>NC_000003.12:49403939-49706969 GCF_000001405.40 Homo sapiens
GTGCTACTCCCACTACCCTCCCACCACCCCCGAAAAAAGGTACTACAAACTGTAACCTGAATAGTGAAAGTTGAAGATAGCTGGACTCAGTGGCTCATGCCCGTACTTGCAGCACTTTGGGAGTCTGAGGTGGGAGGACTGTTTGAGCCCAGGAGTCTGAGACCCAACCTGGGCAAGACAGCAAGACTCCATCTCTACAAAATGTAAAAATATTAGCTGGGCGCAGTGGCACATACACCTGTAGTCCCAGCTACTAGGGAGGACGAGGCGTAAGGATACCTTGACACCAAAAGTTGGAGGCCACCATGAGCTATGACTGTGCCACTGCACTCCAGCCTAGATGACAAAACAAGACCTTATCTCTCCAAAAAAAAGCCAGGCGCAGTGGCTCACACCCGTAATCCCAGTACTTTGGGAAGCCAAGGCAGGTGGATCACAAGGTCAGGAGTTCAAGACCAGCCTGGCCAACAAAGTAAAACCCCGTCTCTAGTAAAACACACACACACACACACACACACAAAATTAGCCGGGCATGGTGGCACGCACCTGTAGTCCCAGCTACTTGGGAGGCTGAGGCAGGAGAATCGCTTGCACCCTGGTAGGCAGAGATTGCAGTGAGCCGAGATTGTGCCACTACACTCCAGCTTAGACAACAGAGCAAGACTCCGTCTCAAAAAAAAAAAAAAAAAAAAAAAAAAAGGCCAGAAGGCCAGGCACGGTGGCTCACGGCTGTAATCCTAGCACTTTGGGAGGCCAAGGCAGGCAGATTGCCTGAGCTCAGGAGATGGAGACCAGCCTGGGCAACATGGTTAAACCCCGTCTCTACTAAAATACAAAAAAAAAAAAAAATTAGCCAGGCGTGGCAGCATGCACCTGTAGTCCCAGTTTACCTGGGAGGCTAAGGCAGGAGAACCGCATGAACCCGGGAGGCAGAGTTTGCAGTGAGCCGAGATCACGCCACTGCACTCCAGCCTGGGCGACAGAGCGAGACTCTTGTCTCCAAAAAAAAAAATAATAAAAAAAGTAGGCCAGGCGCGGTGGCTCACACCTATAATCCCAACACTTTGGGAGGCGGAGGCAGGCAGATCACCTGAGGTCAGGAGATCGGGACCATCCTGGCTAACACGGTAAAACCCTGTCTCTACTAAAAATACAAAAAAAAAAAACACCTAGCCGGGCGTGGTGGCGGGCACCTGTAGTCTCAGCTACTCAGGAGGCTGAGGAAGGAGAACTGCTTGAACTCGGAGGGCGGAGGTTGCAGTGAGCCGAGATCGCGCCACTGCACTCCAGCCTGGGTGACAGAGCGAGACTGTGTCTCAAAAAAAAAAAAAAAAAAAAAAAAATTAGCTGGGCATGGTGACATGCCTGTAAACCCCAACTAATGGGGAGGCTGAGGCAGGAGAATCACTTGAATCCAGGAGGTGGAGGTTGCAGTGAGCTGGGATCACGCCATTGCACTCCAGCCTGGGCAACAAGAGCAAAACTCCATCTCAAAAAATAAATAAATAAAATAAGTTAGTTGAAGGGCTACATGTCTGGCACTTGAGGTAAGTGCTTCTCTCTCACTGAAATCTCATGGCGCTTCCTTACCATTCCCTTTCTACAGAAGAAAAAAACTGAATTACAAAGGAGACATACTACTGCCAAGGGTCTCAAGCCATCAAGTGTCAGAGCTAGTATTTAACTGTCAGTTTCTCTCCAGAATCCATGCTCTTAAATAAGATACTCTACTGCCTTTTCTTTCCTTCTTTTTTTTGTGTGTATGTTTGAGACGGAGTTTCGCTCTGTTGCCCGGGCTGGAGTGCAGCAATCTTGGCTCACTGCAACCTGCGCCTCTCAAGTTCGAGGGATTCTCCTGCTTCAGCCTTCCGAGTAGCTGGGATTACAGGCACTCACTAATACACTCGGCTGATTTTTGTATTTTTAGTAGAGATGGGGTTTCACCATGTTGGTCAGACTGGTTTCGAACTCCTGACCTCAGGTGACCCACCCACCTCGGCCTCCCAAAGTGCTGGGATAACTGGCATGAGCCACCATACGCAGCCTGCCTTCTGTTTCTGAACTTAAGATCTTCAAAAGATAAACAGAGCTTCATTATGAATAACTGGAAAAGTTAAACAAGAGATTTCATCCAGAAAAGAAATTTTCCACACACACAAAAAAACAGGTATTTCCAACAAAGCTGCCATATCACATAATAAAATTATCTTGTAGAAAAAAGCATTAACAAAGTGTTACAACATTAAATATCCATCTTAAATTTACTTCCTTAACCTCTCAAAGCCTATATCCCAAACAAAGTTACAAAAAAAAATCCCAGTAGTAGAGCATATGATCTCTAGGTCCATGGAAGAGACACCAGAGAATCACAACTCATCTGCAACATACAGACTAGGATACAATGGCTAGAAGAATACAGTAAAATAAAAATGTATACATAACAAAAGTTAGAATGCTCAACCATATACTTGAAGTCAAAACAAGCAACTTTTTTAAATCATGGGACTGAATCCTTGTGCTTTAGAGCAGCTATAAGCTTCAGAAATTAAAAATCTTGGCCAGGGTAGCTCACGCCCGTAATCCCAGCAGGAAGCTGAGGCGGGTGGATTGCCTGAGGTCAGGAATTTGAGACCAGCCTGGCCGACATGGTAAAATTCTTGTCTCTACTAAAATACAAAATACAAAAATTAGCCAAGGGTGGTGGGCAGGTGGTGGATGGCACCTGTAATCGAGCTAGTGGGTAGGTTGAGGCACGAGAATCGCTTGACTCACATCTTTAATCCCAGCACTTTGGGAGGCTGAGGCAGGAGGAC
Source organism: Homo sapiens (assembly GCF_000001405.40). Classification (NCBI taxonomy): domain Eukaryota; kingdom Metazoa; phylum Chordata; class Mammalia; order Primates; family Hominidae; genus Homo; species Homo sapiens. The sequence continues at coordinate 49,406,753 of NC_000003.12, forward strand.
AACTTGAGCCCAGGAGTACAAGATCTGTCTGGGCAACATAGCAAGACACCATCTCTAGTACAAAAAAAGAGAAGAAAAAAATAAAGCAAAAAAATTTTAAAAACAAATCCTTAGTGGCTCATGCTTGTAATCCCAACACCTTGGGAGGCCAAGGTGGGTGGGTCACGGGGTCACGAGGTCAAGAGATCAAGGCCATCCTGGCCAACATGGTGAGATCCCGTCTTTACTAAAAATACAAAAATTAGTCGGGCATGGTCACACACACACACCTGTAGTCCCAGCTACTCTAGAGACTGAGGCACGAGAATCGCTTGAACCTGGGAAACAAAGGTTGAAGTGAACAAAGATCACTCACTGCACTCCAGCCTGGGTGACAGTGAGACCCTGTCTCAAGAGAAGAGAAGAGAAGAACCAATGACTTCAAATAAAATAGGCAGAAGTCACTAAGTCAAGGAAATTAATATTATGAAATCCTTTCCGTTTTTTTTTTTTTTTTTTTTTTTTTGAGTCTTGCACCGTCTCCCAGGCTGGAGTGCAATGGCTCGATCTCTGCTCACAGCAACCTCCGCCTCCCAGGTTAAAGTGATTCTCCTATCTCAGCCTCCTGAATAGCCGGGATTATAGGCGCCTGCTGCCACGCCCAGCTAATGTTTTGTATTTTTAGTAGAGACAGGGTTTCACCATGTGGCCAGGCTGGTCTCAAACTCCTGACCTCAAGTGATCCACCTGCCCAGCACTTCCAAAGTGCTGGGATTACAGGCATCAGCCACTGCTCCCAGCCAGGAATTCCTTTTTATATTTGTCCAAATTATCATATTAGTTTACTATTTAGTCAGAATGGAATTAGATCTACTCCTACTCACAGTGATTCTAGTTTTTTTTTTAATATCAGATCATGTCATTCCCTTTCTAAAGAATATCTAAATGACTTCTAATCTCAGAACAAATCCAAAGAATTTCCCATGTCCTAAAGGCCCTATATGATTTGGCCCCTGCCCACCTCTCTAACCTCTTTTTACCTCCAACTTTTCCTTTCACTCCACTTCAAACTTACTTCATTGGCTGTGTATGTTTTCCTCTTTCCCTTCACTTAAATTTAAGATACTATCATAAATATGCTTAAATATGGCCAGACATAGTGGCTCTCACCTGCAATCTCAACACTTTCAGAGGCCAAGGGGGGCAGATCACAAGGCCAGGAGTTCGAGAACAGCCTGACCAACATGGTGAAACCCCGTCTCTACTAAAAATACAAAAATTAGCTGAGCACAGTGGCGCATGCTGGTACTCCCAACTACTCCAGAGGCCGAGGCACAAGAATCACTTGAACTAGGAGGCGGCGGTTGCAGTGAGCCGAGATGGCGCTACTGCACTCTGGCCCGGACGACAGAGTGAGACTCAGTCTCAAAAGAGAAAAAAAAAAAAATATATATATATACACACACACATACACACACGTATATGTACACATATATATACGTATACACGTATATGTACACATATATATACGTATACACGTATATACGTATACACAAGTATATATACATATACACACACACACATATGCTTAAATATACATACTCATCCTCTTCAAAAAATAAAATCAAGCTAAGTTTGGCATAAACTGCATACTGATTGCAATTTAGCAAGAGTATTTGATGTTTTTCTTTATTATTAGCTATAAAAATGTATTTGGATGAAGCATCAATAAACTGAGACCAACACCCAGAACGAGCAGCTTCAGTGCCTGATTTTCAGTCACATGACTATCGTAATTATGAACATACCAAGGCCTTCACTTAATACTACAGCTCCACAGATTAAAGATGAGGGATTTTATAGTAATTACAAACTTCAAACCGTCTTGGAAATTTTAATCCCACAAATGAGCATGTCCCCAAAGAGCCCCATGTATAGCAAGGCATGTAACATTAAGTTCAAAATTTAGTTATATTAATGTGTAGTTACAAGCAAACAGTTCCATTGGGCAGGTAAACAAAGGAATAAACTAAATGGCAGAGTCAGACAAAATACTTAAGATCCTTTTTTTTTTTTTTTGAGACGGAGTCTCGCTCTGTTGCCCTGGCTGGAGCACAGTGGCGCGATCTCAGCTCACGGCAAGCTCCGCCTCTCGGGTTCACGCCATTCCCCTGCCTCAGCCTCCAGAGCAGCTGGGACTACAGGCGCCCGCCACCACACCCAGCTAATTTTTTTTGTATTTTTAGTAGAGACGGGGTTTCACCGTGTTAGCCAGGATGGTCTCCAGACCTCGTGATCCGCCCGCCTCGGCCTCCCAAAGTGCTGGGATTACAGGCATGAACCACCGCGCCCTGCCAGGATCCTTTTAAAACTACAAATATGGGTGGGCGTGGTGGCTCACCCTTGTAATCCCAGCACTTTGGGAGGCCAAGGCAGGCGGATCACCTGAGGTCAGGAGTTCAAGACCAGCCTGGCCAACACGGTGAAACCCCATCTCTACTAAAAATACAAAAGTTAGCCAGGAATGGTGGTGGGTGCCTGTAGTCCCAGCTACTCCAGGGGCCGAGGCAGGAGAATCACTTGAACCCAGGAGGCAGACGGTGCAGTGAGCTGAGATCGCGCCACTGCACTCCAGCCTGGGCAACAGAGTGAGACTCCATTTCAAAAATAAAAATAAATATAAAACTACAACTATATGGCCAATTTTAAAATCCAGTGACTATGTACTATTTATCATAATCACTAGTAACCACAATGCAATTAAACCCAAGGTGCTGTCTACAGAAGGCCAGCAGCTTCAAATTAGCTCTCTTAGAAGCTGATCAGTCTTTCTTCTCAGAGTTAACATATATCTCTCAGCTCTCTAAGACAATTAAAAAGACGCAAACTAGCACCTTCTCCAGTCACTGCATGGACTCCACCCCATGGACAAGAAACACCTGAAGAGCTACCTGTTTTTACTCTCCTAATAACTTACACCCCCATATGACCAGAATAAACTTTTAAAAAGCAGTTAACTGACAAATGGAAAGAAATCAGGACTACGAAAATACTCCACCACCACCACATGCATGTGCACAGGGAATTGTTTACTTGATACACGCAGTACCCCAAATCAACAGTCAAAAGTGCCCACAGTTAACTAAAAATATCTTAGCCTGACCTAAATATCTTGGTTTTGAAGCAGTAAAGTGTAGGCCTTGCTCTAGAAGTTGGTCCCTTAAAAAAAAATCCAAACAAAGCCATGATTAGGCCAACCAGGGACCCTCGTACATTCATCTATCTCCCTCAATTGAAGGCAGGACCATCCAGTTAACAAGGGGAGAGTGCTGTGTAAGCTAATGAACCGAAATTTTTTGGCAAATGAACAGTTTCTCCCAAACTATTCACCATCAACAAGGTTTAAAAGAAGAAACAATGGAATAAGCTAGAAGTCCTGAATTTTAGCTGACTCTGGAGGCCAACTGCTTGGGAGTAAATGGAGAATACCTTAACAGAGCAGACAGTTCTGGTCTGCTCCTGACTAGATAGGTAACCTTGGGAAATTTACTTAAGTCTCTGGGACTCAGTTTGCTCATCTGCAAATGGGGTTGGACAACCAGTCCTGAAAGATTCCTCTTAGATCTAAAACTCAAGAACTACACAGTATTCCTACTCTCTTCTTCCCTCCAACACAGATTTTTATGAGAACAGAGAGGATAAATCTAGCACTAGACTTTAACTCAAACCAAGGTGCACCTTATATATTTAATGTCCCCAAGAGCCATCAGTGCTCCACAAAAGTAGATGGAACCAATTAAGACAAGTTATCCAGAGATCCTTCAATAAGTCATTCTTTACAATTAAAAACTAGTTTTTCAGTCCAATGTCACTTGTGCCAAATGCTCAAAACAGTATCTCCGCCAATCTAGCCACATCTAAGGTGACAATCATCCGCATGGTACACATTACACATCTGGGTGATACTAAGTGGTTGAAAAATTCTCTCCACATACAACATTTTAAATTATGGAAGTTTTTTGGTTTTTCAATTTTTCTCCTTCAGAAAGGCAGAGTGAAATATCTACTTACACACCTGCAAGAAACGTTTAAGACTTTCTTCAAGACAGAACCAAACAAGTCAACAACAGAGGTAAAAATTTAAAATCAGAACTATTAAAAAACACAAGTGGAACCAACTTTGAGGTAAAAAGGATTCCAATTTTCCACCGTAAACTACTAAACAAGGTTTGTGAACAAATCAACTTGGATGCGAATAGCGCTATTCAATGAAGACGACCCGTAACTGTAGATCCAATCAGTAACTAAGGTACAGATATTTAGATCATTCCTAATCAATACAGCGACTTCGACTAAGCAACATTGCATCTATTTTCATGCAACATCGCTTAAATCATTTACAGTTTTGTGTGTTGTTTTTTTTTTCCAAATGGAAAATACCCCTTTTCCACTCAAAACAGACCCCAAAGCTTTCAGACGAGTTCGGGCGCGTTCCAGGTGGTATGGCCGTAGATCATACCCCTAAGCGTTCAATACAATCTTTTACTTACTTACACAGTCTCCAACAAGTCTGCATTAAAAGAAAACCTACCCAAAGTGTAACTGGACTTTAATCAATATGAAACAGTGATTGTCGTTTCTCGTTAAACGTAAAAAGCAAAATGGAGTTGTAAAGAGTTTCTTTCCCATTTCAACTCCGACAGCCACGCGCGCTTTCAGCGGCCGGCTACACTGCGCGGTCGCGGGGCCCGGCCCAAAGCCCCCGCCCTGCCCGGCGCCGCTGGGAGAGGAAGCTCCGGGGACCGAGGGCGGGCAGGCGGGCAGCCTGGGCTCCACCAGGCCCGGCCGGGCGGGGGAAGGGGCACAGGAGACTACCGGGCGCGCTTCCGGGGACTGCGCGGGCGGGGTCGCCGCTTGGGGCGCGGGGCCCGGGCTGGGAGTCAGGTCAAGGGTCAGGGGCCAGGGGCGGCTCGGCCACGAGCAGCCGGTGGGGCGCGGCCGCGGCGGTGCGGCGGCCTGCCGGCCGGAAGAGTACCGGGCTGGCGGGCCTGGGGCCCCGCGGCGCCTGGAGGGAACCCTTCCGCTCACCTCAGGCAACGAATCCGAGTCCAGCCTCTTCGCGCCGGGGACGCCGGTCCGCGAGTCGCAAACTCGGAGACGAAGGCGGGTAGCTGAAGACCAGACCGTGGACTAACGAGAGAACCGACGGAGGACCGCGGGCGGCGGGAGGGTAGCGCGAGAGAGCGAGGGCGGGCGGCGGCGGGAGGGCGGGGAACGACGTGCGCGCCTCCGAGTGCCCAGCGGGCTCGAGCCGGCACAGGTCGCGGCCCCGCGCACGCGCGCGCACTCACAGCTCATCCACTATTGCTCAGGAGCCCGTCCACGCCCTAAAAGCAAAACCCTTAACCAATCATTGCAGCCGCGTGGGGCATCACGGGAACTCCGGGGCTATAAAAGACCTGGTTGCTATTTTGTACTCCCGGAGTCACTCATCCCTTAAGCAAGCAGGGTGGGGTTAGGTGCGCGTGCGCGGTTTTAATACTCCTCCCCGAACTGCCAACTCTTCACGCACGCGAAGTAGGCCCCACCCTGGCTGGGTTTACGCGTGCGCACTAACGGGCCTGGTCCCGGAAGACCACACGCGTGCGTGGTGGGGACTACGGTGACAGTACCCCGGGTGGGGCGAGGGCCAGTCATGGCGGAGTCCTGGTCTGGGCAGGCCTTGCAGGCTCTGCCGGCCACGGTGCTGGGCGCGCTGGGCAGCGAGTTCTTGCGGGAGTGGGAGGCGCAGGACATGCGCGTGACCCTCTTCAAGCTGCTGCTGCTGTGGTTGGTGTTAAGTCTCCTGGGCATCCAGCTGGCGTGGGGGTTCTACGGGAATACAGTGACCGGGTTGTATCACCGTCCAGGTGAGGCTTCCTACGAACCTCCGTGGGCTGGCCGCCCCCGCCCCCACCCTCTCCCGACTGTACCATTGGGTTCCCCACTATCCTGCAAGAGGCTCATCAGAACTTAACATTGGTTCACGGCCTTACTACCCTGAACGCATCTGACCTCGGAAGCTAAGCCAGGTACTTGGATGGGAGAACTTAACGTTGTGCCCTGACTCATGCCACCATACCATTTTACGCCAGAATCCCCACCAGTCCACCCATCACATTGTATCTGTTCCTCAGAACTCTCACCTGGCAATACCATTAGTCCCTTAGGACCCTCACCAGACTTCACCAAACAATACCAGTGGTCTCTAACCTGACCTGGGCTGATGCCTGCTCAGATTCCCACCCCAGCCTTCTGCAGCTCTGGATGTGTTTCTGCCTCCAGGTCTGGGTGGTCAGAATGGATCCACGCCTGATGGCTCCACGCATTTCCCTTCGTGGTGAGTAAATCTGTCCATACCGCAACCCCATGCTTGGCATTCCAAGGACACTCCTGTGCTGGTGACAGAGAGGGGAGTTCTCAGGCTTTAAGCCCACCAGCTTAATGGCCTTTGCAGCAAGCTTCAAGTCTGCACGTAGAGCTCAGGCTTCAAGTTAGGGTGACACCAAGGTCTGGACAGTCCATCATCATGCTGTTCAGCAGCCTGTAGGATAGGTGGTGGTATTGTCATAATTTCAGAGAGATGAAATGACAGGTTTGTTGGATTCCACTCTGCACAATCCCCTCAGTTGGGAAGGCAGTAATCTCTGTCCTGAGCACATTGACCTCATCAGGGTCAGCCTCCTCTTCTGCAAAACATGCGCTCACTAATCAGGGCATTCATTCAGATAATCTCTGGGCCCCTATCACGTGATAGGGGCCACACGAGGCCCAGAGAACAAAGACAACCCGGGCCCTGCTCATGGGGAGCCAGGGATTTATTAGGGGAGGGCGGCAGTGCATGGGGCAAGGGTGGTCAGGGAAGGCTTCTCCCAAGAAAGACACCTAAGCCGAGATCAAATGCCACAGGGTGACAAAGTGTACCAAGCAAAGGGAATGGATTGAGCAAGGCTAAGAGGGAAGAATACGGGTGACATATTAGAATAGGTAAGACTGTGATGCTGGAGCTTGAACGTGAGAGCTTGTTGGACCCTGGGAGCCATTGAAAGACTAACTCAGCAAGGCTGTGGTCTGATCTAATTTGCCTTTATAAATGCCTACTTCATGGCAAGTAGATAAAGGGGTCCAAGAGTTAGGGCTAGAGGTTAGAAAGGCTGCCACTGCCCAGGTTTCTGTCTTAGAGAAGAGGCCAGGCCCCATGGCTCATGCCTGTAATCCCAGCACTTTGGGAGGCTGAGATGGGCGGATCACTTGAGGTCAGGAGTTTGAGACTAGCCTGGCCAACATAGGGAAACCCCGTCTTTACTAAAAATAGAAAAAATTAGCTGGGCATGGTGGCATACGCCTGTAATCCCAGCTACTCGGGAGGCTGAGGCATGAGAATCACTTGAACCCAGGAGGCAGAGGTTGCAGTGAGCCCAGATCACGCCACTGCACTCCAGACTGGGCATCAGAGTGAGACTCTGTCTCAAAAAAAATAACAGGCCGGGCATGGTGGCTCACGCCTGTTCCTAGCACTTTGGGAGACTGAGGAGGGTAGATCACCTGAGGCCAGGAGTTTGAGACCAGCCTGGCCAACATGGCGAAACCCCGTCTTCACTAAAAATACAAAAACTAGCTGGGTGTGGTGGCGGGCGCCTGTAATCCCAGCTACTTGGGAGGCTGAGGCAGGAAAATTGCTTGAACCCGGGAGGTGGAGGCTGCAGTGAGCTGAGATCTTGCCATTGCACCCCAACCTGGGCAACAAGAGTGAAACTCCGTCTCAAAAAAAGAAAAGTAATAACAATAGTAATAAATAAAAAGAATAAAAAAACTAGAGAAGGATGGCAATGCCGTACTAACATGGAGAACCAGGAAGAAGAATGAGTCTGCAGGGAGAAGGTGCTGGGCCCAGGGTGGGCTGTGGGAGACCAGCAGAGAGGTCTAGATTGTTATGTGACCTTACTGAGCCTAGCTCAGCCCCCAAGAAGGAGCTTGGGAGAGCCAATTTCAGCAACTGTTCTGCCCATGGAATAACCACTCTCTCTTCTCTCTCTCCATCACTTTCAGGGAAATGGCAGCAAACGAACCTCTCAAAACCCACAGAGAATAAGGGAAGGCAGCAGAGGGTCTCCAAGGGCATCACTGGGTCTGCTGGCTTCTACACTGGGTTCTGCTACTCCCCAGACCTCAGGGACAACTGCCGGGGGTTCAGGGTTGGTAGCAGGGAGTACCCAGTGCCTACAGGGCTGGGCCTCTTCTGCCTCTTAAGCCTGCTCCCTCACCCAGGCACTGGGCAAGTGAAGAGTTTGCCTGTACTCTTATCTGGGTGCCTTAAGGAGAGAGATTGTGTTCTTCCTCTCTCAGGGGTGATAACTCAGGAAGCCTCTGGGTTGGGAAGACCATCAGTTCTTTTGTCTTAGGTTTCTTTTCCTGTCCCTCTTCCATCCCCAAGATGTGACCCCATAAAAATTTTTCCTGAGTTGGCCAGGCATGGTGGCTCACGCCTGTAATCCCAACACTTTGGGAGGCTGAGGCAGGCAGATCACGAGGTCAGGAGTTCGAGACCAGCCTGACCAACATGGTGAAAACCCCATCTCTACTAAAAATACAAAAATTAGCCGGGTGTGGTGGCACACACCAGTAATCCCAGCTACTCAGGAGGCTGAAGCAGGAGATTTGCTTGAACCTGGGAGGCAGAGGTTGCAGTGAGCCAAGATTGCGCCGTTGTACTCCAGCCTGGGCAACAGAGCAAGACCCATCTCAAAAAAAAAATTTTTTTCCTGAGAGGAAGCCTGAGGTTGACCAGCTCTGGGGTTTGTAAGGCAGGTCTGTTTTCTCCTAGGCCCTGAGTTTTCTGAATCTCTGGTTTTGCTTTGTTGGCAAGGAGCCAGGGAATCCTGACCTGAGCCAGACCTTAAGCTCTATGGTTATTTAGCTGGCCATTCAGGTATAAGGCAGGGTGGTGTACCTGCTGGCACTATCCAGATGGAGGCACCAAACACCCACATACCTGGCCCAACCAGACTTCTCCCGTGAGCCAGGCAAAGGAAATTGTCATCTGCCAACTGTCCTACTCATATTCCTCTCAGTCCTTCTTGGGGGTAAGCTGATTACCTGAAGGACAGCTGAACCCCTGGGGTAGCCTCCTATCCACCACTGCTTAAGTGCCTATGGGAATGTGGGTCTGCACCTTGTCCCCTCATAGGATGGTACCAAGCATTTAGTGCACAGTGGCCCCATCATAGCCTGCAGCCTCATCATTTCCCATCTGGACCTGGTACAAATGCACGTCACAGGCTCAGCTCCTCCCCACTAGCATTTTCTCTACCTTCAAGAACCAGGCAGCCCTGCCATGTCACAATAGGCCAGGGGAGTTTCCAAAGATGTGGGTGGCAAATGCCCCTATAGAAACACCAGTACCTGAAAGCACTGTAGCCCTGGACCTGCCTCCTTCCCTCGGGGCCATACTTCTGTTTCCATCTGCTGGGCCACCAGCCACTTTAGTGACCCCTGCCTACTTCCTTCCTGTTGGATATCATACTTCCATCTGGCTGCCTTTGCTTAAGCCATCTTTGTGGTAGAGGGGCCCTGGAATTGCAGCTGTACTGAGGATGATGTTATTCACAGCCCCTGGCCCACCCACTAATACTACTGCACAGAGTCAGGATCTCACATTTCACCCCAGGCTCAACTGAGGATGTGGCTTATTAAACACGGAAGTGCATCGGTTGTTGTGGTTATTCAGACAGAACAAGGGTGTGCATGCACAGGGGCAGTGAGAGAGGGAACATCCTGGAAGCTGTTGCCCCTTGGGACCCAGATGCAATAACTTGCAGGGAGGGGAGAGGTGATGCAGCTCCCTGGAGGAGCAGGGATGGGGTGCCCAACAGGGGCAATATCTCCATTTTTATAGACTGGCCCCTTTCAAGGAGAACCTATTCCAAGCTTGTCTTGGAGGCCAGGAAGGCAGGCATTGGGTTGGCATTTCAGGAACCCTGTGAACAGAGAACAATGAAGCTAGAGACTGGCAAGTAAGAAGGAAGTTTAATTTTTTTTTCAGGATTCAGTGGAGTCCATTAATGCATACCAGGGGCAAAGATCAGCCCAGGGTAAGGCAAGTCTGGGAGGAAGCCCACCCTGCCCTACAGCAGCCCTGGAACTCAGAATAGGTGGTGAGTCTGCCATGGTTTGCTACTGGGCAGCACACTAGACCAACTTGGGAATGTGGAAGAGTGAGTCTATGTTCCCTCAGCCATCCCCAAGTTTACACACAGGCATAGCAGCCCTACTGTGAGTCAGCAATCATTCCTGACTTGCAGTAAGGACAATTTGCATTTACGGAAAGCAAACTGGAGGGGGTAGCCTAAGTCCGCACTGCCCATGTTATTACCCTTTGCAATGTGAAAAACCATGGTGAGGTAGGTTGGGCAGGTTTTATCCTCTCCACAAAGGTGAGCCTTTGCTCCACAGCCAGCACCTGGCAGAGTGGGAGAGATGGCAGAACCAAAGCTTCTCATTACCCTCCAGCAGGCAAGAGTAGGTCAGTGGGATCATGGACTGAAACAAGACATTGTGTGAGCTGGTCCGTCACTCAGAAGCAGGGTCCTGAAGGAAGCTGGAATGGCATGAGTTAGGTGGGGGGAATAGGTGGTGTGGCCCCTCAACCAGACAATTAGAATCAGCCTCCACCTTAACTGCCCACCCCCAGTGAGTTCTGCCTCAGCTTCTTGACTAACCCCTTGTAGGGGCAAAACTCCTGGAAGGGACAGCCCCACCCTGAGCCAGCTTCACTTGAGGGTATAGTAGTTTGTGGGCACAAAGGGCATCTTGCTGACTACAGCCATCTGCTGCTTCCGCCGCACCTCTACCAGCAGCATTGTCCCTGGACGACTGTACTCGCAGGGCACATAACCCATCGCCACATTCTTCTTCAGAGAGGGGGAGGGGCAGCCACTAGTCACAGTACCTGTCAAGCAAGCATAAGCCACGCATCAGCACCACCCTGCCAGTGCCCCCACCCTCCTGGGAAGAGACAAGGGTTTCCCAGCTTCCCTGGTCCACCTACCAATCTTGGTACCCTCCATGTTCAGGATGGGACTGTGTGCCCGCATGGGGGCCCCCTCACACATCAACCCCACACGCCTCCGCTGCACCCTGCCCTTCAGCTGGGGAACAATGACCTTGGCTCCAGGGAAGTCCATAGCAGCTCGGCGGCGCTTCCCTGGAGAATGACACATGAGACATAAGCCACAGCCCATAGAAGCCCTGGCCACAGGAGGTCCTTATGAGGTCCTCAAGTAACACACTATCTAGCATCAAGGCCCCTTTGCTTGGGCTACTCCAGGCTCTATTCCTCCCTTCACTGCCGTCAGCCAACCAACCACCTCCTATCCCCTGGAGGCCATGCTGCCCACCTGCCGAGCGTCTTCAGTTTCTTTTTTTTTTTTTTGAGATGGAGTCACTCTGTCGCCCAGGCCTAGAATGCAGTGGCACGATCTCAGCTCACTGCAAACTCTGCCTCCCAGGTTCAAGCAATTTACCTGCCTCAGTCTCCCGAGTAGCTGGGATAACAGGCACCCGCCACCACGCCTGGCTAATTTTTATATTTTCAGTAGAGACGGGGTCTCACCATGTTGGCCAGGCTATTCTCGAATTCCTGACCTCATGATCCACCCACCTTGGCCTCCCAAAGTGCTGGGATTACAGGTGTGAGCCACCATGCCCGGCAGCATCTTCAGTTTCTTTTTTTTTTTTTTTTTTTTTTTTGAGACGGGGTCTCGCTCTATCGCCCTGGCTGGAGGTGCAGTGGCGCAATCTCGGCTCACTGCAAACTCCGCCGCCCAGGTTCATGCCATTCTCCTGCCTCAGCCTCCCGAGTAGCTGGGACTACAGGCGCCCGCCACAATGCCCAGCTAATTTTTTTTTTGTATTTTTAGTAGAGACGGGGTTTCACCATGTTAGCCAGGATGGTCTTGATCTCCTGACCTCGTGATCCACCCGCCTCGGCCTCCCAAAGTGCTGGGATTACAGATGTGAGCCACCGCATCCGGCCAACATCTGCAGTTTCTAATGGGCAAAGGCACAGTGGCACCTTCAGGGAAGGGAGGCTCAGGAAGGCTTCAGGCTACATAACCTTTGGATGAGTCATGGGCTGGCTAGTCTTATCAAGGGTCACCCTGACCTCCAGGACCCTATCCTTTAGTGCTGGCCCAGCTCACCCAGTGTCCAACTGAGGCTGCCCTCCACAGGTGTAGTGTGTTCATCAATGTCATTCCCATACAGGCAGAGGCCTGCCTCCAGGCGCAGGCTGTCCCTGGCTGCCAGCCCTGCCAGCTTCACCTCTGGGTTTTTCAGAATAGCTGTTGCCAGGTGAACTGCCCCCGCTACCGGCACCGAGATCTGTATGAAACACCAGAGGGCAGATGGGAAGCTCCCTGTACCACATACCCCCAACCCCTCACATGCATCCTGTGCCCTGTACTGCCCCCACACCACTTCTTGACACACCTCCACACCATCCTCTCCTGTGTAGCCACAGCGGGTCACGCGGCAGCCAGACACGCCAAACACCTCCATCACAGCACTGGTCATGAAGGGCAGTTTCCTCAGGTCATCTGCCACGCCGGCCTGTAGTACCTGGGCTGCAGTGGGGCCTGGGCCCAGGGAGCCAGTGACCAAGTATCCAGGTCCCAGCATCCCTCAAAGCTGGACTAAAGCCTTATTCAGGGACCAGAACAAGCCCTGAGCATGTCTTACTCTGCAAGTGGGAGAAGATGCCCTTGTCCCTAGCCCATGGAGCCTTGTGGTAGGTAGGAGGAGGGCAAGATACAAAACTTAAAATTATGGCACACAAATATCACACCTTCCACACATTCTTCTTGGTATGGCCTCTGTGCTAAGCAGTCAATGAAGCCAGGAAGGCAAAGGTTGGCTCCAACCCCAGCCCAGCCCTCTCACCTTGCAGAGCTAGCAGGGCATTATCCAACACCTCCAGGCCCACATCTCTGCCCTGGTTCTGAAGCTCCCTGACCTTGTCCTAAAAGACAGAAACACAAGAGCATCTGGGGCCACTTACTGAGCAGCTACCATGGGCTGGACGCTGCAGAGCTGGACAGTAGTAGGACAGTGGAGAGGAGGAGGAGGAGGGAGGAAAAAAAAAGGTAGTAGGCTGGTTCCCATCTTACAAGGTCACATAGCTACTAAGTGATAGAGATGACCCAAGCCCAGTTCTGCCACCTCACACCAGAGGGGCCAAGACCCCCTCCCCATGCCTGGTAATCCCCCACCACCAAACCCTGGCGTGCTCCAGAGAGGGCCTGCTCTTGAGTCTCATAGCTGTTCATTCACTGAAAGAGCCATTTTCCAGGTCCCTTGTCTGTGCCAACCCTGTCTTGGACAACAAGGATACTGCTCTATGAACAAGGAAGACAAGGTGTCTAGAACACAGAGGGGGTATACCTGCATGAGGGCCAAATCTTTCTCCCAGCAGCCAGCGTTGGACACCACATACAGGTGGCCCTCAGAAGTATTGGTTACAATCAAGTCATCTAAGATGCCTCCAGCCTCGTTGGTAAACAGCGACAGTGTCCCCTAGGACCAAAGTGGAGCGTTTTGGCTTCCAGGTCCAGGAGGGCAAGGCCAAGGGTGAGCCAGACACAACCCTGGACCCACTTAGTTACCAAAAGGTTATGAACCCTAATGTGAAGGACTCAGGGTGTGCAAGGTACAAGTCTGGGCCCAAGTCCAAGGTCTTTGATCCTCATGCATCAAGTAAGTTTTCATCCCCTCCCTACCTTGGGGTGCTTCCCTGATCTGGTGCAACCTCTGCACCCCTCCCCACTCTGTACTGAGAGTCCCATCTGACACTTAATCTATGACACCTAGGACCTGCTGCTTCACCTACCCAAACCTGGGACGACTTAGCCCATGTGGCAACCCACAGGACAAAAGCTTCAAAGGTCATCTTGATGATCGCAGGCTCTCCTAAGTACTCCATAGCAATGCCCCCAAAAAACTTCCTTAGCCTCCCCACTGGATGGACAAAAAGCCTGAGGTTGAGGGGGTCACATGAATCACCTGGGGATCTTGTTAAAATGAAGGTTCTGATTCAGCAGGTCTGCAGCAGTGCCTGAGACTATATTCCTAACAAGCTCCAAAGATGCTGGTTTAGAGACCACACTTTGTTGTTGTTATTTTTCTTTTTAGACTGAGTCTCACTCTGTTGCCCAGGCCAGAGTGCAGTGGTGCAACCTCAGCTTGCTGCAACCTCAGCCTCCCGAGTAGCTGGGACTACAAGCACGCGCCACCACGCCCGGCTAATTTTTGTGTTTTTAGTAGAAACGAGGTTTTGCCATGTTGGCCAGGCTGGTCTCGAACTCCTGACCTCAGGTGATCCACCCGCCTTGGCCTCCCCAAGTGCCAGGATTACAGGTGTTTGAGTCACGTCGCCTGGCCAGGGACCACATGTTGAATAGAGAGGGGTTAAGCAGAAGGGATGGCCAGAGAGCAGCATATTAACCTTGGTTTCTGGCCTCCTAGCCTGATGTAGTAAGACTGGGATATTCCCCTCCCTACAAATGTCTGTGTCTCTGGAAATGACTCAGGGATTCTGTCCAAGACTGCAAGCCCTGAGAAGCTGTGTTTGACTCATCTCTGTGCCCCTAAGCCTGAGGTAGGGACTCAGCCCATTTGCTGGCTCATGACTAAGAAAACTCATAGAGCAGAAATAAAAGGGCCCACCTGGTTTGGTCTTAGCTCTGCAATGTCTCCAACCACTAGACTCTCCATCAGCTTCACCCGGTCACTACCAAGTATCTTGGTCTGGGGAAGAGATTGAAAGCCTCAGGCCATTGCAACAGCTACAATCCAAAAGGCTACTAAGCAAGGATGCATCCTCCCTGCCATCCACAGTGCAGTCCAGCCCACCCAAAGTGACTAACCAGTCTTTTGGTTCTACACGTGGCAAAGGACCACCTTCTGATTTCCTGACCTCCCCCAGTCACTCTGTGTGGGGGGACTGCCAGGGAACTGGACAGGACCTAGCACCTTCCTGAAATAACCCCTTTTCAAACCAACATCCAGCCCAATACATGAGAGTGGGTGTCAGCCCTGGAAAACCCGGGACATTAAGGCACACCATTTAATGGGGGCAAGCTAGAAGGATGAGATGATGAGACCCTCTGAGCTCATTTCCTTGGGGCCATTGACCTATCCATGACACCCCCATGACCTCTAGCTCTTCTGAGAAGGCTGTCCTTGGAATCCAGTTCACAGCAAACAAAGCCAAGGAGTGGACCACTGTAAACAGGGAGGAAGGCCTGATCAGATGGCCAGTGTGCTCCCCTGGCTCACCTGCAGCATATGAGACACGTCAAAGAGCGAGCAGTGCTGGCGTGTGTGCAGGTGCGAGTCAGTGTGACTGTCCCGGTACTGCACTGGCAGACTCCAACCCGCAAACGCCACCATTTTCCCGCCGTGGGCCAGGTGGAAGTCATAGAGCGGTGTCCTGCGGAGCACCTCCTGTGGGCGGCTGGGCTTAGTGCCACCAGGGCCCTAGCCCCCAGCCGCTTCCCTCCCCCACCCTCCAAGATCAGCACCCTCTATCCCACCTGTGCGCAACTAAGTGGACGACACAAGGCCGGGGGGAATGCCTGCAGGCGAAAGCCCAGACGGGCCACCACACTTACAGCCCTCTGCATCGTCGCCTGCAACGAGTGCAGACGGCGCACAGAGGCCACCACACTGCCAGGCACGCCGGGAGATGTAGTCCAGGCCTCTGCTCGGACAGGTCTCTCTCCGGAGCAAAGGATCTGAAGGGGGCGTGGGCAGCCCCAAGGGCAGGCTGGGATTTAGAGCAGAGAATGCAGGAACCCGCAACCACAGGGAAGAAGCCTCCAGCTCTTTCGGCTGACTCTTCAGGGCAGCTCGGGCAATCCAGAGCTGATTGGGCTGCCCAGAACAAAGCTAGGGGCTAGACCGCCCCCTGCAGAACCGCCCTGTCTCCAGAGGGTCAAAGTTCTGGAAAGGGCTGAAAGGTCTGAATCATACCTTTAGGACCTCAAGAGAGTAAGGTCAAGTGGGGGTGGGGAAGGTGGGCCAGCCTGGCAGGTAGGCAGCACCACAGTAGTCTGTCCTCATGTGGACCCCTAGTTCCACAGCTCTCCCACCAGGCAGACACAGGCAGCCAGCAGTCATGCATTCCACAAGTATTTATTGATCTTACTGCATACCAGGCCCTCAGATGGGGACACAGCCACGAATGAAGCATGGTCCCTGCTACCACAAGGTCCTCTTCACTTACACACACACTGAGGACTACTGCTTCGTCACGCTTTCCGAAGCAGCTGAGTGGGGCTATGTAAGTGACCTTGCAGATGAAGTCGCCACCTGCAAGAACTCACAGGTGAGAACAGAGGGTGGCCACCAAAAGGTCACTGAACTCCCCCGAGAAAACTGTTGAGCCACACACATGTCCAACTTTCCAGGTCCAAGACATACTGCAGTACTGCTTTGTAATAGCCACCAGGTGCAAAGCCAGGAAGAACCAGAGGGAAACAGGTTTTTCTCACATGAGGGAAGAGCAGCCTGCATCACTTAATGGTTGGACTGAGTTAATGCAGGACTTAGGCCTCTTAAAAGGCAACAATGAGAACCCTTACTTGGACCCACTCCCCACCACGGTTGATCTCTCATTATGCTGAGCATATCTCTTGGAAAGGGGCAGGGCGGGCGCGGTGGCTCATGCCTGTAATCCCAGCACTTTGGAAGGCCAAGGCAGGCAGATCACCTGAGGTCAGGTGTTTGAGACCAGCCTGACCAACATGGAGAAACCCCATCTCTACTACAAATACAAAATTAGCCAGGCATGGTGATGCATGACTGTAATCCCAGCTACTCGGGAGACTGAGGCAGGAGAATTGCTTGAACCTGGGAGGCGGAGGTTGCAGTTAGCCAAGATTGCACTATTGCACTCCAGCCTGGGCAACAAGAGCAAAACTCAACCTCAAAAAAAACAACAAAAAAGGAGAGGGGCAACTGGGAGAAAGGATAGAGATGTGCTTTGGGCTATGTCAGATGGCAGAAGGGTCCCAGTTCTTTTTTTTTTGTTTGTTTGTTTAAGATGGAGTTTCGCTCTTCTTGCCCAGGCTGGAGTGCAATGGCATGATCTCAGGTCCGCAACCTCCACTTCCCGGGTTCAAGAGATTCTCCTGCCTCAGCCTCCCAAGTAGCTGGGATTACAGGTGCCTACCACCACGCCCAGCTAATTTTTTGTATTTTTAGTAGAGACGGGGTTTCTCCAGGTTGGTCAGGCTGGTCTTGAACTCCTGACCTCAGGTGATCCGCCTGCCTGGGCCTCCCAAAGTGCTGGGATTACAGGCGTGAGCCACTGCACCCTGCCTAGAAGGGTCCCAGTTCTTATGCTCAGGCCCTGGTTTTGCTAGAGACACGTGCCCAGGCCCTATGGGCACACCCACTTGAACATATATTCAGGAGCCAGCTCAGAAACCAAGAGACTCAGGCTGCCCAAATCTTCAGGTTTCCTTCCTAGGCAGGCAGCAGAAGAGTTCAGACAGGAAATTTCTCTCTGTGGCATAACACAAATGGAAAGAAAACCACTAGGGGACACACAGGAAGAAATAAGGTTTCTGTTTCTTCCTCAAGTGTCCCAAGTGCCATGGCAGCAATGGCCTTCCAGGTCCATACATGGAGCAGGTTTTAGTAGGTCAGCCCAGCCCAACTGCACTGACATGAGGGAGCAGGCAGAAGACAGGAATGTGCATGTTGCCAGAAGGGGCAGAGGGCACTCAGGGATTCTCAGTAAGTACAACTGACTGGAGTGTTTTTGGGTAGAAGGAAGAATTGAGTTGCAGCCAGGCGAAGACAGAGCACCCCCATGCCAGGAGCTCATGCTGAAGTAACACGGTAAGCCCCTGAGAATCCTGAATCTGTGAATGTGGCCCAGACAGAACAGGCATGCAGGCAACACTTGGAATGCACAGGAAATACACTTCAGCCTCTGGTGGCCCAAACCAAGTCTGGGTGGGCACAGAAAGGCCAACATCTTGGCTAGGAGCAACCATTCAAGTGTAGGAGAGCAAGTTCAGGTCATAACAGCCATCCACCTGAAATACAAAAGACCATCAGGTCTGATCTGCTCAGGGCAAAGCAAGCCAAGCAGAAGGAAGCGATTACTTACATCAAAGCGGCCGATCCTTGCGGAGGTGTGACTGGCCCGGATCATCTCTGTCAGTGCCCACATCTGCTGCACCTCGGAGGATACCCTGCTGGGGTCTGGGAGACCCTGCTCCAGAAGGAGGGGTCAGTGGCCATGGGTCTCTCCCCAGCAGTGCCCTTCAGGCTCCAGAGAGGCCAACCTGGGCTAGGGGCCCTCCAGCTGAGACCAACAACATTCTCAGATGGCTTATGAAACATGAGGTTAGGGCCTGATGTAGCCCCACAACAGAGATGCCTCAAATCCCACAGAATACCCAGGAGGAAGATAACACCCAAGGGCCCTGGGCCCAGCCCCAGAATTTTACAGGAAGGGGTCTACCTGGCCTGTGTTGGACACTAGAGCCATTCACACATGGTTCTTACCTAGGGTGAGGGCTTACCTCACGGAGGAGTGCAGGTTGCTCACAGGGCACTGGGTGGGAGAGCCACTTGGGAAAGGTCACGGAGGGGCTCTGCAAAGCAAAGATGTACTGCCCTGAGTGAGACAAAGTGGACAGCTCTGGGACCAGATTCCAAGGTCCTAGGAGCAGAGAGAAGGGCCGCTGGGCCTCAGACACTGGGAAAACCCTGTTTAGGGAGCCCACAGAGACCTAAAGAGGCAGTCAGACTACCTAAGTTCTCCTGCTGTGCAGACGGAGTCCTCAGAAACACAAGCTCAAAAGTGTCTCCCAGCACCTAAAGGCTCCAGCTCTGAAAGTAGCAGGTGGCCCCAAAGGTCAGGGGATATGGGGACATGGCCTCACCTCTCATTGTGAGCTTCCAGCATTCACACCCAGCTAACCTCCATGAAGGCCCCATTCACAATCTTCACCCATTACCCACCCCACCACCTAGCTTTCCCAGTCATAGAAGCTTTCTGGGGAAAGGGCCAGCCAGCAGCTGAGCTAGTCACTTACCTTTGGTCCCTGCTGATAGATCTGCAGCTCCTCCACTGTGAAAGACAGCCACAGTGGTGATGGCTGCCGCAGAATCAGGCGTAGCTCCGATATTCTAGCCATGTCACACAGCATCTGACACACACACACAAGGACCCAGCAAGGATCCAGCTCACTGCCCAGAAGCCTCCCAACCAGCAATGAGCCAGAATGCTGCCCACCCCACAGGCCTTGGGAAGGAAGGAACAGTAGTCCCTCCAAGGCACTTCCCTGGAAGTCACAGTTCAGGCCAGACTGGCCCCCTCTTCCCTCTTGGTATATTGATCCAATCCCCCCACCTCTGGTAAGTCCTCATCTGGGCTGCCCTGGCCATCCTGAGGCCCAGCTGACCTGATGCTTGAACAGCGATACATACTCCTGGGCTCCCTCCTCACTGTGTGGGTCAGGCATTAGGCAGTAGTCCCGCAGGCAGGTCACCCACTTGGCAGGTGTGTGTGCTGAGGTGTACTGACGGACACGGATGCTCAAAAAAGCTGTGTAGTAATTCTTAAACGTGATTTCCTGCAACTAGAACACATACAACCCATTACAACAAGTCAGACCCAGGCCCAGGGGCCTGAAAAGCTCAAAGATCAAAGGTGCCACCTCTTCCTTCTCCCCACCTTTTCTTTTTTTTTTTTTTTTGAGAGGAAATCTTGCTCTTTTGCCCAGGCTGGAGTGCAGTAGCGTGATCTCAGCTCACTGCAACCTCCACCTCCCAGGTTCAAGCGATTCTCCTGCCTCAGCCTCCCTAGTAGCCGGGACTACAGGTACGTGCCACCACGCCCAGCTAATTGTTTTGTACTTTTAGTAGAGACAGAATTTCACCATGTTGGCCAGGATGCTCTCAAATTCCTGACCTTAGGTGATCCACCTGCCTCTTCCCCTTTCAATGTACTCTTCTACTAAACTAACAATTTCAACAAGTATCACTAGGGCCCAAAGACAATTCTGCCTTCCTAAAGGTGCTCACAGTCTAAATGAGTAGGTCCTGGAAACAAACCACGACTGCAGATCTTGCCACACGTCCAAGATGCTGCTAGAGAGCAGCGCTCTAACCCTGGAAGAGGCAGAAAATGTACATATGAGGCCTGAAGGAGGAAGAGTTCACCAAGTGGACTAAGAAATGTAGAAAACGTGGCCGGGCACGGTGGCTCAAGCCTGTAATCCCAGCACTTTCGGAGGCCGAGGCGGGCGGATCACAAGGTCAGGAGATTGAGACCATCCTGGCTAACACAGTGAAACCCCGTCTCTACTAAAAATACAAAAAATTAGCCGGGCTTGGTGGCGGGCACCTGTAGTCCCAGCTACTCGGGAGGCTGAGGCAGGAGAATGGCGTGAACCCAGGAGGCGGAGCTTGCAGTGAGCTGAGATCGCGCCATTCCACTCCAGCCTGGGCGCGACAGAGCAAGACACGGTCTCAAAAAAAAAAAAAAAGAGATGTAGAAAACGTAGGCTGGGTGCAGTGGCTTACATCTGTCTGTAATGCCAGCACTTTGGGAGGCTGGGGCGGGTGGATCATTTAAGTTCAGGAGTTCGAGACCAGCCTGACCAACATAGTGAAACCCAATCTCTACTAAAAATACAAAAATATTAGCTGAGCGTGGTGGCGCATGCCTGTAATCCCAGCTACTCGGGAGGCTGAGGCAGGAGAATTGCTTGAACCCAGGAGGTGGAGGTTGCAGTGAGCCAAGATCAAGCCACTGTACTCCAGCCTGGGTGACAAAACGAGGCTACCTCTCAGAAAAAAAAAAAAAAAAAAAGAAATGTAGATAATGTAAAAGTAGCATATACAAATAATTACCAAAGGGTGAGAGAACCTGGTGTGCCACTGGAACAGCCAGTGATTCAGCTTGACTACTGCAGTGGATCTTGTCATTGGATACTCATCAGAATTACCCAAGAAAATGTGTTACCAAATAAATTGTCCTGGCTTCACCTTAGTCTACTAAGTCAGGATTTCCAAGGTTGGGCTCTTTAATTAAGTTTCCCATTTGATGGTAAGGAACAGCTTGGGGGAGAACCACACACCACAGCACAAAGCTCCTGAGACAAGAGAGACAGGGCTGGGCACGGTGGCTCATGCCGTGGGTGGATCACCTGACGTCACAAGTTCGAGACCAGCCTGTCCCACATGGTGAAACCCCGTTTCTACTAAAAATACAAAAATTTAGCCGGGCGTGATGGTGGGTGCCTGTAATCCCAGCTACTTGGGAGGCTGAGGCAGGATAATTGCCTGAACCCAGGAGGCGGAGGTTGCAGTGAGCCGAGATCGCGCCACTGCACTCCAGCCTGGGCAACAAGAGTGAACCTCCATCTCAAAAAAAAAAAGAGACAGAAACAGGTGGGGCACAGACACAGAGGGCTCTCAATGCCACGCCATTGGAGGTGGGTTTTGCCCTCTTTGTTGAGTCATACAGTGTCCAGTCACTCTATCAACTGATGTGGAAGTGCAACTGGAGATTGGCAACTCGAGTCATTGGGGGTATGGTGATGAGGTAAGTGACCTCTGGGAGGGACTATAAGAATGGGGAGGGGTGGCCGGGTGCGGTGGCTCAAGCCTGTAATCCCAGCACTTTGGGAGGACGAGGTAGGCGGATCACCTGAGGTCGGGAGTTCCAGACCAGCCTGACCAATATGGAGAAACCCTGTCTCTACTAAAAATACAAAATTAGCTGGGCATGGTGGTGCATGCCTGTAATCCCAGCTACTTGGGAGGCTGAGGCAGGAGAAGCGCTTGAACCCGGGAGGCAGAGGTTGCGGTGAGCCGAGATCGTGCCATTGCACTCCAGCCTGGGCAACAAGAGTGAACTCCGTCTCAAAAAAAAAAAAAAAAAAATGGGGAGGCAGGTTTTGGGGTAAATCATTGCTTAGCGATCCCCAACTGTGGCCAGGGACAAAATGACCCCTAACTTCTATTTTGGTTCACTATTTGGTATTTCCAGCAAAACCTAGCCCACTCTCGCCACCTGCATGCCAGCGCTGTCCTGGATGTGGGCAAGAGACATAGCAGAGAACAAGACAGGAAGCTCAATTCTAGGAAAAATGTGTTAACTGAAGGACTAAATAAATGAATGATTAACTAATTTGCAAGGGCAAGGAAGACGGCAGAGGCTTTCCCATAAAAGATTAAATGCCTGGGAAACGACCGAGATTCCAGGTCGGCCCCGCCCGGGAGCCTCGGTCGCGCCCACCAGGCTTGCTCACCTCGAAGGGAGCGACGCTGGGGAAGGTGACATCGATGACCAGCACGCCAGGCCGGCCTTGGGAGGTCCGCACGTCGCCCACCTGGAGGGCTACGGAGCCTTTCACATGGCAAGGCACCAAAACGCGGGACATGGTGACAGCAGCCGCAACTAAGTGCAACCGCCGCTCTAGGCCCCCGACCACCAGCCCTTCCCGGCATCCTCAGCCGAGCCTCAAGAACTACAAATCCCGGGAGGCCCCGCGTACGGCCAGCCCAGCCAATCACCGAAGCTCAGGATCGGCCGGGAGTCGGAAGTGCCTGCGGAAGTTTTTTTCTTTTTCGTTTTTAACACGGAATCTCGCTCTGTCGCCCCAGCTAGAGTGCAGTGGCGTTATCTCGACTCACTGCAACCTCCGTCTCCGGGATTCAAGCGATTCTCCTGCCTCAGCCTCCCTAGTAGCTGGGATTACAGGTGCCCGCCACCATGCCCTGCTAATTTTTTTTTTTTTAATTTTTGGTAGAGACGAGGTTTCACCATATTGTCCAGGCTGGTCTCGAACCCCTGACCTCAAGTGATCCGCCCGCCTCGGCCTCCGAAAGTGTCGGAATTACAGGCGTGGGTCACCGCGCCCCTCCCACTGAAGTTCTTCTTCAGCCAATCACTGCTCGAGGCTTAGAGCCTACCCGCGAGCCGCGCCCAGCAACTGCCCAGCCTTTCTGTATGCAAGCCATTCGGCTCCCTTTGGGTTTCTTTCACTGCTTAGGGCGGTAGTCTGTTAAAGGCATATAAATACATAAACACAAATCAGCAGTGATTAGCCTAGATTAACCTCAAAAATACGTATTAGCCGTTGGAAAAAAAAAGGATTTGAACACGCGCTTTGCAAAAGTAGATAAACAGCCAATAAACCCATGAAAAGATACTTAATATTTATAGAGGAAATACAAATTAGAACCTCCACACAGTCATTAGACAGGCTAAAATTAAAGACTGACAAAGATGTGGAGTGCTTGGAACCCTCATCCATTGCTGATTTCCAACCACTTTGGGGTTTTCTGTTTGTTTTAGAGACAGGGTCTCAGTTACCCAGGCTAGAGTGCAATGCTGCGATCACGGTTCACTGCAGCCTCGACTTCGCGGGCTCCAGTGATCTCACCTCAGCCTCCAGAGTAGCTGGGACTACACGCACACGCCACTGCGTCCTGCTAGATTTGTCTATTTTATTTCTTATTTTTATTTTATTTTATTTTTTTGAGACGGAGTCTCGCTCAGTCGCGCCCAGGTTGGAGTGCAGTGGCGCAATCTCGGCTCACTGCAACCTCTGCCTCCTAGGTTCAAGCGATTCTCCTGCCTCAGCCTCCCTAGTAGCTGGGATTACAGGCGCCCGCCACCACGCCCAGCTAATTTTTTTTTCTTTTTTTCCTTTTTTTTTTTTTTTTTTTTGAGACGGAGTCTCTGTCACCCAGGCTGGAGTGCAGTGGCGCAACTTGGCTCACTGCAACCTCCGCCTCCCGGATTCAAGCAATTCTTCTGCCTCAGCCTCCCGAGTAGCTGAGATTACAGGCATGCGCCACCAACGCCTGGCTAATTTTTTTGTTTTTAGTAGAGACGGAGTTTCACCATATTGGTCAGGCTGGTCTCGAACTCCTGACCTTGCAATCTATCCGCCTTGGCCTCCCAAAGTGCCAGGATTACAGACGTGAGCCACCGTGCCCGGCTAATTTTTTGTATTTTTAGTAGAAACGGGGTTTCATCATGTTGGTCATGCTGGTCTTGAACTCAGGTAATCTGCCCGCCTTGGCTTCCCAAAGTGGTGGGATTACAGGCATGAGGCACCGCGCCCGGCCTTTTTATTTTTTTAATCTTTAAGACAGAGTTTTGCTCTTTTTGCCCAGGCTGGAGTGCAGTGCAATCGCAGCTCACTGCAACCTCCGCCTCCTGAGTCCCCGGGTTCAAGGGATTCTCCTGCCTCATCCTCCTAAGTACCTGGGGCTACAGGTGCATGCCGCCACACCCTGCTAATTTTTTGTATTTTAAGTCGAGATGGTGTTTCATCCTGTTGCCCAGGCTGGTCTCGAACTCCTGAGCTCAGGCAGTCTGCCCACCTCGGCCTTCCAAAGTGCTAGGATTACAGGCCTGAGCCACCGTGCCTGGCCTAGTTTTGTTTATTTTTCCCTGTGTTGCCCAAGCTGGTCTCAAACTCCTGGGTCCCAATAATCCTCCTGCCTCCCACACCTGGCCTCCAACCACTTTGAAAAACAGGGTCTTTCTTAATTTATATCTACAATATGATCTAGCCATTGCACTCATAAGTATTTACCCAAGGTAAATGAAAGCATAACAAAACCAAAGTCCTTTATTCATGATAACCAAAATTTGAAAATAATCCAAATGTCCAACAGATGAACAGATAAACCAATTGTGCTATATCAATACAATGGAATACTACTCATCAATATAAAGAAATGCATAGGCCAGGCAGGGTGGCTCAGGCCTGTAATCCCATCACCCTGGGAGATGAAGGT
Source organism: Homo sapiens (assembly GCF_000001405.40). Taxonomy (NCBI): domain Eukaryota; kingdom Metazoa; phylum Chordata; class Mammalia; order Primates; family Hominidae; genus Homo; species Homo sapiens. The sequence goes on from NC_000003.12 coordinate 49,431,614, forward strand.
GAGAGGATCACTTGAGCTTAGGAGTTTGAGACCAGCCTGGGTAACAAAGTGAGACTTTGTCTCTAAAAAAACAAACAAATAAACTGAATACTTATGATTTGTTCATTTTATTGTATCTAAATTATACCTCAATAAACATGATCTTAAGAGTGAGAAGGGGCCGAGCGCAGTGGCTCACGCCTGTAATCCCAGCACTTTGGGAGGCCAAGGCAGGCAGATCCTGAGGTCAGGAGATCGAGAACAGCCTGGCTAACACGGTGAAACTCCATCTCTACTAAAAATACAAAAAATTAGCCAGGCGTGGTGGCACGAACCTGTAGTCCCAGCTACTTGGGAGGCTGAGGCAGGAGAATCACTCGAACCTGGGAGGCAGAGGTTGCAGTGAGCCGAGGTCACACCACTGCACTCCAGCCTGGGCGACTCCGTCTCAAAAAAAAAAAAAACAGCGAGAAGGGGATGGGGGAGGGAGTGGTTGTGGGGGGAAAAAACGAAAAAGTAAAGCAAAAAAGTAAATATTGACCGGGCACGGTGGCTCATGTCTGTAATCCTAGCACTTTGGGAGGCTGAGGCAGGTGGATAGCTTGAGCTCAGGAGTTCGAGACCAGCCTGGGCAACATGGTGAAAGTATATCTCTACAAAAAATACAAAAATTAACCGGGCGTGGGGGTGTGTGCCTGTGTAGTCCCAGCTATTTGGGAGGCTGAGGTGGGAAGATCACTTGAGTCTGGGAGGTCAAGGCTGCAGTGAGCCTTGAAATTGCATCACTACACTCCAACCTGGGTGACAGAGTGAGACCCTGTCTCAAAAACAAAACAGAAGCAAAAACCACACACACAATTTAACCATCATATTTATCATCACCATTCTTCCAAATACTTGTGGAAAAAATGTCCAAGAGATTTTCAGTTAAGCCTGTTTTATTTATTTATTTATTTATTTATTTATTTTTTGAGACGGAGTCTTGCTCTGTCACCCAGGCTGGAGTGCGGTGGCACGATCTCAGCTCACTGCAACCTCCGCTTCCCGGGTTCAAGAGATTCTCCTGCCTCAACCTCCTGAGTAGCTGGGATTACAGGCGTGTGCCACCACGCCCAGCTAATTTTTGTATTTTTAGTAGAGACAGGGTTTCTCCATGTTGCTCAGGCTGGTCTCGAACTCCTGACCTTGTGATCCGCCTGCCTCGGCCTCCCAAAGTGCTGGGATTACAGACATGAGCCACCACGCCCAGCCAAGCCTGTTTTATAGATGGCAAAGCTCAGACAGAAGATGTCCAGTGATTTCCCCAACCCAGGAAAACAGCGTGGAGTAAAGCTGGAACCCTGGCCTCCCTTTGGCTCCCATCTCACAGGTCAGAACCCCCCAGGCAATGGTCAGCTTCAGTTAACCTGTGTCTACTCTATATTGAGGGGCCCCAGAGACACAGATCCTGCACAGCCTATGGGGCTCTCATGATGTGAGGTCAAACAAGCCCAGGCACATGATTCCAGGCCATCCCAAGGAATGGCCTAGAGGAGCTGTGCCTTCCCACTCCAGGCCTGGTGAACTTAAGTAACAGAAAACATTCCCTGCCTCCTCCTTGGGTGTTGTCAGGGGAAGACAATTTCTAATGTTGGACTGGTCTGATCATTGCCATCTCCATTTTGACCCAGGCTAATGATTCACTGTGTAGCTCCCTCCATGTTCCTGAGATATTCCCCTATAGGAAGCCTGCCCGTGCTGAAGCAGAGCCCTTCCCAAATCCCATGGATTACAGTATGGACCCCCTGGGCATCAGGAGGATCCAGACAAGCTCTGGCTTTAGGTCCCATCTCTGTGAGCACAGCCACCAGCAGACACAGAACTGTATGGCCCCTCATTACAGATGAGTTTCACCTCTTAGCTTGCTGGTAAACAGCCACTTTCACTCCAGCCCCTTCAATACATTGCCCAATTGTGGCAGGCAGGTTTTTCAATGTGAAATCCTCATTGATTCTCTCTGTTTTACAGCCATGTCCAATAGCTCTCAATAAGGCAGGGCACAGAGGCTCACACCTATAATCACAACATGTAGGAAGGCCAAGGTGAAAGGATTGCTTGAGCACAGGAGTTCAAGACCAGCCTGGGCAACATAGTGTGACACACATCTCTATAAAACAAAACAGGACAGGCGCGGTGGTTCACGCCTATAATCCCAGCAATTTGGGATGCTGAAGAGGGCAGATCACCAGGTCAAGAGATCCAGACCATGCTGGCCAACATGGTGAAACCCCGTCTCTACTAAAATACAAAAATTAGCTGGGCATGGTGGCGCGCGTCTGTAGTCCCAGTTACTAGGGAGGCTGAGGCAGGAGAATGGCTTGAACCCAGGAGGTGGAGGTTTCAGTGAGCCTAAATCACACCACTGCACTCCAGCCTAGGCCACAGGGCGAAACTCCATCTGTCTCAAAAAAAAAAAGATAAGGGTCTTACTTTGTTGCCAACTGGTCTGGAACTCCTGGGTTTAAGCAATCCTCCTACCTCTGCCTCCCTAATTGCTGAGGTTTCATCCCAGAGCCACCATGCCCATATTGCTTGGTGTTAGGAACTTCCACTTAAAACCAAGATGGAGGCTGGGACGGTGGCTCAAGCCTGTAGTCCCAGCACTTTTGGAGGCTGACGAGGGTGGATCACAAGATCAGGAGTTCAAGATCAGCCTGGCCAACATAGTGAAACCCTGTCACTACTGAAAATACAAAAATTAGCCGGGTATGGTGGTGCACACTTGTAGTCCCAGCTACTTGAGAAGCTGAGGCAGGAGAATCACTTGAACCCGGGAGGCAGAGGTGGCAGTGAGCAACAATCACGCCTCTGCACTCCAGCCTGGCAACAGAGCAAGACTTCATCTCAAAAATGCGGCCGGGCACCGTGGCTCAAACCTGTAATCCTAGCACTTTGGGAGGAAAGGCGAGTGGATCACGAGGTCAGGAGATTGAGACCATCCTGGCTAACGCTGTGAAACTCCGCCTCTACTAAAAATACAAAAAATTAGCCGGGCGTGGTGGCACGCACCTGTAGTCCCAGCTACTTGGGAGGCTGAAGCAGGAGAATTGCTTGAACCTGGGAGGCAGAGGTTGCAGTGAGCCGAGATCACGCCACTGCACTCCAGCCTGTGTGACAGAGTGAGACTCCGTCTCAAAAGAAAAAAAAAAGAACCAGATAGGCAAGCACAGTGGCTCATGCCTATAATCCCAGCACTTTAGGAGGCTGAGGCTGGAGGATCTCTTGAGCCTGAGTCACGGCTGTATCACACCACCACAATCCAACCTAGGTGACAGAGTGAGAATCTGTCTCAAAAAAAAAAAAAGGAAGAAAAAAGGCTGAGCACAGTGGTTTATGCCTGCAATCCCAGCACTTTGGGAGGCTGAGGCAAGATGATTGTGTGAGCCCAGGAGTTTGAGGTCAGCCATGGTGAAACTCCGTCTCTACAAAAAATACAAAAATTAGCCGAGCATGGTGGCTCATGCCGGTAGTTCCAGCTACTCAGGAGGCTGACATTGGAGAATCACCGAGGCCAGGAGTTCGAGGCTGCAGTGAGCCAAGATCACAAAAAATAAGAATATAAAGCCGGGCGCAGTGGCTCACACCTGTAATCCCAGCACTTTGGGAGGAAGAGGCGGGCGGATCACAAGGTCAGGAGATCGAGACCATCCTGGCTAACATGGAGAAACCCCGTCTCTACTAAAAATACAAAATTAGCCGGGGTGGTGGTGCATGCCTGTAATCCCAGCTACTTGGAGCTGAGGCAAGAGAATTGCTTGAACCCGGGAGACAGAGGTTGCGGTGAGCCAAGATCGCGCCATTGCACTCCAGCCTGGGCAACAAGAGCGAAACTCCGTCTCAAAAAAAAAAAAACAAAAACAAAAATTAGGCCAGGTGAGGTGGCTCACACCTGTAATCCCAGCACTTTGGGAGGCCAAGGCAGGCGGATTATTTGAGGTCAGGAGTTCGAGACCAGCCTGGCCTACATGGCTAAACCCCATCTCTACTAAAAATACAAAAAAAGGCCGGGCGCGGTGGCTTACACCTGTAATCCCAGCATGCTGGGAGGCCAAGGCGGGCGGATCACCTGACGTCGGGAGTTTGAGACCAGCCTGACCAACATGGAGAAACCCCGTCTCTACTAAAAATACAAAAAAATTAGCCAGGCATGGTGGCCCATGCTTGTAATCCCAGCTACTCAGGAGGCTGAGGCAGGAGAATCGCTTGAACCCAGGAGGTGGAGGTTGCAGTGAGCCAAGATCGAGCCATTGCACTTCAGCCTGGGCAACAAAAGGGAAACTCTGTCTCAAAAAAAAAAAAAAAAGTCCAGTATGGTGGCATGAGCCTGTAATCCTAGGTACTTGGGAGGCTGAGGCAGGAGAAATCGCTTCAACCCGGAAGGCAGAGGTTGCAGTAAGCCGAGATTACGCCATTGCACTCCAGCCTGGGTGACAAGAGTGAAACTCCATCTTGAAAATAAAAAAAAAAATACAAAAATTAGCTGGGCGTGGTGGTGCACACCTGTAGTCCCAGCTACTTGGGAGGCTGAGGCAGGAGAATCTCTTGAACCTGGGAGGCAGAGGTTGCAGTAAGCTGAGATCGCGCCACTGCACTCCATCCTCGGTGACAGAGGGAGACTCCATCTTAAAAAAAGAAAAATAAAAAATAAGAGAAACAAAGTGGCAATTTGGAGAGGCAAAATGATTAGAGATTAGAGAGGACAGAACTCCATAGAGAGATAACAGGCGATTTCCAAGGCGGTTCCTTGAGGCTTCAGCTGAGTGATAATCAGCACAAGTATGTGAGGAAACTACCCAACCCCAGGGAGAGAATTACCCAAAAAGAATAAGATAACTAGGCCAGGCCCGGTGGCTCACACCTGTAATCCCAGCACTTTGGGAGGCCAAGGTGGGCAGATCACGAGGTCAAGAGATCAAGACCATCCTGGCCAACATGGTGAAACCCCGTCTCTACTAAAAATACAAAAAATTAGCCAGGTATGGTGGTGGGTGCCTGTAATCCCAGCTGCTTGGGAGGCTGAGGCAGGAGAATTGCTTGAACCTGGTAGGCGGAGGTTGCAGTGAGCCGAGATCGTGCCATTGCACTCCAGCCTGGGCAAAAAGAGTGAAACTCCGTCTCAAAAAACAAACAAACAAACAAAAAAGAATAAGATAACTATCACCAAATCTTACGAGTATGTGAGGAAACTACCCAAGCCAGTGAAAGAATTACCCAAAAAGAGTAAAAATAACAATCAGCAACTCTTAGTCTGAGCCAGAAATTGTGTTTCCACCAGCCATAGCTAAAGCCCTCCTAATTCATGGGGCATTGTGTAGCATGCTTAAACGGGTATTGCTGGGCCGGGTGCGGTGGCTCATGCCTGTAATCCCAGCACTGTGGAAGGCCGATGGGGGCGGATCATGAGATCAGGAGTTCGAGACCAGCCTGGCTAATATGATGAAACCTCATCTCTACTAAAAATATAAAAAATTAGCCAGGTGTGGTGATGCGTGCCTATAGTCCCACCTACTCAGGAGGCTGAGACAGGAGAATCGCTAGAACCCGGGAGGCAGAGGTTGCAGTAAGCCAAGATTGCGCCACTGCACTCCAGCCTGGGCAACAGAGTGAGACTCCATCTCAAAAAAAAAAACAGAAAAAAAAAAAAAAGGCCAGGTGAGGTGGCTCATGCCTGTAACCCAGCACTTTGGGATGCTGAGGTGAGCAGATCACCTGAGGTCGGGAGTTCGAGACCAGCCTGACCAACACGGAGAAACCCCATCTCTACTAAAAATACAAAATTAGCTGGGCGTGGTGGCACATGCCTGTAATCCCAGCTACTCAGGAGGCTGAGGCAGGAGAATCGCTTGAACCCGGGAGGCAGAGGTTGTGGTGAGCCAAGATTGCGCCATTGCACTCCAGCCTGGGCAACAAGAGCAAAACTCCTTCTCAAAAAAAAGGGTATTGCTGGCCAGCACTCTGGGAGGCTGAGGCAGGTGGATTACTTGAGGCCAAGAGTTTGAGACCAGCGTGATCAACATGAGGAAACCCCATGTCTACTAAAAATACAAAAATTAGCCAGGTGTATTGTTGGTGCACACCTGTAAGCCCAGCTACCTGGGAAGCTGAGACATGAGAACTGCTTGAACCCAGGAGGCAGAGGTTGCAGTGACCCAAGAACGTGACAGGGCACTCCAGCCTGGGCGACAGACCAATACTCTGTCTCCAGAAAAAAAAAAAAGGGTATTGCCATACATTATGGATGAAAATTTGTGTGAAGCTAAAATCTACTCTGATCCTACCTAACAAAGATTAAAATCAAGCCTCAAAATAATCAAATGTTTAAATGTATTAAAGAACAATGCTCAAAAATATCTATAGGAATACAATGCTATCCAGCATTTGAAAAGGTAAAATTTACAATGTTTGGCATTCATTTCAAAATTACCAGTCAGCCAAAAGAGATTGCACATACCTGATCACACCTGTAAATAGCCACTGCTCTCCAGCCTGGGCAACATAGCCAGACCCTGACTCTCCAAAAACAAATTGTTTATATACATATAACTACCACTGCCCTTTTATTTTTTTTTCTTGGACGGAGTTTTGCTCTTGTTGCCCAGGCTGGAGGGCAATGGCACGATCTCGGCTCACTGCAACCTCCGCCTCCCGAGTTCAGGCGATTCTCCTGCCTCAGCCTCCCTAGTAGCTGGGATTACAGGCATGCGCCACCACGCCTGGCTAATTTTGTATTTTTAGTAGATACAGGGATTCTCCATGTTGGTCAGGATGGTCTCAAACTCCCGACCTCAGGTGATCCACCCGCCTCGGCCTCCCGAAGTGTTGAGATTACAGGCGTGAGCCACTGTGCCCGGCCTACCACTGTCCTTTTCATAGTTTTATTTTTTATTTTTATTTTTTGAGATGGAGTCTTGCTCTGTCGCCCAGGCTGGAGTGCAGTTGCACAATCTCAGCTCACTGCAACCTCCTCCTCCCAGGTTCAAGAGATTCTGCTGCCTCAGTCTCCTGAGTAGCTGGGATTACAGGTGTGTGCCACCACACCTGACTAATTTTTGCATTTTTAGTAGAGACGGGGTTTCACCATGTTGGCCAGGCTGGTCTCAAATTCCTGATGTCAAGTGATCCACTCACCTTGGCCTCCCAAAGTGCTGGAATTACAGGTGTGAGCCACCGTGCCTGGCTTTATTTATTTATTTATTTATTTATTTTCTTTGTTACAGTCAGAGTTTCACTCTTGTCCCTCAGCCTGGAGTGCAGTGGCATGATCTTGGCTCACTACACCTTCTGCCTTCCAGGTTCAAGCAATTCTCCTGCCTCAGCCTCAAAAGAAGCTGGGATTACAGGCACGTGCCACCACGCCTGGCTAGTTTTTGTATTTTTAGTAGAGACAGGGTTTCACCATGTTGGCCAGGCTGGTCTCGAACTCCTGATCTAAAGTGATCCACCCACCTCGGCCTCCCAACGTGCTGGGATTACAGGCGTGGGCCACCGTGCTCGGCCTTATTTATGTATTTATTTATTTTTGAGTTGGAGTCTCACTCTGTTGCCCAGGCTGGAGTGCAGTGGCACGATCTCGGCTCACTGCAACCTCCACCTCCCAGGTTCAAGCGATTCTCGTGCCTCAGCCTCCTGAGTAGCTGGGATTACAGGCACCTGCCACCATACCCAGGTAATTTTTGTATTTTTAGTAGAGACGGGGTTTCACCATCTTGGCCAGGCTGGTCTTGAACTCCTGACCTCATGATCCACCCTGTTTGGCTTCCCAAAGTGCTGGGATTACAGGTGTGAGCCACCACGCCAGGCCTATTTATTTATTTATATTTATATTTATATATTTTTTGAGACGGAGTTTCACTGTTGTTGCTCAGGCTGGAGTGCAATGGCGCATTCTCGGCTCACCGCAACCTCTGCCTCCTGAGTTCAAGCGATTCTCCTGCCTCAGCCTCCCAAGTAGCTGGGATTACAGGCATGTACCACCACACCCTGCTAATTTTGTATTTTTTAGTAGAGACGGGGTTACTCCATGTTGGTCAGGTTGGTCTCGAACTCCTGACCTCAGGTGATCCGCCTGCCTCGGCCTCCCAAAGTGCTGGGATTACAGGCGTGAGCCACTGCACCTGGCATGGGCCTATTTATTTTTTTATTTTGAGACAGAGTCTTGCTCTGACCTCATGCTGGAGTGCAGTGGCATGATCTCAACTCACTGCAACCTCTGCCTCCTGGGTTCAGGCGTTTCTCCTGCCTCAGCCTCCCAAGTAGCTGGGACTACAGGCACACGCCACCACGGCCAGCTAATTTTTGACGGGGTATCACCATGTTGGCCAGGATAGTCTTGATCTCCTGACCTCATGATCCTCCTGTCTAGGCCTCCCAAAGTGCTGGGATTACAGGCGTGAGCCACCGCGCCCAGCCTATTTATTTATTTTTGAGACAGAGTTTGCTCTGTCGCCCAGGCTGGAGTGCAATGGCAAGATTTCGGCTCCCTGCAATCTCTGCCTCCTGGGTTCAAGCGATTCACCTGCCTCAGTCTCCCAAGTAGCTGGCACTACAGGAGCGTGCCATCACCCCCGGCTTTGTTTTGTTTTGTTTTTGCGACAGAGTTTCGCTCTTGTTGTCCAGGCTGGAGTGCAATGGTGCGGTCTTGGCTCACCGCAATCTCCACCTCCCAGATTCAAGCGATTCTTCTGCCTCAGCCTCTCGAGTAGCTGGGATTACAGGCATGCGCCACCACACCCAGCTAATTTGATAATTTTAGTAGAGATGGGGTTTCACCATGTTGGTCAGGCTGGCTTCGAACTCCCGACCTCAGGTGATCTGCCCATGTCAGCCTCCAAAAGTGCTGAGATTACAGGCGTGAGCCACTGTGCCCGGCCCTTTCTTTTCTTTTTTGACAGTCCTACTCTGTCACCCAGGCTGCAGTGTAGTGGCACAATCTTGGCTCACTGCAACCTCTGGGGAGGCCCGATTTCTACAAAAAGTAAAAAATTGGCCAGGCAAGGTGGCTCATGTCTGTAATCCCAGCACTTTGAGAGGCTGAGGCGGGCGGATAACCTGAGGTCGGGAGTGGGAGACCAGCCTAACCAACATGGAGAAACCCTTTCTCTACTAAAAAAAAAAACAAATACAAAATTAGCCAGGCGTGGTGGTGGGCCCCTGTAATTCCAGCTACTCAGGAGGCTGAGGCAGGAGAATCGCCTGAACCCAGGAGGCGTAGGTTGCAGTGAGCTGCCAAGATCACACCATTGCCCTCCAGCCTGGGCAACAAGAGCAAAACTCTGTCTCAAAAAAAAAAAAAAAAAAAAACTACCTGAGTGTGGTGGTCCATGTCTGTAGTCCCAGCTACTCAGGATAACGTTGGAGGATCACTTGAACCTGGGAGGTGGAGGGTGCAGAGAGCTGTATTCATGCCACTGCACCCCATCCTGGGTGACCTATCTTGAAAAAATATGCATGTGTGTCTGTGTGTGTCTGTCCAGATATATAAGGACACACATATAATGTCTTTGCCTCTTGTAACCTGATTTGAGTCTATTTTCACTTACAATAATATAGCCACTCCAGCTCTCTTTTGGTTATTATTTGCATGGAATATATTTTTCCACCCTTTTCTTATGTAAAGCTAAAAAGAGGAAGCTGAGGCAAAATTAATATAAGTAGAGAGTTTATTTGGGCCAAGCTTGAGGATTGCTACCCAAGAACATAGATTAATATTCTACCCAAGAACATACTATTGTGTTGTCCTTAATAATATACACTGGGCCAGGTGCCATGGCTCACACCTGTAATCCCAGCACGTTGGAAGGCTGAGGTGAACAGAACACAAGTCAGGAGTTCGAGACCAGCATGACCAACATGGTGAAACCCCGTCTCTACTAAAAACACACAAAAAATTAGCCGGGTGTGGTGGTGCGCACCTGTAATCCCAGCTACTTGGGAGGCTGAGGCAGGAGAATTGCTTGGAGCTGGGAAGCAGAGGTTGCAGTAAGCCAAGATCATGCCACTGCACTCCAGCCTCAGCAATGGAGTGAGACTCCGTCTCAAAAAAAAAAAAAGAAAGAAAAAAAAAAGTCAGGCACAGTGGCTCACACCTGTAATCCCAGCACGTTGGCAGGCCAAGGCAGGCAGATCACAAGGTCAGGAGTTTGAGACCAGCCTGGCTAACATGATGAAACCCTGTCTCTACTAAAAAAAATACAAATAATTAGCGAGGCGTAGTGGCGGGCGCCTATAATCCCAGCTACTCGGAAGGCTGAGGCAGGAGAATCACTTGAACCTGGGAGGCAGAGGTTGCAGTGAGCCAAGATCTCGCCACTGCACTCCAGCCCAGGTGACAGAGTGAGACTCCGTCTCAAAAAACAAACAAACAAACAAACAAACAAAATAATAATAATACACTGATGGCCGGGTGCAGTGGCTCATGCCTGTAATCCCAGCACTTTGGGAGGCTGAGGTGGGTGGATCACCTGAGGTCAGAAGTTCAAGACCAGCCTGGCCAACATGATGAAACCCTGTCTCTACTAAAAATAGAAAAATTAGCCGGGCATGGTGGTGGGTGCCTGTAATCCCAGCTACTTGGAAGGCTTAGTCAGGATAATCGCTTGAACCCGGGAGGTGGAGGTTGCAGTGAGCTGAGATCACACCACTGCACTCCAGCCTGGGCAACAGAGTCTCAAAAAAAAAAAAAAAAAAAAAAAAAAAAAAAAATATATATATATATATATATATATATATATGCTGATTAGTAGCAAGTACAGATGGATTATTATTATTATTATTTTTGAAACGGAGTCTCGCTCTGTCACCCAGGCTGGAGTGCAATGGCTCAATCTCGGCTCACTGTAACCTCCACCTCCCAGGTTCAAGCGATTCTCCTGCCTCAGTCATTTGAGTAGCTGGGATTACAGGTGCCCACCACCACACCTGGCTAATTTTTGTATTTTTAGTAGAGATGGGGTTTCAGCTTGTTGGCCAGGCTGGTCTCGAACTCTTGACCTCAGATAATCCGCCCACCTCAGCCTCCCAAAGTGCTGGGATTACAGGTGTAAGACACCACACCCGGCCGAGACAGAGTCTTGCTCTGTCACCAGGCCGGAGTGCAGTGGTGTGATCTTGGCTCACTGCAACCTCCACCTCCTGGGTTAAAGTGATTCTCATGCCTCAGCCTCCTGAGTAGCTGGGATTACAGGCATGCACCACTATACCCAGCTAATTTTTGTATTTTTAGTAAAGATGGGGTTGCACCATGTTGGCCAGGATGGTCTCGATTTCCTGACCTCGTCATCCCGCCCCCTTCGGCCTCCCAAAGTGCAGGGATTACAGGTGTGAGACACAGTGCCCAGCCATTTATTTTTTGTTGTTGTTTTGTTTTGTTTTTGAGACTGAGTCTCACTCTGTTGCCCAGGCTGGAGTGCAGTGGCGCAATGTCTTCTCACTGCAACCTCTGCCTCCCGGGTTTAAGCAATTCTCTACCTTAGCCTCCCGAGTAGCTGGCATTACAGGCGCTTGCCACCACACCTGGCTAATTTTTATATTTTTAGTAGAGATTGGGTTTCACCATCTTGGCCAGGCTGGTCTTGAATTCCTGACCTCGTGGTCCACCCGCCTCAGCCTCCCAAAGTGCTGGGATTACAGGCGTGAGCCACTGAGCCCAGCCTGGTCTTTTTTTTTTTTTTTTTTTAAATGAAGTTTCATTCTTGTTGCCCAGGCTGGAGTGCAATGGCGAGATCTCAGTTCACTGTATCCTCTGCCTCCCAGGTTCAAGCGATTCTCCTGCCTCAGCCCCTGGAATAGCTGGGATTATAGGCATGTGCCACCACGCCCAGCTAATTTTGTATTTTTAGTAGAGATGGGGTTTCTCCATTTTGGTCAGACCGGTCTCGAACTCCCGACCTCAGGTGATCTGCCTGCCTCGGCCTCCCAAAGTGCTGGGATTATAGGCATGAGCCACCATGCTGGCTGTACAGGTGGATTTTTAAAGGAAAGAAGAAGCAATTCCTGAGTTGTTACCAATAACTTATATTAAAATAACATAAGCCATTGATTGCTTATATATTGTTTCTTTTTTCTTTTTTTTAATTGAGACAGGGTGTCACTATGTTCCCCAGGCTGGTCTCCTGGACTCAAGCAATCCTCCAGTCTCAGTCTCCCAAAGTGCTGGGATTACAAGTGTGAGCCACCCTGCCCAGGCCCCATTGCTTCTTTATATCACAAATTCCAGGAGCATGAAGATAATGGGTGAGGCAGTCAAGAACAAAATGACTTTTTTTTTCAAGACAAGCTATTGCTTCTGTCACCTAGGCTGGAGTGTAGTGGTGTAATCATAGCTCACTGCAGCCTCAAACTCCTGGGCTCAAGCACTCCTCTTGGGACTAGCACTAGGACTGCAGGCTCAGGCTACAGCAAGAATATTTTTCTTTACTTTTTTTCGTAAAGACAGGAGCTCACTATGTTGTTCAGGCTGGTCTCAAACTCCTGGCCTCAAGGGATCCTCCTGCCTCTGTCTCCCAAAGCACTGGAATTACAGGCATGAGTCACTGTGCCTGACCCAAAATAACCTTAAGCAACTGCCCCCAGGCATGGGCTTGAGGGAGGGAGCATGACTGAAGTTTCATACCGGAAGTCTCTCTGTGCCTGCACACCACACATAATTCAGACTGCTCTGAGCTATTTTTTCTTACAATTTTTTTCTTTTTTTTCTTTTTTTCTTTGAGACAGAGTCTCGCTCTGTTCCCCAGGCTGGAGTGCAGTGGCATGATCTCGGCTCACTATAACCTCCACCTCCTGGGATCAAGCACTTCTCCTGCCTCAGCCTCCCAAGTAGCTGGGATCACAGGCGCCCACCACCACGCCTGGCTAATTTTTAGTATTTTTAGTAGAGACGGGGTTTCCCCATGTTGTCCAGGCTGGTCTCGAACTCCTGACCTCATGTGATCTGCCCGCCTCAGCCTCTCAAAGTGCTAGGATTTTGAAAGTGCCAGGCGTGAGCCACTGGGCCTGGCCATTTCTTATAATTTCTTTGTGTTCATTTATTTATTTATTGTCTTTTTTTTTTTTTTGGTGGAGAATGGGGTCTCGCTATATTGCCCAGGCAGGTCTGGAACTCCTGGGCTCAAGCTATTCTCCTGCCTCTGCCTACCTAAGAGCTGGGGTTACAGGTGTGAGCCACCACGCCCGGCCATTCATTCATTCATTCATTCTTTCTTTGAGACAAGGTCTGGCTCTGTTGCCCAGGCTGGAGTGCAGTGGCCTATCTCAGCCATCCTCCCACTTCAGCCTCCTGAATAGCTGGGACTACAAGCATAGGCCACCCTACCCAGCTAGTTTTTGTATTTTTTGTAGAGACTGGGTTTCATGGTGTTGCCAAGGCTGGTCTCGAAACCCTGAGCTCAAGCAATCTGCCCACCTCAACTTCCCAAAGTGTCCTTATATTTAAAGTAAGACTCTTGGGGGCAGCATATAGCTGGATCTTGTCTCTTTTAATCCATCTTCCAATCTTGTCAAAAACAAAATCACAACAAATTTAGTTTAAGGATCGCTTTTTTTTTTTTTTTGAGATGGAATTTTGCTCTTGTTGCCCAGATTGGAGTGGAATGGCGCAGTCTCAGGTCACTGCAACCTCTACCTCCCAGGTTCAAATGATTCTCCTGCCACAGCCTCCTGAGTAGCTGGGATTACAGGCACCCGCCACCACACCTGGCTAATTTTTGTATTTTTAGTAGAATCAGGGTTTCACCATGTTGGCCAGGCTGGTCTTGAACTCCTGACTTCAGGTGACCCACCTGTCTTGGACTCCCAAAGTGTTGGGATTACAGGCGTGAGCCACTGTGCCCAGCAAGGATCTCCTTTTTTTTCCTTTTTTCTTTTCTTTCTTTTTTTTTTTTTTTTCTGAGATAGAATCTCTGTCGCTCAGGCTGGAATGCAGTGGAGTGGCTCACTGAAGCCTTGAACTCCTGGGCTCAGGTGACTCTCCCATCTCAGCTTTCTGAGTAGCTGAGACTACAGGTGCACGCCACAGTGCCCAGCTAGTTTAAGGATCTTAACTGGCTTTTATCTATGATTCCACAATCAGGCAACACTTCATTCTATAAAATAGAATGAGGCTGGGCGTGGTGGCTCACGCCTGTAATCCCAACACTTTGGGAGGCTGAGGCAGGTGGATCTCTTGAGGCCAGGGGTTCAAGACCAGCCTGGCCAACATGGTGAAACCCCGTCTCTACTAAAAAATGCAAAAATTAGCCAGGTGTGGTGGCACATGCCTGTAATCCTAGCTACTCCAGAGGCTGAGGCACAAGAATCTCTTAAACCCGGAAGGTGGAGGTTGCAATAAGCTGAGATTGCGCCACTGCACTCCAGCTTGGGCAACAGAGTGAGGCTCTGTTTCAAAAAAATAAAATAAAATAAAATACAGTGAGTGTTCTGATGAACTGAGCAGAGCAGTTTGGCTGCGTAGGCAGAAAAGGGTTGAGGAAAGCAGAAACAGTGAACAAAAGGGGATTGGTTCTTTCAAAAGTATGTTCTTTGTAGAGGTTAAAGCAGAGGGAATTTCTCTATCATGTTGTCTAAAATTGACTTGTTTGGAGATTTGGCTATTATCTCTCTCTCTCCTGATTTCTTTTCTTTTTCTTTCTTTCTTTTTTTTTTTTGAGATGGAGTTTTGCTCTTGTTGCCCAGGCTGGAGTGCAATGGCATGATCTTCACTCACTGCAACCTCTGCCTCCTGGGTTCAAGCAATTCTCCTGCCTCAGCCTCCCAAGTAGCTGGGATTACAGGTATGCGCCACCACGCCGGGCTGATTTTGTATTTTTAGTAGAGATGGAGTTTCTTCATGTTGGTCAGGCTGGTCTTGAACTTCTGACCTCTAGTGATCCGCCTGCCTCGCCCTCACAAAGTCCTGGGATTACAGGCATGAGCCACTGCACTCGGCCTCTCTCTCCTAATTTCTTGGAAGATTAGATAAATAATTTAGTTGCAGCTTCGTGGAATGGCACTTCAGCACAAGTAACTCAATTTTGGTTTGGTCTTTTGGGCCTAGTACAGGAGTTCTACCCAAACCAATGGCCTGCTATAAATATGATTTAATACTCAGGTGACCCACCCGGCCTATTGTTTATAGGCAAATAGTAGCCGGGTGCTGTGGCTCACACCTGTAATCCCAAAACTTTGGGAGGCCAGGGCAGGCGGGTCACCAGAGGTCAGGAGTTAGAGAACAGCCTGGGCAACATGGCAAAACCCCATCTCCACAAACATTGCAAAAAAAAAGAAAAATTAGCTGGGTGTGGTTGCACACACCTGTAGTCCCAGCTACTCAGGGGGTTGAGGCAGGAGGATCACTTGAGCCCAGAAGGTCAAGGCTGTAGTGACATATGATCTCAGCATTGCAGTCCAGCCTGGGTGACAGAGTGAGACCCTGTCTCAATAAAAAGAAAACAAACAAAAAGAAATAGTTTAAAGTTTTCTCAGTTTTAATTTCTAATATCATAAACATAGATAGATATAACTCATAGTTAAAGTCTCCCTTAGGCTGGGCGAGGTGACTCACAACTGTAATCCAAGCACTTTGGGAGGCCCAATCAGGAGGATCACTTGCACCCAGAAGTTTAAGACCAGCCTTGGCAACAGAGGGAAACCTCATCTCTACCAAAAAAAAAAAAAAAAAAAAAAAAATTGGTGGGCATGGTGGTACACGCCTGTAGTCCCAGCTACTCGGGAGACCGAGGCACAAGAGGATTGCTTGAGCTGGAGAGTTTTAGCCTGCAGTGAGCCATGATTATATTACTGCACTCTAGCCTGGGCAACAGAGCAAGACCCTATCTCAAAATAACTAAATAAATAAAAAGTCTCGGCTGGGCAAGGTGGCCCATGCCTGTAATCCCAGCACTTTGGAAGGCCAAGGCAGGTGGATCACTTGAGGCCGGGAGTTCAAGACCAGACTGGCCAACATAGAGAAACCCTGTCTCTACTAAAAATACAAAAAATTAGCCAGGCGTGGTGGCGGGCGCCTGTAGTCCCAGTTACTAGGGAGGCTGAGGCAGGAGAATGGCATGAACCCGGGAGGTGGAACTTGCAGTGAGCCGAGATTGCACCACTGCACTCCATCCAGCCTGGGCGACAGAGCGAGACTCCATCTCAAAAAAAAAAAATTATCTGGGTGTGGTAGCATCTGCCTGTAAATCCCAGCTACTCGGGAAGGCTGAGACATGAGAATCGATTGAACCTGGGAGGTGGAGGCTGCAGTGTGCCATGATCATGCCACTAAACTCTAACCTGGGCGACATAGTGAGGCCAGACACGGTGGCTCACGCCTGTAATCCCAGCACTTTGGGAGGCCAAGGCAGGTGGATCATCTGAGGTCAGGAGATCAAGACCAGCCTGACCAACATGGTGAAACCCCGTCTCTACTAAAAATACAAAAATTAGCTGGGTGTGGTGGTGGGCACCTGTAATTCCAGCTACTTGGGAGGCTGAGGCAGGAAAATCACTTGAACCCAGGAGGTGGAGTTTGCAATGAGCCAAAAATCATGCCATTGCACTCCAGCCTGGGTAGCAGAGCAAGACTCCGTCTCAAAAAAAAAAAAAAAGAAAAAAAGAAAGAAAGAAATAGGTTAAATTTATTTTAATAGGATATTTCACTTGTATATAAAAGATGATCATTTCAACATAAAAATTAATGTTTAAAATATTAGTTTAGGTCATTTTTTCCATACGAAATATTTGACATTGGTGTATATTTTACACTTACAGCACATCTCAATTTGAACTAGCCACATTTCTTTTATTTTTATTTTTATTTTTTTTAGATGGAGTTTCGCTCTGTCGCCCAGGCTGGAGTGCAGTGGCACGATCTCGGCTCACTGCAACCTCCGCCTTCCTGGTTCAAGCGATTTTCCGGCTTAGCCTCCCAAGTAGCTGGGACTATAGGGGCACCCACGCCCGGCTAATTTTTTGTATTTAAGTAGAGACGGGGTTTCACCGTGTTGCCCAGGCTGGTCGCGAACTCCTGAGCTCAGGCAATCCGCCCGCCTTGGCCTCCCAAAGTGCTGGGATTACAGGCGTGAGCCACAGCGCCTGGCCCTTTTTTTTTTTTGAGATGGAGTCTCGCTCTGTCGCCCAGGCTGGAGTGCAGTGGCGCGATCTCGGCTCACTGCAACCTCCGCCTCCCAGGTTCAAGCGATTCTCCTGCCTCGGCCTCCTGAGTAGCTGGGATTACAGGCACCCGCCACCACGCCCGGCTAATTTTTGTATTTTTAGTAGAGACGGGGTTTTACCATGTTGGTCAGGCTGGTCTCGAACTCCTGACCTCGTTCGTATTCTGCCCACCTCGGCCTCCCAAAGTGCTGGGATTACAGGCATGAGCCACCGCGTCCCGCGGACTAGCCACATTTCAAGTGCTCAGTAGCCATGTGTAAACTGGTGACTATCATATTTGACAACACATCTCTAAAATGCACCCCTTGTAAAAGTAGGACTTTGTCTTGTTCATGGCCAAATTCTCAGTGTCTAGAATAGGCCTTGGCACATAGGTGTTTAGTTGGTGTTTAATTAGTGAATGATGACCTTCCGTTTCCTTGGCACCATTTCCTGCGACCAGTCCCTATCTCAGGTCTCCGAGAACAGTCTCTAACCTGGCAACCCTCAGATATAATAAGGACAGTTAGCGCCATCTGCTGGAAGATGGAGCATCACCTGCCTCTGAGAATCAAGCTCATCTATCCAAGGCTGATGGGGCCTGGAATGATATTCCTTACCTTAACCTCGGATCCCCAACTTTCCAAAGGTTTTTCTCTGCTCTTATGTCCTAGCATTACCAAGACAATGAAAAATAACAACACTGTGCCAGGCTCCCTTTTGTATGGTCCACACCTGAATTCTGGAAATGGCTGGCTGAAAGAGTATTTTGCAAGCCCATTCATTCTCTGCCCAGCCCTTTTTTTTTCTTCCTTCCTTCCCTTCTTCTTTCTTTCTTTTCCTCCCTCCCTCCTTCCCTCCTTCCTTCCTTCCCTCCCTCCTTCCTTCCTTCTCTCTCTTTCTTTCCAGAGACCCATAAAGACTGCCCACAGCCTTCAAGGTAAGAACTCCTGCCCTCAGAGGATGTATGCATAAACTTGTAGTAAATGGGTCAGGCGTGGCAGCTCACATTTGTAATCCCAGGACTTTGGGAGCCCGAGGCAGGCGGACCACAAGGTCAGGAGTTTGAGACCAGCCTGGCCAACATGGTGAAACCCCGTCTCGCTCTTTTTTTTTTTTTGAGACGGAGTCTTGCTTTGTTGCCAGGCTGCAGCACAGTGATGTGATCTCGGCTCACTGCAACCTTCACCTCCTGGGTTCAAGCGATTCTCTTGCCTCAGCCTCCCGAGTAGCTGGGAATACAGTTGCATGCCACCACGCTCAGCTAATTTTTGTATTTTTAGTAGAGAAGAGGTTTCACCATGTTGGCCAGGATGGTCTCGATCTCCTGACCTCATGATCCGCCCGCCTCGGCCTCCCAAAGTGCTGGGATTACAGGCGTGAGCCACCATGCCCAGCCAGGGGAAACCCTGTCTCTACTAAAAATACAAAAAATAGCCGGGCGTGGTGGTATGCGTCTGTAATCCCAGCTTCTCGGGAGGCTGAGGCAGGAGAATCCCTTGAACCTGGGAGGGGGAGGTTGCAGTGAGCTGAGATCGAGCCATTGCACTTCAGCCTGGGCGACGAGAGCGAGACTCCGTCTCAAAAAAAAAAAAAAAAAGAAAGAAAAGAAACTGAGTGGAAAGGTAAGAAAACTGAATGGAAAAATAGGAAGATTGAATAACTTGCTCAAAGCCACACAGCTGATGAGTGGTCATAGAATCCTTCTGCCAAATTGTATATAGATCTAGTTTCAGCTTTATGATTTTTTTTATTTAACAAATATTTTGCTGGGTACAGTGGCTCATGCCTGTAATCCCAGCACTTTGGGAGGGTGAGGCAGGAGGATTGCTTGATCCCAGGAGTTTGAGGCCAGGCTGGGCAACATAGTGAGACCCTGTCTCTAAAAAAAATAAATAAATATAGGCCTGGCACGGTGGCTCACACCTGTAATCCCAATGCTTTGTGAGGCCAAGGCGGGTGGATCACCTGAGGCCAGGAGTTTGAGACCAGCCTAGCCAACATTGTGAAACCCCGTCTCTCCTAAAAATACAAAAGTTAGCAAGGCATGATGACCTGTAGTCCCAGCTACTCGGGAGGCTGAGGCAGGAGAATCGCTTGAACCCAGGAGGCAGAGGCTGCCGTGAGCCAAGATCGCGCCACAGCACTCAAACCTGGGCACCACAGAGCAAGACTCTGTCTCAAAAGAAAAAACAAACGAATATATATATATATAAAATAAAAAACTATTATTTACTGAACACTTTTCTCACAGAAACATACAGCAAAGGTTCTCCTCTCATAGAGCTTTTGTTTGTTTGTTTGTTTTTTGAGACGGAGTCTCGCTCTGTCTCCCAGGCTGGAGTGCAGTGTAAACCCAGCACCACTACGGGAGGCAGAGGTGGGTGGATCACTTGAGGTCAGGAGTTCGAGACCAGCCTGGCCAACATGATGAAATCTCATCTCTACTAAAAACACACACACAAAATTAGTTGGGCGTTGTGGCAGGCGCCCGTAATCCCAGCTACTCAGGAGGCCGAGGCAGGAGAATTGTTTGAACCCGGGAGGCAGAGTTTGTAGTGAGCTGAAATTGCGCCATTGCACTCCAGCCTGGGCCACAGAGCAAGACTATGTCTCAAAAAAATAAAATAAAATAAAATAAAATAGGCCGGGCGCAGTGGCTCACGCCTGTAATCCAAGCACTTTGGGAGGCCGAGGTGGGCAGATCACCTGAGGTTAGGAGTTCGAGACCAGACTCAGCATGGAGAAACCCCATCTCTACTAAAAATACGAAATTAGCTAGGCATGGTGGTGCATGCTTGTAATCCCAGCTACTCGGGAGGCTGAGGCAGGAGAATTGCTTGAACCTGGGAGGCAGAGGTTGCGGTGAGCTGAGATTGCGCCATGGCACTCCAGCCTGGGCAACAAAAGCGAAACTCTGTCTCAAAAAATAATAATAATAATAAAATAAAATAGTTCTTTGCGAGGCTGAGGTGGGAAGATTGCTTGAGCACAGGAGTTCAAGACTGCAGTGGGCCGTGATCGCCCCACTGTACTCCAGCCTGGGCCACCAAACAAGATCTGTCCAAAAAAACAAAACAAAACAAAAAGCCAGGCATGGTGGCTCATGCCTGTAATCACAACACATTGGGAGGCCAAGGTGGGTGGATCACCTGAGGTCAGGAGTTCAAGACCAGTCTGGCCATCATAGGGAAACCCTGTCTCTACTAAAAATACAAAAAATTGGCCAGGCGTAGTGGCTCATGCCTGTAATCCCAGCACTTTGGGAGGCCGAGGCGGGAGAATCACCTGAGGTTGTGAATTCGAGACCAGCTTGGCCAACATGGTGAAACCCCATCTCTATTAAAAATACAAAAATTGGCCGGGCGCGGTGGCTCACGCCTGTAATCCCAGCACTTTGGGAGGCCGAGGCGGGTAGATCACGAGGTCAGGAGATCGAGACCATCGTGGCTAACACAGCGAAACCCTGTCTCTACTAAAAATACAAAAAAATTAGCCGGGCGTGGTGTCGGGCGCCTGTAGTCCCAGCTACTCGGGAGACTGAGGCAGGACAATGGCGTGAACCTGGAAGGCGGAGCTTGCAGTGAGCCGAGCTTGCACCACTGCACCTCCAGCCTGGGTGACAGAACGAGACTCCATCTCAAAAAAAAAAAAAATACAAAAATTAGCTGGGTGTGGTGGTGCATGCCTGTAATCCCAGCTACTCGGGAGGCTGAGGCAGGAGAACTGCTTGAACCCGGGAGGCGGAGGTTGCAGTGAGCTGAGATCGCACCATGAGACTCCAGCCTGGGCGACAGAGTGAGACTCCGTCTCAAAGAAAAACCAAAAAAAAAAAAAATTAGCTGGATGTGTCAGCTTGTACCTGTACCTGTAATCTCAGCTACTAGGGAGGCTGAGGCAGGAGAGTCACTTGAAACCAGGAGGCAGAGGTTGCAGTGAGCTGAGATCACGCCACTGCACTGCAGTCTGGATGACAGAGTGAGACTCTGTCTCAAAAAAAAAATATATATATATATACACACACACACACACACACACACACACACATACAAACACACATACATACATACACACACACATATAAATGTAGTGAGTGACTGATACTGCCAATAAATAAAAGGAAAAACAGAAGGATTAGTGATGGATGTGTGTGTTTGTGGATGAGAGCTCAGAGCCTCAAAAGCCTCCAGGAGTCCACAAACTGGCAGCCAGACCCATCTGGACGGGCAGAAGGTAAGGAAGCAATGTTGACAGTCTAGGCAAATCTATTGGGCGTGGACTGCTCTGTACTCACAAGTGCAGGCCTAGCTTCTCAACTGAGTTTGGAACTACCTTTCTTTCTTTCTTTCTTTTCTTTTTTTTTTTTTTTTTAGAAACAGGGTTGGCCGGGCACAGTGGCTCACGGCTGTAATCCCAGTACTTTGGGAGGCCAAGGCGGGTGGGTCACCTGAGTTCAGGAGTTCAAGACCATCCTGGCCAACATGGCGAAACTCCGTTTCTATTAAAAATACAAAAATTAAGCAGGCGTGGTTTGGGAGGGATGGCGCCTGTAATCCCAGCTACTGGGGAGGCTGAGGCAGGAGAATTGCTTGAAGCTGGGACCCAGAGGTTGCAGTGAGCCCATTGCACTCCAGCCTGGGTGACAAGAGCAAGACTCCGTCTCAAAAAAACAAAAAAGAAAGAGCGGTGGCTCACGCCTGTAATCCCAGCACTTTGGGAGGCTGAGGCGGGTGGATCACAAGGTCAGGAGTTCAAGATCAGCCTGGCTAAGATGGTGAAACCCTGTCTCCACTAAAAATACAAAAAAATTAGCCTGGCGCAGTGACAGGAGCCTGTAATCCCAGCTACTCGGGAGGCTGAAGCAGGAGAATTGCTTGAACCTGCGGAGGCGGAGGTTGCAGTGAGCCAAGATCACACCAGTGCACTCCAGCCTGGGTGACAGAATAAGACTCCATAAAAAAGAAAGAAAGAAAGAAAGAAAAGGAAGGAAGGAAGGAAAGAAGGAAGGAAGGAAGGAAGGAAAGAAAGAAAGAGAGAGAGAGAGGGAGAAAGAAAGAAAGGAAAGAAAGAGAGAGAGAGAGGGAGAAAGAAAGTAAGAAAGAAAGAAAGACAGACAGACAGAGACAGACAGGGTCTTGGCCAGGCAAGGTGGCTCATGCATGAAATCCCAACATTTTGGGAGGCCAGGGCGGGCAGATCACCTGAGCTCAGGAGTTAGAAACCAGCTTGGGCAACATAGCAAAACCCTATCTCGACAAAAATTACAAAAATTAGCAAGGGGTGTTTCGGAGTCTACTCTGGCTCAGGAGGCTGCCTGTAAAAAAACAAAACAAACAAACAAAAAAATTAGCCAAGCGTGGTGGCATGTGCCTATAGTTCTAGCTGCTTGGGAGGGTAAGGTGGGAGGATTGCATAAGCCTGGGAGGTTGAGGCTACCGTGAGCTGTGATTGAGCCATTGCACTCCAGCCTAGGTGACAGAGTGAGACTCTGTCTCAAAAATAAATAAATACATAAATAAGAAACTCGGTCTCTGTCACCCAGACTTGAGTGCAATGGCATGTTCACAGCTCACAGCAGACTCGACCTCTTGGGCTCAAAGGATCCTCTCAGCTCAGCCTCTTGAGTAGCTGGGACTACAGATGCATGCCACCATGTCTGGCTAATTTTTTTTTCTTTTCTTTTTTTTTTTTGTTTTATAGATAAGGTCTTGCTATGTTGCCCTGGCTGGTCTGAACTCCTGGCTTCAAGCAAAGCAATTCTCCCACCTAGATCTCCCCAAGCGCTGGAATTACTGGCGCAAGGCACCATACCCAGCCAGAAGCTGCCATTTCTTTTCCACTGTCTCTTGTAGGATGATTTGAAGTAGCTCTAAGCAGGTGGCAGAGCAGGTGAGTCTCTCAAGGCTTTCCTAGCCCAACCCCTCAGGCTCTAGAGGGCAGTGCAAGTCAAGGTGGCCAAGGGTGGGCCCAGGGCTCACAGCCAGTTGAGACAGAACCACACTGGAATTTCTCTGACCTTAAGCACATTGCAGGGGCTCCTAGTACTGCAGAACTTTCAGGGACTCTTTTAAATTGCAGCAATATGGTGTGTGTAGAGGGTGTGTTTCTGGAAAAATTGTCTATAGCTTTTTCAGATAATGGAGATAAGGAAGGTTGGAGACCCTACCATAAGTTATGAAATCCATGGTATCCCCTTCCCTGGCTTGGTCTCGAGACAGGCTCCACACTGCCTTCCTAAATGTAGTCTGGCAGCCCATGATCTCCCTGGGGCATGCCATGGAGTACTCAGCTGCCCCCATCCAGGACTCTTTGTGTCCAATTAGGGGGGATGGCAGGAAACAAGATTTTCTCCGGTCCTTGGGGACTGCTGGGAGAGCCAGCAGCTTGGAACAGCTTCCTGCAGCTGCTGGGAACAGGGAGCCAAAGAATGCCTGTGCTTCCCTGGATTTCCTGGGACCCATGTCCTGCTGCTGAAGTCACTGGGCCCCACCAGGTCCCACCACGTCCCACCATGGGCCTCATTATGGGCACCTTTTATTTCATTATGAAAGGAATCAGGAATGAGATGACCTTTGTGTGGGGCAATGCAAGGCCCAGCAGGAGGCTGCCCAGATGGCTCTCTTGTCAGTTCCCCTATCTTTTTCCCTGTGCTCCCCCTGCTTGACCCATACTCCAGATCATTCTGCTCAGAGTCAGGCAAGTTCCAGCAAAGTCTAGGATGCCTGGTCAAGGCCTGCTGGGACAATCACCTCTGCACCATTCTTGTCCATCTGACCAGGCTTGGACATGTCCTGCTACTGCTGAACTCTTCCTGGGAGTTCACCAAGCCAGTAGGAAATTCAGCTGCTCCCCTCTCCAAAGACTCCACTACAGTGATCCCTCCTCCATGTGGCCTTCTCAGACCAGGCCCTCACACCTCCTTGTTTCCTGGGTGCAGCTTTTGCTACCCAAGAGCAGAAACACATGCTTCTCAGCTGCCCTGCCTATGACTTCTATTTCTCAGCTTTTTGCCTTCTTGAATGTCTAGGAATGGAGTAGGTGCTCAATAAAGGGCTTTATGATTTGATTTGGCTACTTCCCTGCCCTCCTCCCAATTCCTTACCCTGAGTACAAATAACGACTGAAGTGGGCTTAGACTAAACCCCAGAACTGCAGAAGACCCTATAATCAGGCCACCCTGAGAATATCTTTGTTCATCCAATGGGCCCTAGGCCTTTTTGCTGCTTTTTTTTTTTTTTTTTTTTTTTGAGAGGAAGTCTCGCTCTGTTTGTTGCCCAGGCTGGAGTGCAGTGGTGTTATTTTGGCTCACTGCAACCTCCACCTCCCGGGTTCAAGCGATTCTCTTGTCTCACCCTCCCAAGTAGCCGGGATCACAGGTGCACGCCACCACACCCGGCTAATTTTTGTATTTTTAGTAGAGACGGGGTTTCACCATGTTGCTCAGGCTGGCCTTGAACTCCCGACCTCAGGTGATCCACCTGCCTTGGCCTCCCAAAGTGCTGGGATTACAGGCTTGAGCCACTGCACCCAGCCTTTTTGCTGCTTTTTTAAGGGGGTGAGCCAACCTGGAGGCCTCTGCCTTTTCTTCCTTACTGATGTTGCCCTGCAACCTCTTCTCTCTGTCTCTGGATCCTAACTACTCCCATAATTCAACAGTGTCAAGACTCCACCAAGGTAAGTTCAAAGTAGCTGCTGGCCACATGCCCAAGGTGGGAGAGGGACAGAAACCTAGCCTTGTTCTTCCTGGACTGGTCTGGAAGCCCCTTACATGGCTCCAAGGCCTCTGTGTCCTGGGCCCTAGGGTTGGATAGGTCCTGGTAGCTATAGTTTTGATGGAATTGTATCCATTCATTGACTCATTCAGCAAGCATTAGTGGAATTCTTATTCTGGGCCAGGCCCAGTAAAGGTTACAAAGATAAGCACAGATCCATAGCTTGGCCACTTACTGGCTATGGGACTTTTAGTAAGTGACTTAACCTTTGGGCCTCAGTTTTCTCATCTGTAACGTGGGGCCAATAATAACTGTGACAGAGGGTTGCTGGAAGGCATGGTGAGATATCGTGTGCCAAAGATATAGGACAGCGCTCAGTGATGGTAACTTTTTTTTTTTTTTTTTTTTTTTTTTTTTTTTTTTTTCGAGACGGAGTCTCGCTCTGTCGCCCAGGCTGGAGTGCAGTGGCGGGATCTCGGCTCACTGCAAGCTCCGCCTCCCGGGTTCATGCCATTCTCCTGCCTCAGCCTCCCAAGTAGCTGGGACTACAGGCGCCCGCCACTACGCCCGGCTAATTTTTTGTATTTTTAGTAGAGACGGGGTTTCACCGTTTTAGCCGGGATGGTCTCGATCTCCTGACCTCGTGATCCGCCCGCCTCGGCCTCCCAAAGTGCTGGGATTACAGGCGTGAGCCACCGCGCCCGGCCCGATGGTAACTTATTATCAAGGGCAATCATTGCCCTCTAGAAGCTTGAGGTTTCCTAGACAATGAGGAGTCAGATGTCAGGAAGGCTTGGGGGTGTTGTTCTTGAGTGGGGTGGGCAAAACTTGGGTAGGTGGAAGAGGAACCTTCACAAGTGAGAGTATCTATGGGGGTCGAGGAGAGAGGAGGAGACTGGTAAGTCTTGACCAACTCCTCCTCCATGTGGCCTTCTCACATGGAGGTCCCTGTTGCTTAGGGTAGGGTGAGGGTGGGGCTTAATTTATCCTGCAGGAGGCTGGACATCCTTGCATGTCCTTGAAAGTGTGTGGGCTTGTGGAATTTGGGCTCAAAATTGCCAATGGGACTCTGTGGAAGGTCTTTCCAGAAAGCTACAGGTCTCCAGCACAGACTAAAATATCCAAGAGGCCTATTTTTCTTCTTTTTTTTTTTTTTTTGAGACAGAGTTTCACTCTTGTTGCCTAGCCTGGAGTGCAATGGCACAATCTAGGCTCACTGCAACCTCCGCCCCCCGGGGTCAAGCAATCCTCCCTCAGCCTACGGAGTAGCTGGGATTACAGGCACATGCCACCATGCCCAGCTAATTTTTTGTATTTTTAATTAATTAATTTTTTTTTGAGACACAGTTTCGCTCTTGTTGCCCAGGCTGAAGTGCAAATGGAGAGATCTTGGCTCACCGCAACCTCTGCCTCCTGGGTTCAAGCGATTCTTCCACCTCAGCCTCCAGAGTAGCTGGGATTACAGACATGTGCCACCACGCCTGGCTAATTTTGTATTTTTCAGTAGAGATAAGGTTTCTCCATGTTGGTCATGCTGGTCTCGAACTCCCAACCTCAGGTGATCCACCAGCCTTGGCCTCCCAAAGTGCTGGGATTACAGGTGTGAGCCACCGCACCTGGCCAATTTTTTGTATTTTTAGTAGATATGGGGCTTCACCACGTTGGCCAGGCTGGTCTCGAACTCCTGACCTCAGGTGATCCACCCGCCTCAGCCTCCCAAAGTGTTGGGGTTACAGGCACGAGCCACCATGCCCGGCAATAGGCCTAATTTTCTTTTTTCCTTTTCTTTTTTTTTTTTTTTGAGGCAGACCCTCGCTTTGTCACCTAGGCTGGAGTGCAGTGGTGCGATCTCAGCTCACTGCAACATCCACCTCCCAGGTTCAAGCGATTCTCCTGCCTCAGCCTCCTGAGTAGCTGGGACTACAGGTGCCGGTCACCACGCCCAGCTAATTTTTGCATTTTTAGTAGAGATGGGGTTTCATCTTGTTGGTCAGGCTGGTCTCAAACTCCTGACCTCAGGCGATCCATCCACCTGGGCCTCCCAAAGTGCTGGGATTACAGGTGTGAGCCACCGCGACTGGCTAGAGGCCTAATTTTCAATCAAAATTTCATTCATGGCCGGGCGCAATGGCTCACACCTGTAATCCCAAAACTTTGGCCGGTGGGCGGATCACAAGGTCAGGAGTTCGAGACTAGCCTGGCCAATATGATGAAACCCCGTCTCTACTAAAAACACAAACATTAGCTGGGCATGGTAGCGGGTGCCTATAGTCCCAGCTACTTGGGAAACTGAGGCGAAGAACTGCTTGAACCCAGGAGGCGGATGCAGTGAGCCGAGATCATGCCACTGCACTCCAGCCTGGGCGACAGAACGAGACTCCGTTTCAAAAAAGAAAGATGTGGAAGTGGAGAGGCATGGGGAGAAGTGGAGGGTGAAGAAGCAGGAAGAGGTGAGGTAAAGTGGAGGGGATAGGACCAGGAGGCTGGTCAGGGGGCACGTGAGGGATCCTTGTCCTCCAGCAGCTGGAAGACAGGAAGAATGCTGAGCAGAGCAGGATCATAGGTAGATTTGGGTTTGGAAGTTAGCTCTGGCTGGTGCCACAGTGGACTGGATTAGCAGTGTGCTGCACGCAGAGTCTCCAGCTGAGGACAGGGCCCTGTAGCCCCTCCTTCTGCAGACCATTGTTCTTAGGAGGGAGAAGGTATTCAGACGACCAAGGCCCAAGAAGACACGGGGGGTGCAGGGTAGAGGCTGGCACCTCAGGCCGATAGGAGGCAGGGGGACCTTGGCCCTAGAGGAGCCTGGGAACAGCAGCAGCTGTTGCTGCTGGCAAGGCAAGCGGGTAGGCAGCCCACGTCTGTGGTGGCCAGTGGGGGAGGGTCTCCAGAATTTGAGGCCAAGGACATCTGCAAGGGTGGGCAGCAAAGCCATCAAGACAGGGGAGGGGGAGGTTGTGGCAGGTCAGCCAGGGACAGTGTCCCACCCTCATCCAGCTGTCTGGGAACAGCTGCAGGAAGAGGGAGGGAGGAGGCCTGGCAGCAGCAGGTGAGGAAGCTCTCTAGTTGCCTAAGCATGGGAAAGGAGAGCTGGTGCGGGTGGGAGGGAATTGAGGGAGGGTACCCAGGAAACGGGGACGGAAGCATGTCCATGCCAAAGGGACTGCCTGGTTCTCATGCATGCAAATGCAGCTGGAATTCTTCAGGGAAAGAATGTGTGGGGTTGGGGGATTGGGAGTAGGGAGGGAACCAAGTGCTCTCCTCTTCCTTCCAGAGGTTCCCCCAAAGGCTATCCTCCTAGGCTGCTCGGCCCCACCTCAGGACTCCCCCCGACTCCTCATTCCTGGGTTGAATTTTCTCTTTCCCCACCCTCCTCTTTCCTTATTCACTCCTGTGGCTTGATCCTATTCCTAGGAAGAAAAGCAAACAGAAGGCCAGACACAGTGGCTCACCCCTGTAATCCCAGCACTTTGGGAGGCCAAGGTACGCAGATCACCTGAGGTCAGGAGATTGAGACCATCCTGTCCAACATGGCAAAACCCCCGTCTCTACTAAAAATACAAAAATTAGCTGGGTGTGGTGGTACACACCTGTAATCCCAGATGCTCGGGAGGCTGAAGCAGGAGAATTGCTTGAACCCAGGAGGTGGAGGTTGCAGTGAGCCGAGATTGTGCCTGCACTCCCGCCTGGGCGACAGAGTGAGACACCCTCTAAAAAAAACCAAACAAACAGAACCTAGGATTCCTAAGGGCCCTTTGGAAAGCTCTGGTCCACAGGAGTCAGAGGGGGAAAGGATACAGAGAGAAGTCTTTGCCCAAGGCCCCAGTCAGTCAGAGGCAGGCACCAGCGCACCTGCTTGTGCACACCCAGCCCTTGGGGCCTTGACCCTGGGTAAGACCTTGACTGTGACAGCAAGTGGGCCTGGGCATCCCTGAGCTCTGCCTCCTGTGAGCTCAGTGGGGCTTACTAGAAACAAGTCTGTTCCCAGTGGTTGTAGGTGTCCTGAGGAGGCCTGAGATTTCCCACTTCTCTGCCGGCCAGGGCCTCAGTGCTGCTGACCTTGAACAAATTGCTGAGAGCCCCAGGCAGCAGAGTGAGTATAGGGGGGTTTTGGGCAGAGGAAGAATAGGGGGTCAGCTGAGACCAGGCTTTCTCCCTGGGATTTCCCCAAGGTAGGAGGAGCAGCTGCTGGGCCCTGGAGCAGCCTTCCTCACACCTACATGTCCTCACCTTTATATCAGCTGCTACATTCTTTTAAGTATCCCAGGGCATGGAGATGATGAAATATTTCTTTTAACCTTTTCTAGAAAAACCCTCCACACACCATGAATGGGTTTTTGTATGGCACTGGGGACATGTGAGTGCCTCTGCAGAGAGCCACTACCATGCTATAGCCAGTCATGCCCACCCCTGAAGGCCCACAACCTGGGCTTCAAGCTGGGGTCTCTCTCTTTCTTACCTTAAACGCCAGTTCTGAGCTCAGCCCCTAATACTTCCCACTCCAGGCCTTCCTAGTCCCTGGGGTCCCCTGCCAGGTCCAGCATAGTTAACTCATCTGATGGACATAGACCTTTTCCTGAGGGTCACACATATTCGTGGGCGACCCCAGCCAGAAATTCTGTCCAGCTTGGTTAAGTGACAGCTGCTGGGAGGGACGTTTGAGGGTCACCGGCCCAGAGCATCCCAGAGATGGATGGGACAGCTGGCCTGGGCTTTGTGCCTACCAGGTGACCCTACACCTGTCCTGAAGGCCTCCAGCATGCTTGTGTCAAGCAGTAGCTCTGGGGGAGGTAGGTGGGGGTTTGCCCTGGAATCCATCTTAAGGCAGGACCTTCCCCAACTGCTCCCTGCTCCCCAGCTACCCTCTCCTCTCCACTCTCTCCTTTCTCCCACCTCTGCCATTGGCCCAGTCCATGGGTTTCCTTTCCCCAGGCAGTTGACGCTGGGCCCTCTCTGATGGGCCATGCTGGGTCTCCCCTGAAGTCCTTACATACTGAGTATACCAGGAGTATATCCAGGCCCAAGGGAGCCCTTCCTCCACCATGTCCCTTCCCCTTTGACCTTTCTCTCCTGGGGCTGGAAGGAGGGGAGTGGCCTCTCTGCATTCCAGGGAAGGTGGAGGAAGGACAAGTGAGAAATTTTCTCTCTAAATGCTTGTTCTGACTTGACTTCCCTGATGCCTGTTGCCCCTCCTCCACATGACCCCCATCTCTGCCTCCACTCTGCCTGCTCTCTCCTCCCCAACCCCTCCTCTGTGCTCCCACCTTTCTTTTCCCACCTACAGGGGAAAGAAGGGCTGCAAGCCTGGAGCTCAGCTGCTGTCCCCTCACCCCTCACCCAACTGCATTCCTTCCTGGAGGCCTGAGGGCACTGCCTGCCCTGGCCCTCCCACCCTCCTTCTCCTCCTCCTCCTCCTCCTTGCTCCCATCTTTCAGCTACCATGCCCCTTGCTCCTGGGATCCTACCTTTCTGGCAAAGCCCAGCCTGGTTAAATATAGTGCTGGTGCCTGCTCTCCCATCTGTTGCTTTCTCTCCTTTATCACCACTCCATTCACTGCTCAGGCCTTGGGGATTTCCAAGATCTTTCAGGCCTGCCCTGCCCACTTTCTCCTAAGCCTTCACTGTGGCCTTTCTCTAGGCTTATTCCATTCACTCTCCAGAAAACCCCAGGGTTTCCTCCGTGTTCACCTCCTATAGGCTCTGCCTTCAAAGAGTGGATTTCTCAAATGTTCTGCACCACACAGTACACCCTGGTTCCCCCCTTCCCTCTCATCCCCTTTGTAACTACCTGATTATTACATTTGTATTTACTTATTTTATTTACTGTCTTATTTGTCTGGAATTTGGGCTCCACAAGGGAAGGGCTTGTCCCTTTTATTTCTTCCTGTGTTCCTAGCATACAATAGACTCAGTAAATATCTGTGGATTCAACAAGGCATGGATGGATGTTTCACCCTGGCCGTGACTCAGTCACATAATCTGGTCTTCTGTCATTTTTAGTGAGCAGACAGGGCCACAGCCCACATATGAGGTCACTTGATGATGAGGTGACCAAGGGGCTTAGAGAGGGCAAGCAGCTTTGCAAAGTCATACAGTGAACTCGGCTCTGAGTCTCAGCAGGGGCTTATTCTTTTTTTTTTTTTTTGAGACGGAGTCTCACTCTGTCGCCAGGCTGGAGTGCAGTGGCATGATCTCGGCTCACTGCAAGCTCTGCCTTCCGGGTTCACGCCATTCTCCTGCCTCAGCCTCCTGAGTAGCTGGGACTACAGGCGCCCGCCACCACGCCCGGCTAATGTTTTGTATTTTCAGTAGAGACGGGGTTTCACCGTGTTCCGTGTTAGCCAGGATGGTCTCGATCTCCTGACCTCGTGATCCACCCTCCTCTGCCTCCCAAAGTGCTGGGATTACAGGCGTGAGCCACCGTGCCTAGCCAGCAGGGGCTTATTCTTTATTCTTTTTTTTTTTTTTGAGATGGAGTTTCGCTCTTGTTGCCCAGTGCCCAGGCTAGAGTGCAGTGGCGTGGTCTCGGCTCACTGCAACCTCTGCCTCCTGGGTTCAAGCGATTCTCCTGCCTCAGCTGCCCAAGTAGCTGGGACTACAGGGATAGGCCACCACGCCCGGCTAATTTTGTATTTTTAGTAGAGACAGGGTTTCTCCATGTTGGTCAGGCTGGTCTCGAACTCCTGACCTCAGGTGATCCGCCCGCCTCGGCCTCCCAAAGTGCTGGGATTACAGGCATGAGCCACCACACCTGGCCAAAAAACACCTTTCCCCGTGGGTGGACATACATGTCCAATGCCCCCTCCCTTAGCTACATTCAGCTCCCTGCTGGCTCTGGGATAAGATAGTCCCCCAAGACTGACTTTGCATGGCTATTCCCAAAACACTGTGTCTGTGGCCTTGAGCGCTGGACTAAACACTAGATTAGGTTTAGTCTAGCCAGGCAGTCAGTGGAAGCAAGCAAAGGTAGGGGGTCTGTTTGTTCATTCTCTTCAGTTACTGACCAGCTAGCCCCTAAACCCAAAGTCGTGGGGGACACCACCCATATTCGTCCAGTTTAGCAGAATTGTTCTCTTCTCCATCACATGTCAGTCCAAATCTGGCTCAGGGGTCAATCAGGGGCTTTTCTAGGGCAGAAACACCTCTTTCAGAGCTGGCTAGATCTTATTTGGGCCTGTCCTTCTCATTGGCCTGGGCACCCCTCAGTGGCCCTTTAGTCAGAGACATTGATGGGCCACCAAGCAAACACTGACTCTGACCCTGCTGTCATGGCTGATGAGTATGCCCCTGAAACACTGGAAAGTGTTGGATCCAGGTGAAAATATAGCTTTTGCCTCTAGGCTGAGTGCTGACAGAGACAGGAAGGGCCTCTGAGAGCCCTATCTCTAGTGTAGGGAATCCTCGACATTTCTGGGATGAATGAGAGCAGTCCTCCGGCCATCTTGAGGTGAACTAATAAAGGAATAAAAGGTGAATGTTAGCTAATCAGTCACGTTCTCCAGTGTGTACATGTAAAGAATAAGCCCCTGCTGAGGCCAGGTGCAGTGGCTCATGCCTGTAATCCCCGCACTTTGGGAGGCCAAGGTGGGCGGATCACTTGAGGTCAGGAGTTCAAGACCAGCCTGGCTAACATGGTGAAACTCCGTCTCTAGTAAAAATACAAAAATTAGAAGCCGGGCGTGGTGGTTTACGCCTGTAATCCCAGCACTTTGGGAGGCCAAGATGGGCTGATCACAAGGTCAGGAGATGGAGACCATCCTGGCTAACACGGTGAAATCCCGTCTCTACTAAAAATACAAAAAAACAAAAAAAATTAGCTGGGCATAGTGGCGGGTGCCTGTAGTCCCAGCTACTCAGGAGGCTGAGGCAGGAGAATGGCGTGAACCTGGGAGGCAGAGGTTGCAGTGAGCCGAGATCGCGCCACTGCCCTCCAGCCTGGGTGACTGAGCAAGACTCCGCCTCAAAAAAAAAAAACATTAGCCGGGCGTGGTGGCGGGCGCCTGTAATCCCAGCTACTCAGGGGGCTGAGGCAGGAGAATCGCTTGGGCCCGGGAGGCGGAGGTTACAGTGAACAGAGATGGAGCCACTGAACTCCAGCCTGGGCCACAGAGTGAGATTTCGTCTCAAATAAATAAATAAATAAATAAATAAATAAATAAATAAATAAATAAATAAATATTGGCCCGGCGCGGTGGCTCACGCCTGTAATCCCAGCACTTTGAGAGGCAGAGGAGGGTGGATCACGAGGTCAGGATATCGAGACCATCCTGGCTAACACGGTGAAACCCTGTCTCCACTAAAAATACAAAAAATTAGCTGGGCGTGGTGGTGGGCGCCTGTAATCTCAGCTACTCGGGAGGATGAAGCAGGATAATGGCGTGAACCCGGGAGGCGGAGCTTGCGGTGAGCCGAGATCGCACCACTGCACTCCAGCCTGGGCGACAGAGCAAGACTCGGTCTCAAAAAAAAAAAAAAAGATTAAATAAATAAATAAATAAATTGCCAGGCATGGTGGCAGGCCCTGCGCCTGTATTCCCAGCTACTCAGGAGGCTGAGGCAGGAGAATCACTTGAGCCCAGGAGGCAGAAGTTGCAGTGAGTCAAGATTGCGCCACTACATTCCAGCCTGGGTGACAGAGGGAGAATGTTTAAAAAAAATAAATAAATAAAATAAAAATAAAGAAGGCCAGTCGCGGTGGCTCACGCCTATAATCCCAGCACTTTGGGAGGCCAAGGCGGATGGATCACCTGAGGTCAGGAGTTTGAGACCAGCCTGGCTGGCTAACATGGTGAAACCCCGTCTCAACTAAAAATACAAAAATTAGCTGGGCGTGATGGCAGGCGCCTGTAATCCCAGCTACTCTGGGGGTGGAGGCAGGAGAATCGCTTGAACTCGGGAGGCGAAGGTTGCAGTGAGCCGAGATTGCGCCATCGCACTCCAGCCTGGGGAACAAGAGCGAAACTTTGTCACAAAAAAAAAAAAAAAGAATAGGCCGGGTGCGGTGACTCACGCCTGCAATCCCAGCACTTTGGGAGGCTGAGGCAGGCGGATCACCTGAGGTTGGGAGTTCGCAACAACAGCGAAACTCCATCTCAAAAAAAGAAAGGTGTCTTTTATTTATTCAACCAACAGTCCCCCTTGCTATGGGGTTCCTGCCCCATAGGACTCTCTGTTCCTAGAGGGACAGGTGTGGAAGCTGTGGCCCAGTTGACTGGAGGAATGCTCTTTGCCAGCCATGTATGGAGGGGTCTGGTGGAAGTGCTGGAGTGGAGGGCCCTGCAAGGGGAGGAACTGGCTTCTGGGAAGGCTGGTGGTGACCCACAAACACGCCTACTGGCAGTTTATCTCGGATGAACTTATCAGTCCTTTCTTTCTGCCAGAGCTGCCAAACAATCAGCCTTCTGTTAAATCCAGACAAAAGGGACTCCTCCCTTGCCGTGACTTGGCTGGCCCTGCTTGCTAGCCCTCTGCCTCAGGCAGGCCTGTGGGCCTGGCATTTGGGTCAGGAGCCTCCACCCTTGACCAGCACCAGCCCCTGCCCCTCTCTGTCAGGCCTGGAGAGGAATCAGCAGCAGAGGCCTCCCTCCCCTGGGAAGAATCTGAGGATGAGCACTGGTCCTTGACCCTCAGCTTCTCAGAAACACGCCAGGGTAAAAAGCCCTGGAATCCTAGGACCATCAGAAAGTTTGGTCCACGTAATGTCCCTTGGATTTGTTCTAACTAAAATCAAGGTCTTAGTTTAAGTCACATGAGCCCCAAGCAAACACTAGGACATTTGCCTTGGGCTTTGCACAGGGCATGGACCTTTGGAGTAGCAACTTGCTTCCTTCCTTCCAAAACCAAAATTGAGCCTCTGCTATCTGCCACTTGCTGTTAGGTGGTGGTTGCTATGTGGGGCCAAGCAAGTTGGTCTCTAGCATCAAGGGCTCATACTTCAGTGGAGGAGACAAACCTTAATCAGATAATCTTCCTGAATCCTCAGGTTGAGGGTCTATGTGGATGAAACACTGGGGGCTGAAGGCCCAAGAGAGTTGGGGACTGACAGGCCCGAAGATCCTCATTCTTTGCCTCTTGATCAGTCCTCCCCATTCCATACCACATGGGTCCTTTGAGTAGCTGCTCCTGGGAGTAACCCAGGCCTCATTTTTTTTTTTCTTTCTTTCTTTCTTTTTTTTTTTTTGAGACGGAGTCTCACTCTGTTGCCCAGGCTGGAGCGAAGTGGTGCAATCTTAGCTCACTGCAACCTCTGCCTCCTGGGTTCAAGTGATTCTCCTGCTTCAGCCTCCTGAGTAGCTGGGATTACAGGTGTGTACCACCACGCCTGGCTAATTTTCATATTTTTAGTAGAGAAGGGATTTCACCATATTGGTCAGGCTGGTCTGGAACTCCTGACCTCGTGATCCACCCACCTCAGCCTCCCAAAGTGTTGGGATTACAGGCATGAGCCACCGCGCCCAGCCTTTTTATTTTTTCTTGAGTCAGGATCTTACTCTGTCACCTGGCTGGAGTGCAGTGGCATGACTGCAGCTCACTGCAACCTCCACCTCCCAGGCTCAAGTGATCCACCTCAGCCTCCTGAGTATCTGGGACCACAGGTGGGTGCCATATGCCTTGCTAATTTTTTAATTTTTTGTAGAGATGGGGGTCTTGCTAACATGTTGCGCAGTCTGGTCTCAAACTTCTCCCATCCAAGTACTAACCAGGCCCAACCCTGCTTAGCTTCTGAGATCAGACGAGCTTGGGTGCATTCAGGGTGGTATGGCCATGGACAGCTCTTGAACTTCTGAGCTCAAACGATCCAGCTGCCTTAGTTTCCCAAAGTGCTGGGATTACAGGTATGAGCCACTGAGCCTGGCCCAGACCTCATTTTTGGTTCTGCCCTCCAACTGGTTGTGAGCACCAAACCTGGCCTGGAGTGGCCTAGGCTCTGCTGGGGTTTGGAAGGTGAGTTACTGGGGACCTTGTGCTGAACTCTAGAGTAGGCTGTGCAGTTCCCACTGAGGGTAAAGGCTTTGACTCTTAGAACTAAAGAGAGTAACAAGGCCTTAACTTTACAGCCCCTAGCCAGTCTAGGGGACCATGAAGACAGCTATTTCTGTGTCATCTTTGGTATGGACTCCAGTGGGGGCTGGTTGGGTTCTGGTGGGAGGTGGTTAGGCCTCCTAAGTGGCTTGTTCAGGTCTGGTCAGCCAAGCCTCCTGCCGTTTTTTTTTTTGAGGGGGGACAGAGTTTCCCTCTTGTTGCCCAGGCTGGAGTGCAGTGGTGTGAACTCGGCTCACTGCAACCTCCGCCTCCCTGGTTCAAGCAATTCTCCTGTCTCAGCCTCCCGAGTAGCTAGGATTACAGGCATATGCCACAACGCCCGGCTAATTTTTTTTGTATTTTTAGTAGAGACGGGGTTTCACCGTGTTAGCCAGGATTGTCTCGATCTTCTGACCTCGTGATCCACCCGCCTTGGCCTCCCGAAGTGCTGGGATTACAGGCGTGAGCCACCACGCCTGGCCTCTTTCTTTTTTTTTGAGACAGGGTCTCATTCTGTTGCCCAGGCTGGAGTGCAGTGGT
The DNA here is from genome assembly GCF_000001405.40 of Homo sapiens. Taxonomy (NCBI): domain Eukaryota; kingdom Metazoa; phylum Chordata; class Mammalia; order Primates; family Hominidae; genus Homo; species Homo sapiens. The sequence continues at coordinate 49,468,024 of NC_000003.12, forward strand.
GTGATCATGGCTCACTGCAGTTTTAATCTCCAAAGCTCAAGCACCTGGCTAATTTAAAAAATTTTTTTGTAGAGATGCTGTCTCACTATATAGTCCAGACTGGTCTTGAATCATGGGCTCAAGAGATCCACCCTCCTTGGCCTCCCAAAGTGCTGGAATTACAGACCTGAGATGTAAAACTATATAGTCAGACACTAAAATATGCAGCAGAACGTATGGCTGCAAAGCAGTGCACGGTGGTGGGGTAGGTGGTGCACTCTCAGAGCCAAAGGAGTGAATGAGAGAATAGAATATATTTTGCTTAGAAACCCAAATAAATAATTTTCTGCATGGTTAGCCCCCCCTTTTTTTTTTTTGGAGACAGGGTCTCCCTCTATTGCATAGGCTGGAGTGCAGTGGTGTGAACACCCGCTCACTGCAGTCTCAACCTCCTGGTCTCAAGCAATCCTCCCACCTCAGCCTCCCAGGTAGCTGGGAGCACAGGTCATGTGCCACCCCGCTTGGCCAATTTTATTTTTAATTTTTATTTTTTGAGACAGAGTCTTGTTCTGTTGCCCAGGTGGAGTTCAGTGGCATGATCTCGGCTCACTGCAACGTCTGCCTCCTGGGTTCACGTGATTCTCCTGTCTCCGCCTCCCGAGTAGCTGGGACTACAGGCGTCTGCCACCATGCCCGGCTATTTTTTGTATTTTTAGTAGAGACGGGGTTTCACGTTGTTGGTCAGGCTGGTCTCAAACTCCTGACCTCAGGTGATCCACCCGCCTTGGCCTCCCAAAGTGCTGGGATTACAGGTGTGAGCCACCGCGGCTGGTCAAAATTTTTTTTTTTTGGTACTTTTTTTGCAGAGGCGGGGTTTCGACACGTTGCCCAGGCTGGTCTTGAACTCCTGAGCTCAAGCTATCCATCCACCTGCCTCGGCCTCCCATAGTGCTGGGACTACAGGCGGGAGCACAGCACCTAGCCCCTTCCTTTTCTTGTCTCTGTGAATGAGGTTTGGAGCCGAGACACTGAAGTATAGATAATTGCAAAAAGGTATGTTTTTGGGAGATGGGGCATTCCTTTCTTATCTCTGCAACTTGCATCTCCCAGACGCTCCTGAGGAGGGAGGGAAAGCCAGGGAGCCCCAGAGCTCTCCGGGATCCAGGGAGGAAACCATGGCTGGTGGCAGCCAGTTCTGTGTTCAGAATGTGCTTGCTGTCAAGAGTGCAGGCCTGGAATTCCAGCCTGGCCACAGGCCAAGGAGGGAATGGACCCATCCTGCGCATGGTGTGGGGATGAGAAGCAGAGCCCACCACGGGTCTCATTCCCAGACCCATCCGGTAACTGTCAGTTTCAGTAACTGTGAAGTCTGGGGCTTTTGGGGTGGGGGGCTGCAGGTTAAGTCCTGGGGAGAGCTAGAGCTACCTTAGGACCCTCCCCTTGAATGTTCCAGGCAGCAACCCCCCTCTCTTATTTCTTCCCCCACCAAAAGAATGCAGGCCACTAGGAGTGAGTGACCAGCGCCTGCGAGTTAGAGCTATTTTGGGCAGGAGAGCAGGCGTCGGATTCCAGTGTTCCAGGCAGGGGGAGGGGACGAGGGTTAGGCCTGAGGCGCTTTCCGACTCCCCAGCCTGCTGTGGGCGAGGCTCTAGGAGATGAGCTAGCTTCCCGCTCCTCCTGTCCCTGGCCTCAGTCTCCCATCCGTGTAAGGGCCGGGCAGCAAGGCTTTCATCCTTTGCAATTGAGAGAACGCTTCCTGATTGTTCTCATGGCTTAGAAATACCCCTTGATTTGCATTCGAAGGAAATAAGGAGGGCTGAACGCAGTCGACGGGTGGCCAGTTGCTGGGCCAGTTCGCAGTCCTGACTGTCCCTTGATTAGTCTTAGAGGCCCAAAGGCCTGAAGTTGGGCGGGGAGCCCCTCCCCCACACTACTGGTTCTGAAGGCTCCGAGTGACCGGGACCGACCGCCGGGGTGTGTCCCGGGACGGACTTCCCTGGCCGTGGGGGCGAGGCTTCCATAATGGGGCGTGACTTTTAGGGCGGGGGAGTGGCTAGCCAATGAGCAGAGAGGTGCTGGCCGGGGCGGGGCTTGCGCGCGGGTGCGGCGCGCTGCGGAGCGGCCGACGCAGGCAGAAGCCGGCGGCGCGCGGACAGCCAGTCGGCGCCGCGCGGAGCTGGCCGCTGGATTGGCTGCAACACTCGCGTGTCAGGCGGTTGCTAGGCTCCGGCCGCGCGCCCCGCCCTTGCGCTCAGCGCCCTCTCACCGCCCGGTACGTGCTCGCGCGAAGGCTGCGGCGCGGCGCTCGCGCCTCTTAGGCTTGGCGGTGGCGGCGGCGGCAGCTTCGCGCCGAATCCCCGGGGAGCGGCGGTGGCGGCGTCCTGGGGCCAGGAGGAGCGAACACCTGCCGCGGTCCTCCCGCCGGCGCTGGGTGAGTGCACCGCCCGCCCTATCCGCTGTGCCTGGCTGCTTGGGCCCCCATCCCTGCTGCCGGCTGAGCCTTCCGCGGAACACCTGCTGCTGCTCGCTGTTCGGCCCGGGGCGGGGACACGGCCGCGGACGTCCTTGTGGGTGAGGAGGCGGTGCCGCCCGGGCGGAGCCGCCCCTTTGCTCTGGGTCCCGCAGGCAAAGGCTCGGAGCGTTCGGCTGCAAGGCCCGGGCCGCGCGCCGCGGCGATGGGCCAGGCCTTAGCTCGGCCCGCGCTCCCGGGAACGTGGAGCCTGCGCCTTGGCCGCGGTCGTGAGCCGCCTGCGGGCCGCCTCCCTGGCTTCCAATAGGGGTTGTGGCCCAGTTGGGCCGGATTCCGACTGTGGGGAGTCGAGCCCCGCTAGAGGCAGGGAAGGGCACCGCTGCCGCCACTGCTCTGTCAGAGCTGCTCAGAGCCTTGGTGGGTTCCGTCATCCTTACTTGAGCTCCTTTGGAAGCTTGTTTACTTACTACCTTTTCACTTTGTATTTGGCAGACCTGGTTCACCTGCGAGTGTATTTGGATAGTGTCTCCACAGAAAATGTCGTCTCGGCTTGGAATCTTTTTGCCATAAATTCTAAGTTAGTTTCCTACAAACTCAACTGGTAACTTAAAATGCATCCTTTAATCTCTATAACTTGAAAAGTTCTTATTTTTGTAAATCGAGTTGCTTCAGAATTAGTTTTAATGGTGACGATGAAGTTTTGACTGGTTGAGGCAAGAGCCTGGGACAGCACCTTCATAGCGCAGAGTCTAACTTAAGATTCTAGCCTGCTGCTTCCCTAAATAAGCGAGTAGAAGTGACTCCTGGCATAGAAGCCAGACTCCGTGAAGGGAAGGTGGTGTTTATAGGACATAATTCCAGATAAAGAGCTGGATGTGCTTTCAGGTGTTTTGCAAAGTCTGGTGTAGATGGGGTATTGCAGTTTTATCAGGTTCTATGCTTAGTTAAGTTCAGAGACATTATTTTGGAATGTTCCTGTTCTAAAAAAGAATTCAACCGTACTACATTTTGGAGGCATAAAAATCCATAGTTTGAGTATGGAGAAGTTTAGTTGAACTTTTGTGGGTTTTTTTTGCTGTGAACTAAGGAAGAAGAGCTCATGGCCTGTGTCCTGTATTTTGGAGAAATCAGATTTCAGTAGGGAGTTGGATCCATCATGTGAAGACCCTATGGGATATAAAAGCTTGTGCTGACATGTGCTTTTGTTAAAAGAGGCACAGTGCAAATCCTCACTGTTCTTAAAAATTGATTTTGCAAAATGCATTTATTCATTTGAACAAATATTTTGATTCACTACCTGCCAAATTCTGTGGTAGATCCTAGGGACCCATGTAAAAGAGTCTGCTTCTGCCCTTAAGGAATTCAGTTTAGGGGGCAGTGGGGACCAGGGAACCCATGATTAATAGTGTCTGCCCGCTAAGCGTGCTCACATAGTAGCCTGAGGAGAGAGGGAATTCCTGAGCTGTGGTTTTCAGGGCCAGCAGGAATTAGTGGGGGACATCAAGGCCTGGACACAGGGAACCACATGTACATGAGCACCTAAAATAGTGCTTGGGAGTCCTCCAGCTTGGCAGGTGCGAGCTCTGGGCCTGCCTTGTGCTCAGGAGTTCCAACTTTGTATGCGGGGTGCAGGAGTCTGGGGAGCCTTTTAATCAGTAGAGTGGTGTGACCCAGACCTGTGTTTAGAAAGATATTGCTGGTGGAGTGGCAGGAAGAGGGAGGGGGTCAGGACCTCTGGCAGTTAAGTCAGCTAACAGAGGAGAGGTGGGGAGGGAGAAGGAGCCATCAGAAAAGAGAGACTGAAAAGGTAGTACAGAGGGGATGTCCTGCCATGATGGGGGAGGAGCTACATTCTGGAATGCATGGGCCAGAAGACCAAGCATAACCAAGGATTTAAATTCCTTGTTGACTACCTGGTATAGTGACCTACAGAGTTGCTTGTGTCTGGTTAGTGTTGAGGATGGTGGGATTTGGAGGGACCACTTAGGGACCACTTAGACTGCCGTCGATGCATAGGAAAGGAGGCCTGGCATTTGATTATTAAAAACTTTATCGCCGGGCATGGTGGCTCCCACCTGTAATCCCAGCAGTTTGGGAGGCCGAGGCGGGCGGATCACGAGGTCAGGAGATCGAGATCATCCTGGCTAACACGGTGAAACCCCCTCTCTACTAAAAATACAAAAAATTAGCCGGGCGTGGTGGTGGGCACCTGTAGTCCCAGCTACTCAGGAGGCTGAGGCAGGAGAATGGCGTGAACCCGGGAGGCGGAGCTTGCAGTGAGTTGAGATAGAGCCACTGCACTCCAGCCTGGGCCACAGATCGAGACTCCGTCTCAAAAACAAAACAAAAAACAACTTTATCTCCAGGCAGGGCGTGGTGGCTCACGCCTGTAATCCCAGCACTTTGGGATTCTGAGGCAGGTGGATTACCTGAGGTCAGGAGTTCAGGACCAGCCTGGCCGACATGGTGAAACCCCGTCTCTACTAAAAAATACAAAAATTAGCCAGGCATGGTGGCGGGCGCCTTTAATCGCAGCTACTCGGGAGGCTGAGACAGGAGAATCGCTTGAACCCGGGAGGCGGAGGTTGCAGTGAGCTGAAAGCCTGGGTGACAAGAGCAAAACTCGGTCTCAAAAAAAATAAAAAATAAAACAAAACAACTGGCCAGGCGCGGTGGCTCACGCCCGTAATCCCAGCACTTTGGGAGGCTGAGGCGGGTGGATCACGAGGTCAGGAGATCAAGACCATCCTGGCTAACACGGTGAAACCCTGTCTCTACTAAAAATACAAAAAATTAGCCAGGTGGGGTGGCGGGCGCCTGTAGTCCCAGCTACTCATTCTCCTGGAGGCTGAGGCAGGAGAATGGCGTGAACCCGGGAGGCGGAGCTTGCAGTGAGCTGAGATAGCGCCACTGCAGTCCGGCCTGGGCGACAGAGCGAGACTCCGTCTCAAAACAAAAAAAAAACACAAAAAAAACACAAAACTTTATCTCCTACTTGAACCTGGGGTACTGCATTTCCTCTTGCGCACAGCAGGCATCTTAACCCGTGAGAGACAATGTGTGTTCATCCTTGTGGAGGCAGTTGAGAGCATATTTCATTTCTTTTCTTCCTTTTTTTTTTTTGAGACGGAGTCTTGCTCTGTCACATCACCTAGGCTGGAATAAAGTGGCGTGATCTTGGCTCACTGCAACCTCCGCCTCCCAGGTTCAAGCAATTCTCCTGCCTCAGCCTCCCGAGTAGCTGGGATCACAGGCACTTGCCACCACGCCAGGCTAATTTTTTGCATTTTTAGTAGAGATGGGGTTTCACCATGTTGGCCAGCCTAATCTTGAACTCTTGATCTCAGGTGATCCGCCCGCGTCAGCCTCCCAAAGTGTTGAGATTACAGGCGTGAGCCACTGCGCCTGGCCTTTTTTTTTTTTTCTTCTGAGACAGAGTCTCACTCTGTTATCCAGGCTGGAGTGCAGTGGTGGGATCTTGGCTCACTGCAGCCTCGACCAGCCTCCCTGGCTCAAGCAATCCTCCCACCTCAGCATCCTGAGTAGCTAGGACCACAGGCGCACGCCATCACTCCTGGCTAATATATGTATATATTTTTTGAGACCGAGTCTTGCTCTGTTGCCGAAGCTGGAGTGCAGTGGTATGATCTCGGCTCACTGCAACCTCCGCCTCCTGGGTTCAAGTGATTCTCCTGTCTTGCCCTCCCGAGTAGCTGGGACTACAGGCGCATGCCACCACACCCGGCTGATTTTTTTTATTTTTAGTCGAGATGGGGTTTCACCATGTTAGCCAGGGTGGTCTCCATCTCCTGACCTTGTGGTCTGCCCGCCTCGGCCTCCCAAAGTGCTGGGATTACAGGCGTGAGCCACCGCACCCGGCTAATTTTTTTTGAGGTGGAGTTTCGCTCCTTTGCCCAGTGTGGAGTGAAGTGGTGCGATCTTGGCTCACTGCAACCTCTGCCCCTTGGGTTCAAGTGATTCTCCTGCCTCAGCCTCCCAAGTGGCTGGGATTACAGGCATGCACCACCACACCTGGCTAATTTTTGTATTTTTAGTAGAGATGGGGTTTTGCCATGTTGCCCAGGCTGATCTCGAACTCCTGACCTCAGGTGATCCACTCTCCTTGGCCTCCCAAAATGCTAGGATTACAGGCACGAGCCACTGCGCACCGCCCTGATTTTTGTATTTTTTGTAGAGGTGGGGTTTCTCCATGTTTCCCAGGCTGGTCTCGAACTTTTGAGCTCAAGCAATCTGCCTTCCTCAGCCTCCGAAAGTGCTGGGATTACAAGCCTGAGCCACCATGCCTGGCCTTTTTTTTAAAATTAATTAATTAATTAGTTTTTTTTTTTTTTTGAGACGGAGTCTCGCTCTGTCACCCAGGCTGCATGGAGTGCAGTGGCATGATCTCGCCTCACTGCAAGCTCCGCCTCCCAGGTTCATGCCATTCTCCTGTCTCAGCCTCCCGAGTAGCTGGGACTACAGGCGCCCGCCACCGCGCCCAGCTAATTTTTTTGTATTTTTAGTAGAGACGGGGTTTCACTGTGTTAACCAGGATGGTCTCGATCTACTGACCTCTTGATCTGCCTGCCTCGGCCTCCCGAAGTGCTGGGATTACAGACGTGAGCCACCGTGCCCGGTTTTTTTTTTTTAAGATGGAGTTTCGCTTTTGTTACCCAGATTCGAGTGCAATGGTGCGATATTGGTTCACTGCAACCTCCACCTCCTGGGTTCAAGTGATTCTCCTGCCTCAGCCTCCCGAGTAGCTGGGATTACAGGCATGCGTCAGCATGCCTGGCTAATTTTGTATTTTTAGTAGAGACAGGTTTTCTCCATGTTGGTCAGGCTGGTATCAAACTCCCGACCTCAAGTGATCCGCCTGCTTCGGCCTTCCAAAGTGCTGGGATTACAGGCGTGAGCCACCTCACCTGGCCAGCTTTTTTTTTTTTTTTTTTGAGATGGAGTCTCACTCTGTTGCCCAGGCTGGAGTGCATGGCGCGATCTTGGCTCCTGCAACCTCCACCTCCTGGGTTCATGTGATTCTCCTGCTTCAGCCTCCCAAGTAGCTGGGATTACAGGTATGAGCCACCGTGCCCAGCCAGCAATTTCTATAAATAGGAATTTAGAGTAGCTTACAAAATTACACCAGCCAGAAGACTTAATTTAGCCTTAAGGAATAGGGTTCTCTGTTTTCCAATTTCTTAGGTTTGATAGCTAAGCATTTTCTTTTTCTTTTTTTTTTTTTTGAGACGGAGTCTGCTCTGTCACCCAGGCTGGAGTGTGGAGTGCAGTGGTGCGATCCTGGCTCACTGTAAGCTCCGCCTCCTGGGTTCATGACATTCTCCTGCCTCGGCCTCCCGAGTAGCTGGGACTACAGGTGCCCGCCACCACACCTGGCTAATATATGTATATATATATTTTTTGTATTTTTAGTAGAGACGGGGTTTCACTGTGTTAGGATGGTCTTGATCTCCTGACCTCATGATCTGCCCACCTTGGCCTCCCAAGGTGCTGGGATTACAGGCATGAGCCACTGCACCCGGCCATAGCTAAGCATTTTCTTAGTTTTACTCAGGGTCCAGGGTAGAAAGATGGATGAGATGCATTAGTAGAAGATCATAAACTGAGGGTGTCAAAGTTGGTGAAGCTGGTCTGTGTTCTGTGTTGAAGTGGTTAAATCTGAACGAACTTTAGCAGTATGTTGACTTAATTTATATTTATGTTTTAAAAGCAGGATTCTACTGGAACAATCAGCTGCATATTTAAAAAATTACTTTTATGACCAAATGTCTTTTATCTTGCTTGTCATGAGATACATTTAATGGTGTTGAGGTTTTGGGCTGGGCGCAGTGGCTCACACCTGTAATCCCAGTACTTTGGGAGGCCGAGCCGTGTGGATCACCTGAGCTCAGGAGTTCGAGACCAGCCCGTCCAACATGGTGAAACCCCTTCTTTACTAAAAAATACAAAAATTAGCTGGGCGTGGTGGCGCACACCTGTAATCCAAGCTGCTTGGTAGGCTGAGGCAGGAAAATTGCCTGAACCTGGGAGGTGGAGGTTGCAGTGAGCCAAGTTTGAGGTTTTGCAGTGTTGAGGTTTTTCTTCTCAGTTATACCTTTTTGAGCTAATCGTTTTAAAAAATACCACTGTCTAAAATACACTGAAATTAATTTTACTATTTATAATTTTTGGTTCTGGATTGACTGTACAGAAAATGTTTCATTTTCTTACTGTGACCTTTGACAAAGAAGGGTGAGTAATTTGTGGTGTGGGCAGGAGACTCAGTGGCATTCCCCACTTCCTCTGGAGTTGGTCAGTGTGGTATAATTCTATTTCAGTTGTGGGCATTCACCAATATTGTTTCCTCCTTTTCCTGCAGGGCCACTGCTCTCCAGGAAGATAAGGCTTTTAAAGCAGCCTAGCACTAGAAGGTGAGGTAAGGTACTTGAAAAGAGACATTTCTGCAAAAGAAAGTTGAGGAATAATCACATACTGGCCAAAATGATAACCACAGAATTATATTTATTTATTTTTATTTATTTTTTTGAGACAAAGTCTTGCTCTGTCACCCAGGCTGGAGTGCAATGGTGTGATCTTGGCTCACTGCAACCTTTGCCTCCCGGGTTCAAGCAATTCTCCTGCCTCAGCCTCCCAAGTAGCTGGGATTACAGGCATGTGCCCCCGCGCCCAGCTAATTTTGTATTTTTAGTAGAGACGGGGTTTCTCCATGTTGGTCGGGCTGGTCTCGAACTCCCGACGTCAGGTGATCTGCCCGCCTCGGCCTCCCAAAGTGCTGGGATTACAGGGGTGAGCCACCGCTGCCCAGCTTATTCGTTTTTGAGACAGGATCTCTGTCTGTCACCCATGCTGGAGTGCAGTGGCATGATTACAGCTCACTGCAGACCTTGACCTCCTAGGCTCAAGCCATCCTCCCACCTTGGCCTCCCATGTAGCTGGGACTACAGGGGCATGTCACCATGCCCGGCTAATTTTTGTAACTTTTTGTGGAGATGGGAACTCACTATGTTGTCTGGGCTGATCTCAAACCCCTGGGCTCAAACGATCCTCCCGCCTCAGCCTCTCAAAGTGCTGTGATTAATAGACATGAGCCTCCGCACCTGACTTAGAATTTTAAAACATTAATAGTGGAGGAAAAGCTCTATTGGATAATACATACATTTAAGTAGTGTGGAAGATAAAAGTGGAAAGAGGCTGGGTGCGGTGGCTCACACCTATAATCCCAGCACTTTGGGAGGCCGATGTGCACAGATCAACTGAGGTCAGGAGTCTGAGACCAGCCTGGCCAACATGGCGAAACCCTGTCTCTGATAAAAATACAAAAATTAGCTGGGCGTGGTGGCAGGTGCCTGTAATCCCAGCTACTTGGGAGGCTGAGAAAAGAGAATCACTTGAACATGGGAGGTGGAGGTTGCAGTGAGCTGAGATCCTGCCATCACACTCCAGCCTGGGCAACAAGAGTGAAACTGCATCTCAAAAAAAAAGTGGAAAGAAAAGGACTGGGCGTGGTGGCTCACACCTGTAATCCCAGCACTTTGGGAGGCCGAGGCGGGTACATCATTTTAGGTCAGGAGTCCAAGACCAGCCTGGTCGACATGGTAAAACCCTGTCTCTAGTAAAAATACAAAAATTAGCCAGGCGTGGTGGTGTGCGCCTGTAATCCCAGCTACCTGGGAGGCTGAGGCAGGAGAATTGTTTGAATCTTGAATCTGGGAGGCAGAGGTTGCAGTGAGCCGAGATCGTGCTGTTGCACTCCATCCTGGGCGATGGAGTGAGACTCTGTCTCAAAAAAAAAAAAAAAAGAAAAAAAAGTGGAAAGAAAAGAGAAAAGGAGCCCGATCTCATGCCTGTAATCCCAGCATTTTGGGAGGCTAAGGTGGGAGGATTACTTGAAGCCAGGAGTTTGAGACCAGCTTGGGCAACAAAGAGAGACCCTGTCTCTACAAAAAATAAAAAAAAAAAAAAAAATTAGTTGAGTGTGGTGGCACGTTCCCTAGGTACTCGGGAAGCTGAGGTGGGGGCATCTTTTGAGCCCAAGAGTTTTTTTTTTTTTTTTTTTTTTTTAAATTTTTTGTAGAGAGGGTTTTGCCATGTTGCCCACGCTGGCCTTGAACTGCTGAGCTTAAGCGATTCATCTGCCTGAGCCTCACAAACTGCTGGATTACAGATGTGAGCCACTGGGCCTTAGCCTAGGAGTTGAGGCTGCAGTGAGCTTTCATCACAGCAAATCACACCACTGCACTCCAGACTGGGTGACAAAGTGAGACCCTGGCTCAAAAAATAAAAAAATGAAAAGTCTCTTGTCGTCCCCTCCCTTTTTTTTTTTTTTTTTTTTTTTTTTTTGGATACAGAATCTTGCACTGTTGCCTGGGCTGGAGTGCAATGGCGTAATCTCGGCTCATTGCAACCTCTGCCTCCCGGGTTCAAGCGATTCTCCTGCCTCAGCCTCTTGAGTAGCTGGGATTACAGGTGCCCACCATCACGCCGAGCTAAGTTTTTGTATTTTCAGTAGAGACGAGGTTTTACTATGTTAGCCAGGCTGGTCTCCTGACCTTGTGATCCTCCCACCTCAGCCTCCCAAAGTGCTGGGATTACAGGCGTGAGGCATCCCATTTTATTTTTTCTGTAAATAGGGAATACAACACATGGTACTAACTTGATTAAAAGTTCAAAAGGGTTATACAAAGGAGGGAAAGAAACCTTCCTTCCATCTATCCCCTCAGCCTGTTGTTCACCTTTCCAGAGACAGTTGTGATCCCCCCTGATTCCTGGGGTCTCCTCCAGAGATGGCCCTTGGCAGTGTTCTTACCAAGTTTGAGTATAGATTTTTTTTTTTTTTTGAGACAGAGTCTCTCTCTGTTGCCCAGGCTGGAGTGCAGTGGCTCGATCTCTGCTCACTGCAACCTCCACCTCCTGGATTCAAGTGATTCTCCTATCTCAGCCTCCTGAGTAGCTGAGACGACAAGTGCGTGCCACCACACCCAGCTAATTTTTATATATTCAGTAGAGACTGGGTTTCACCATGTTGGCCAAGCTGGTCTCGAACTGAACTCAGGTGATCCCGTCCGTCTTGATCTCCCAAAGTGCTGGGATTACAGGCGTGGGATTCAGGCCCCTGCGCCGGCCTGAATATAACATTTCTTTTTTTTTTTTTTTTTTTTTTTTTTTGAGACCGAGTCTCCCTCTGTCACCTGGGCTGGAGTGCAGTGGCTCGATCTCTGCTCACTGCAACCTCCGCCTCCTGGGTTCAATTGATTCTCCTGCCTCAGCATCCTGAGTAGCTGGCATTACAGGCGCGCACCACCACACCCGGCTAATTTTTTTTTGTATTTTTAGTAGAGACGGGGTTTCAGTGTGTTGGTCAGGCTGGTCTCGAACTCCTGACCTCGTGATCCACCTGCCTCGGCCCCCCAGAGTGCTGGGATTACAGGCGTGAGCCCCCGCGCCAGCCTGAATATAACATTCTTTTTTTTTTTTTTTGAGACTGAGTCTCGCTCTGTCACCCAGGCTGGAGTGCAGTGGCTCGATCTCTGCTCACTGCAACCTCTGCCTCCCGGGTTCAATCGATTCTCCCGCCTCAGCATCCTGAGTAGCTGGGATTACAGGTGCGCACCACCACACCCGGCTATTTTTTTTTTTTTTTTTTAGTAGAGGCTGGGTTTCAGTATGTTGGTCAGGCTGGTCTCGAACTCCTGACCTCGTAATCCACCTGCCTTGGCCCCCCAAAGTGCTGGGATTACAGGCGTGAGCCACTGTGCCTGGTCATGAATATAACATTTCTTTTTTTTTTTTTTTTTTTTGGGAGACGGACGGAGTCTCGCTCTATCGCCCAGGCTGGAGTGCAGTGGCGCGATCTCGGCTCACTGCAAGTTCCGTCTCCTGGGTTCACACCATTCTCCTGCCTCAGCCTCCCGAGTAGCTGGGACTACAGGTGCCTGCCACCACGCCCGGCTAATTTTTTGTATTTTTTTAGTAGAGACGGGGTTTCACTGTGTTAGCCAGGAGACCTGTTAGCCAGAAAGGTCTCGATCTCCTGACCTCGTGATCCGCCCGCCTTGGCCTCCCAAAGAGCTGGGATTACAGGCGTGAGCCACTGCGTCCGGCGCATATAACATTTCTAATGGTTAATCTGTCCCTAATTCTTAGACAGTTTGGTTCTTTTTTTTTGTTTTTCTTCTTATTATTTGTTTTAGCTATTTCCTACAGGAAGGAGGTTATTTCTTACTTTGGTTGTAATAGATAATGTTGCAATTAACATCTCTGCATAAAGTTTTTTTTTTTTTTTTTTTTTTGAGACGGAGTCTCGCTCTGTCACCCAGGCTGGAGTGCAGTGGCACGATCTCGGCTCACTGCAAGCTCCGCCTCCCGGGTTCACGCCATTCTTCTGCCTCAGCCTCCCGAGTAGCTGGGACTACAGTTGCCTGTAGCCACACCTGGATAATTTTTTGTATTTTTAGTAGAGAGGGGGTTTCACCCTGTTAGCCAGGACGGTCTCGATCTCCTGACCTCGTGATCCGCCCGCTTCGGCCTCCCAAAGTGCTGGGATTACAGGCGTGAGCCACCACGCCCGGCCTGCATAAAGTTTTTTAAAAGTTTTTTGTATCATAAGAAGTGAATTGTGGCCGGGCGCAGTGGCTTACGCCTGTAATCCCAGCACTTTGGGAGGCTGAGGCGGGCGGATCACAAGGTCAGGAGATGGAGACCGTCCTGGCTAACATGGTGAAACCCCGTCTCTACTAAAAATACAAAAAAAAAAAAAATTAGCCGGGCGTAGTGTTAGGCGCCTGTAGTCCCAGCTACTCTGGAGGCCGAGGCAGGAGAATGGCGTGAACCTGGAAGGCAGAGCTTGCAGTGAGCTGAGATAGTGCCATTGCACTCCAGCCTGGGCGACAGAGTGAGACTCTGCCTCAAAAAAAAAAAAAAAAAAAAGTGAATTGTGATTTACAGTTTTGTAGAAGCACATTTATCAATGTCAAGTAAGGCAGATTTGTACTGATTTTTATTTTTAAGTATTGTGCACGTTTTCTGTAGTCCCTTTTCTGTGACTTGCATGGATTTGTGATTTTTATAGCCATGTGGAGACCTAGTCTCAGTGTTCCCTGCCCTTGGGGACATGAGGAGCCACAGATTCATTCTTGCTGAGGCAGTCATGGCCCTTGGATACCCTAAGTATAGGGGAGTGTGCCAGTTGTGGGGAGCTCAAGGATGAATGAAGCACTTGGAAGGATATGTCGTATTCAGGGAAACAGTAGCCAGTGCCCAGCTTGATTCCCTGTTTTGGCATTTACTCTTCATTTCTATAGATGTTGTTTTTGTATATGAGGTATGAGAATCTACAAACAAGCACCTCTTATAGAGTTCTTTCTCCTAATCGGTACACAGTTTTCTGTATCTATAGGTTCCACATCTGTGGATTCCTCCAACTATGGATTGAAAATATTTGGGAAAAAAGGATGGTTGCGTCCGTATGAAACATGAATAAACTTTTATCATCGTCATCATTTCCTAAATGTTAGAACAACTATTTTCATACCATTTACATTGTATTATGTGTTATAAGTAATCCAGGGATGTTTAAAGTATACAGGAAGATGTTTAAGGGATCCAGGGCTGTGCAGGACGTGCCTTGTTAACAAAATGTTTACAAGCAGTATACTTGGTAAAAGTCATCGCTATTCTCTAGTCTCAATAAACTGGGGACACAGTGCATTGCGGAAAACCACAGGGACCTCTGCTCTTGAAAGCGGGGTATTGTCCAAGGTTTCTCCCCATGTGATAGTCTGAAATATAGCCTCGTGGAATGAGAAAGACCTGACCTTCCCCCAGCCCGACACCTGTAAAGGGTCTATGCTGAGGTGGATTAGTAAAAGAGGAAAGCCGCTTGCAGTTGAGATAGAGGAAGGCCACTGTCTCCTGCCTGCCCTTGGGAACTGAATGTCTCCGTGTAAAACCTGATTGTACATTTGTTCAATTCTGAGATAGGAGAAAAACTGCCCTATGGGGGGAGGCGAGACATGTTTGCAGCAATGCTGCCTTGTTATTCTTTACTCCACTGAGATGTTTGGGTGGAGAGAAACATAAATCTGGCTTATGTGTACGTCCATCCAGTCACAGTACCTTCCCTTAAACTTAATTATGACGTAGATTCTATTGCTTACATGTTTTTGTCCTTATTATGATGCAAATATTACACCATTTTATATAAGGGACTTGAGCACTTGTGGATTTTGATATCCTGGAACCAATCCCTCATGGATACCGAGGGAAGAGTTTGTAAATGTATTAAAACAAAGTAGTGGAATTGGAATCAAATTCTTTTGATTTTGTAGGTATCTGTGTTTAGCCTTTTCACTGTGCTGTGAAGATTTCCCCCCCAGGCATCCTAGGGGTTGATGGGAGATTTACTTAAGATTCCCAAGGCTGTCTAGGGCAGAAGTGAACCAGTTCTGCCTTGGTTGTCATAAACACCTCTGTTAATTAGCTCAGTTGTTCTCCAGGGATAGATTGATTCTCTAGCTAGCTTTTGCCAAGAAAAATGATCCAGTCAATAATGGAATTCCAAATAAGATTTCCTTTTTATTTGGCTATTAATCAGAACCTGGGATAACATCCATTTTCTGGGCCCTGATTTTACTATGGAATATTTCCATAAAACATGCATGTGATTACTGTAAATGTCCTGTAAACACTCCTGCTTGGGCTGGTAGGTCATCTTTTTTTTTTTTTTTTTCTTTTGAGACAGTTTTAGTCTTGTTGCCCAGGCTGGAGTGCAGTGGCGTGATCTCAGCTCACTGCAACCTCTGCCTCCCAGATTCAAGTGATTCTCCTGCCACAGCCTCCCAAGTAGCTGGAATGATACACCATGCGCCACCACACCTGGCTAATTTTTGTATTTTTAGTAGAGATGGGGATTCTTCATGTTGGTCAGGCTGGTCTCAAACTGCGACCTCAGATGATCTGCCTGCCTCGGCCTTCTAAAGTGCTGGGATTACAGGCGTGAGCCACCATGCCTGGACTGTAGGTCACCTCTGTGTCCAATCTGCCAGAGGTCAGGGATACGTTGCCGTCTAGGATTTTTTATATTGGAGACCAGTCTGATGAGTAGCCCTTGAGCAGGGACTGGATTCTAAGTCTTGGAGAAAATGAGTAAGTTCTACCTCTTATGTGAGGTATGATTGAAGAAATTGTGTTTTCTTTGTTTTTTGAGAGGCAGGGTCTTGCCCTGTTGCCTACCTGGAGTGTGGTGGCATAATCATAGCTCACTTCAGTCTTGACCTCCTAGGGTCAAGCAATCCTCCCACCTCAGCCTCCTGAGTAGCTGGGACTACTAGCACGTGCCACTATGCCCAGCTAATTTTTAAATTTTTTTGTAGCGATGTGGTCTTGGCTATGTTGCCCAGGCTGGATCCTCCTGCCTCAGCCTCCCAAAGTGTTGGGATTACAGGCGTGAGCCACCACACCCGGCCCAGAAGTGTCTTATATTTTTAGACTTTTGAGCAGTGTTGGAACGATTGAATTGCCTGAGTGGAGAAATTTGGTAGGAAGAGAGTAGAAGAGAGGCTCTTTATTAAAGACCTAAAAATAGAATTCATTAAAGTCACAAATAGATAACAGTAGGATTCCTGTCTGACTCTCTTCTGCTTTGGGTTTGTGCTACCAGCTGTTGCGTTTGCTTACCTAGAAAATAGAATAATATTTTGTCAGAAGGGTCAACAGTATGGTCCTAAAACATTGTGTTTGCAAGTCTGAGGATGTGCTTTTTCCAATTTTAAAAGTAGTTAGAAAGTGACCAGATTCTTTCATGTAGGGGAGAAATCTTAGCAGGAGACGTTGGTTCTTCTGCTTGTAGTGCCAGCCCTAACCTGACAGGTCCTGTGGGGACCCCTGTCTCTTCAGAGCCCTGAGCCTTTTTCCCTTCTAGTTGGACTTTGCTGACTAGAGAGGGATATCCTATGTAGGCCACCTGATTACCTGATTTAATCAGATGGTACCTCTGTTATTTTGGAGAAGAGAGTCTCCTTTTGATTCTAATAGCTGAAGATAAAAATGGCTCCGTATGCTTTCTTCCTGTGGAGGGCTCTGCTGCCCTGAGCTGCCTGTGCCCTTTACATCTGTGTGAGGGGGTGGAGGAATGTCCTGGCCTCCTCACTTCCATCCTGCTATGGGCTTCCAGGAAGAATGGGGTCCATTGTGGGCTGTACCCAAAGGCACAGTCCTCTGCCTCAGTGTCAGGCTTACTGTGGTCTCTGTGCCCAGTTTGCTGTGGTCACTGGGTGCCAAGGGGTTGGGAGCTCAGGAAGCCATTGCTGCTTTTTTTTTTTTTTTTGAGACGGAGTCTTGCTCTTGTCACCCAGCCTGGAGTGCAATGGCACGATCTCTGCTCACTGCAACCTCCGCCTCCCAGGTTCAAGCAATTCTCCTGCCTCAGCCTCCCGAGTAGCTGGGATTACAGATGCGCGCCACCACATTGGGCTAATTTTTGTATTTTTATTGTTATTATTTTATTTTATTTTATTTGAGACGGAGTCTCGCTCTGTCGCCCAGGCTGGAGTGCAGTAGCTTAATCTCGGCTCACTGCAAGCTCCGCCTCCCGGGTTCATGCCATTCTCCTGCCTCAGCCTCCGGAGTAGCTGGGACTACAGGCATCTGCCACCACGCCTGGCTAATTTTTTTGTATTTTTAGTAGAGATGGGGTTTCACCGTGGTCTTGATCTCCTGACCTCGTGATCTGCCCGCCTCAGGCTCCCAAAGTGCTGGGATTACAGGCGTGAGCCACCGCACCCGGCCAAGGACGGAGTGTTGTTCTGTCGCCCAGGCTGGAGTGCAGTGGTGCGATCTTGGCTCACTGCAACCTTTTGGAGACAAAAGGCCTTTGTTGTGTCTGGCCTTTATCTTTGTTGTAATGACCCTGAAACCGTGGCCTGAGTCTTTGAGGTGGAAGTTGCCCTAGAAATGTCATGTAATATACCAGAATTTATCAAGCCTTTCTCTAGTACTGGGACACTTAACATGTGCCTGTGGTACTTTTGTTTGTTTTGCTATTATTTCACATTTAATTTCATTTTTGTAAATAAATAATTTTGAAGCCAAATTCAGATTTTTCATCTTTATGTCTACTTAGGTTGCTTAGACCTAATGTGGTAGATCAGGTTTTGTTTTTGTTTTCTTTCTTTTTTTTTTTTTTTTTTTTTTGAGACAAGGTCTCACTCTGTCACCCAAGCTAGAGTGCAGTGGCATGATCATGGCTCACTGCAGTCTGAATTCCTGGGCTTAAGCAATCCTCCTGCCTCAGCCTTCTGCAAAGCTGGAACTACAGGCATGTGCCACCATGCCAGCCTATTTTTTTTTCCTTTTGTAGATACATGGTCTTGTTATGTTGCCCAGGCTAGTCTCAAACTCCTAGCCTCAGGTGATCCTCTCATCTCAACCTTCCAAAGTGGTGGGATTACAGGTGTGAACCACCATGCCCAGCCTGTTTTCTTGTTTTGAATCCAAGCTTTCTGAGGGTTGTCCTTTAGGAGGAGAATGTAAGGAATTCCAGAGTCAGGGAGGCATGGGCTGTGCTCTGGGAGAGGCCTGGGGAGGCACTGCTCTGGAACTGCCTGTAGGAGTGGTGTCAGACTGCCAGCAGAAGCCAGGGTGGTGAGGGGAGGGCTGAATGTTCTGCAAGAGAGATTTATACCACTATTTTCTTTTTCTTTTATTTATTTATTTATTTATTTATTTATTTATTTATTTATTTATTTTTTGAGACGGAGTCTTGCTCTGTCGCCCAGACTGGAGTGCAGTGGTACTATCTCGGCTCACTGCAAGCTCCGCCTCCCAGGTTCACGCCATTCTCCTGCCTCAGCCTCCCTGGTAGCTGGGACTATAGGCGCATGCCACCACGCCCGGCTAATTTTTTGTATTTTTAGTAGAGACAGGGTTTCACCGTGTTAGCCAGGATGGTCTCGATCTCCTGACCTTGTGATCCTCCTGCCTCAGTATCCTGAAGTGCTGGGATTACAGGCGTGAGCCACCGCGCCCGGCCCTTTTTCTTTTTTTTGAGACAGAGTCTCACTCTGGAGTGTAGTGGCATGATCTCGGCTCACTGCAAGCTCCACCTCGTGGGTTCAAGTGATTCTCCTAACTCAGCCTCCCAAGTAGCTGGGATTACAGGTGTGCATCACCACGCCTGGCTAATTTTTATATTTTTAGTAGAGACAGGGTTTCACCCTGTTGGCCAGGCTGGTCTCGAACTCCTGACCTCGGGTGATCTGCCCACCTCAGCCTCCCAAAGTGTTGGGATTACAGGCGTGAGACACTGCGCTCAGCCTGATATGAATATTCTTGACGGTGTCTTCTGGGTATATACCTAAGAGTGAACTGTTAGATATATAGTATTTGATTTTTTTTGTTTGTTTTGTTTTGCTTTGTTTTTGAGATTCAGTCTCGCTCTGTTGCCCAGGCTGGAGTGCAGTGGTGTGATCTTGGCTCACTGGATCCTCTGCCTCCCAGGTTGAAGTGATTTTCCTGTCTCAGCCTAACCAGTAGCTGGGATTACAGGCGTGTGCCATGCCTGGCTAATTTTTGTATTTTTAGTAGTAATGGGGTTTCTCTGTGTTGCCCAGACTGATCTCGAACTCCTGGATTGCTCAAGCAATCCACCTGCCTTGGCCTCCCAAAGTGCTGGGATTACAGGTATGAGCCACCGTGCCCGGCCTGATGTTTTAATTATTGAGAATTTTGTATTTTTTGTAGAGATGGGGTTCTTCCTCTTTGCCTAGGCACACGACTGTCTATCCCAGATGGCTGCACTGGCCTAGGACAGACGGTTCTTCCCCCAGTACGTCAAGACCCTGGAGGGTGCAAGCTACAGAACAGCTGGGCTCCTGCATTCCTCCCAGACCCTGTCTTCAGTAGGACAACAGGCAACAAACTTAAATTTGGTAATATGAATTTAGAAAATGTTAATGTTTTCCAGAACAGTGAAACTACAATATAAAGGTTAGACTTGAGAACCAAAGTTACTCTCTAGCTTCCCTCTTCTGCCCTTCATGTGCTCAGCACTTGTATCTGTGTTCTCACTACCCCTGAGCCCTGAGTTCTTCTGGGGTTGGCCCAGGAGGTGCCTTGGTTCAGAGAGATACCTGGGAGGAAACCACATGGAATCAACAACAGTACTACATATTTGTTATTATTTGGAGTAATTAGCCCCATACATTCTTTTTTTTTTTTTTTTTTTTTGTTTGAGATGGGATCGTGCTCTGTCACCCAGGCTGGAGTGCAGTGGCGTGATCTCGGCTCACTGCAACCTCCGCCTCCCGGGTTCAAGCGATTCTCCTGCCTCGGCCTCCCCATTAGCTGGGACTACAACAGGCTCCCGCCACCATACACGGCTAATTTTTTGTGTTTTTCATAGAGACGGGGTTTCACCATGTTAGCCAGGATGGTCTCGATCTCCTGACCTCGTGATCTGCCCGCCTCGGCTTCCCAAAGTGCTGGGAATTCAGACGTGAGCCACCACGCCCGGCCAGCCCCATAAATTCTTGATAGCAATTTTCCTGAGGTACTCAAGTTTTACTAGAAAAACATAGCATCATGTTTTGATTCATTAGTTGTCTAGATGCTCACCCTCCTGTATTATCATTCTGGCTAACTATTAAGTACCATTACTCCCAGATTGAATTTATGACACCTGCTGCCCACCATGCCCATTAATCAAACAATAAGGGCAGGGCAAACTGCTGTCTCATGTTGTTTCAAACTGCCCCACCTCCTTCCTCTTCCATCTTATGTTATTAATGAAAGAGTTTGACAATACTTAAATGTTAGTGAAAATAAGAGAAAAGTCGTTTGTATCTTTAGGTGAGGGTGTAAATTGAAGGACATTTTGCCAAATCTAACAATTCCAATGTACATATCCTTTGACCCAGCAATTCCACATCTAGGATTATATCCTTAGATATGTTCTAAGAAGAATGCAAGGATGAGTGTGAGAACACCCTGGAGAGCAAGATATGCAAGATACTTAGACATTTAGATGTGCCACACACAATAGGGGTGAATGAGAAGAAGGATCTACCCACTGGGGCTGAGGTCTCTCAGTTCTGCTAAATTAGAAAAAGGAACGGTTATTTATTTATTTTTTTTTGATAGGGATTCTCATTCTGTCTCCCATGCTGGAGTGCAGTGGCGCGGTCTTGGCTCACTGAAACCTTTGCTTCCCAGGGTCAAGCGATTCCCCTGCCTCAGCTTCCTGAGTAGCTGGGATTACAGGTGCGTGCCACTATGACCATCTAATTTTTTATATTTTTAATAGAGACGGGGTTTCACCATGTTGGCCAGGCTGGCCTTGAACTCCTGACCTTATGATCTGCTTGCCAGGTGTGAGCCACTGCGCCCGGCAAAAAAGGAACAGTTTTGAAGAATTTGATTTCATTTGAACTTTAAGAATGAAATTAAAAGAGATGTGCTTGTTTATGTGTTTAGAGATATACATTCAATGTGTCATTTGTGGAGAGCTACTGAAGAAACTCAGTCTGCTCACCTGAGGACCTGGGAAGGAGACCTGCTTTTCATTTGTGTCCTAGTGTGGTGTTGGAATTTATTTTACCTCCATGTGAATTACCTTTTTTTTTTTTTTGAGACACAGTTTTGCTCTTGTTGCCCAGGCTGGAGTGCAATGGCGTGATCTTGGCTCACCGCAACCTCTGCCTCCCGGATTCAAGCGATTCTGCCTCAGCCTCCCGAATAGCTGGGATTACAGGCATGTGCCACCACGCCTGGCTAATTTTGTATTTTCAGTAGAAAAGGGGTTTCTCCATGTTGGTCGGGCTGGTCTCGAACTCCCGACCTCAGGTGATCTGCCCACCTCTGCCTCCAGTAGTGCTGGGATTACAGGTGTGAGCCACCGTGCCTGGCCCTTGAATTACTTTTATTGCATTAAGTCAAAGGGGAGGACCAGATAGTTGATGACATCATTGTGAGATAGACTGGGAACCAATAGTAGGGAATCGGATACTGGGAAACACTGGATGCAGCGT
This sequence comes from Homo sapiens, assembly GCF_000001405.40. Lineage (NCBI taxonomy): Eukaryota > Metazoa > Chordata > Mammalia > Primates > Hominidae > Homo > Homo sapiens. The sequence goes on from NC_000003.12 coordinate 49,489,513, forward strand.
GCCCACATTTTGCCCTTAGCTCTGGGACCTCTTAACTTGGTAATGATCTGATTTGGGTTTTTTTTCCTCTAGGAGGGAAGGTTCCTGGGAAGGGAAGATAGAATCTATTTTTAATCTTAAGAAAACATAGCTCAATGTAGTAATTTTGGGCCCTAGTGTGACATTTTCTTCCATTATAACCCAAGTCACTTTTAAAACAAAATCCTTTTTTTGTATATTTTGTGTTTGTAATGTTTCTAGAGGAAAATGCTTTTAAAGTATCCTCACTTCCCTTCGTAAACTTGGGAGGGCTTGGGACCTGGTGGGGTATGTGTTTTGAATCATGCTGTCTGGGGGATTAGTGCCTGGAATCCAGATTCCTACTGGACAAAGCGCTGGGGTTTGAGGTAAGTGGGGTGGGGTAGGGGGAGGGTTATATAGCTGTCACAGATTACAGAGCTTACCTGCTGACTGCTTCACAATTGTTGGTACATACACCTGCTTTGGCATGGACGTCCTGAGAGGGGGCTTGGACCATGACCCGTGTTCCTTTCTCTTACCACTTGTTTTTTTCCATTTTGGCTGGGCGCGGTGGCTTACGCCTGTAATCCCAGCACTTTGGGAGGCCGAGGCAGACGGATCACGAGGTCAGGAGATCGAGACTATCCTGGCTAACACGGTGAAACCCCGTCTCTACTAAAAATAGAAAAAATTACTGAGGTGTGGTGGCAGGTACCTGTAGTCCCAGCTACTTGGGCGGCTGAGGCAGGAGAATGATGTGGACCCGGGAGGTGGAGCTTGCAGTGAGCCGAGATCGCGCCACTGCCCTCTAGCCTGGGCGACAGAGTGAGACTCTGTCTCAAAAAAAAAAAAGTTTTTTTTTTTTATATAACTTTAAATTTACAGAAAAATTGCAAGAATAATTCAAGAAACTCCCAAATACTCCATCTAGAGTCACCATTTGTTTGCATTTTGCTGTGTTTGCTCTGTCATTCTCTTTTCTATCTATACCTTTTTTTCTGAACCATCTATGAGTAATTGACAGAAATCATGCCTCTTTATTCCTAATTTTTTTATTCTTTTATTTTTTTTTTTTGGGACAGGGTCTTGCTCTGTCACCTAGGTTGGAGTGCAGTGATGAGATCTTGGCTTATTGCCACCTCCGCCTCCCAAGCTTGAGCGATCTTCCTGCCTTAGCCTCCCGAGTAGCTGAGACTGCAGGTGCAGGCTACCATGCTGGCCTAATTTTGTATTTTTTTGTAGAGATGGGGTTTCACCATGTTGCCCAGGCTGGTCTCAAACTCATCAGTGCAAGCTATCTGCCCTTCTCAGCCTCCCAAAGTGCTGGGATTACAGACATGAGCCACAACCTGGCCTACTCCTAAATTCTTTTTTTTTTTTTTTTTTTTTTTGAGACGGAGTCTCACTCTGTTGTCTTGGTTGGAGTGCAGTGGCACGATCTTGGCTCACTGCAACTTCTGCCTCCCAGGTTCAAGCGATTTTCCTGCCACAATCTCCCTGAGTAGCTGGGACTACAGGCGCGCACTACTACGCCTGGCTAATTTTTGTACTTTAGTAGAGACAGGTTTCGCCATGTTGGCCAGGCTGGTCTCGAACTCCTGACCCAGGTGGTCCGCCTGCCTCAGCCTTCCAAAGTACAGGCGTGAGCCACCACGCCTGGCATTTTTTTCTATTTTTAATAGAGATGGGGTCCCACTATGTTGCCGGGGCTGGTCTCAAACTCCTGGGTTTAAGTGATCCTCCTGCCTCAGCCTCCCGAAATGCTGGGATTACAGGTATGAGCCACCGCTCCCAGCCAAGTTGTTTTTTTTTTTTTTGAGACAGAGTCTCATTCTTTCGCCCAGGTTGGAATGCAGTGGCGTGTTTTTGGCTCACTGCAGCCTCTGCCTCCTGGGTCAAGCAGTTCTCCTGCCTCAGCCTCCCAAGTAGCAGGGATCATAGGCACCTGCCACTATGTCCTGCTATTTTTTTTTTCTTTTTTTTGAGACGGAGTCTTGCTATGTTGCCCAGGCTGGAGTGCAGTGGCGCGATCTTGCTCACTGCAAGCTCTGCCTCCCGGGTTCACGCCATTCTCCTGCCTCAGCCTCCCAAGTAGCTGGGACTGCAGGCGTCCGCCAACACGCCTGGCTAATTTTTTGTATTTTTAGTAGAGATGTGGTTTCACTGTGTTAGTCAGGATGGTCTCGATCTCCTGACCTCGTGATCCGCCCGCGTCGGCCTCCCAAAGTGCTAGGATTACAGGCGTGAGCCACCGCGCCCGGCCTGTCCTGCTATTTTTGTATTTTTAGTAGAGACGGGGTTTCGCCACATTGGCCAGTCTGGTCTCAAACTCCTGACCTCAAGTGATCCTCCCGCCTTGGCCTCCCAGAGTACTGGGATTACAGGCGTGAGCTGCCTCGCCTGGCCCCAAGTCTATTCTTTTTTTTTTTTTTGAGACGGAGTCTCACTTTGTTGCCCAGGCTGGAGTGCAGTGGTGAGATCTCGGCTCCCTGCGACCTCTGCCTCCCGGGTTCAAGCAATTCTTCTGCCTCAGCCTCCTGAATAACTGGGATTATAGGCATGGGCCACCAAGCCCAGCTAATTTTTGTATTTTTAGTAGAGACAGGGTTTCACCATGTTGGTCAGGCTGTTCTCGAACTCCTGGCCTTGTGATCTGCCTGCCTTGGCCTCCTAAAGTGCTGGGATTACAGGCGTGAGCCACCGTACCCCGCCTGGCTCCAAGTCTATTCTTAAGACCACAGAACTTTTGATTTAAGATTCACTGGACAGATACATAACAATACATAAAATAAATGTTTTATTTACAAAATAAGACCTTTAAGTAGTTAGCTGCCAGTTGAAATAATGATTTGGACTGGATGTGGTGGTTTATGCCTGTAATCCCAGCATTTTAGGAGGCTGAGGTGGGAGAATTGCTTGAGCCTAGGAATTTGAGACCAGCCTGGGCAACGTGGTAAGGCCCCATCTCTACAAAAGATAAAAAATTAGCCAAGTGTGGTGGTGCCATGTTTGTAATCCCAGCTATTTGGGAGGCTGAGGTAGGAGGATCAATTGAGCCTGGGAGGGTGAGGCTGCAGTGAGCCATCATCGTGTCATTGCACTCCAGCCCAGGTAACAGAGTGAGACCCTGCATCTTTAAAGGAAAATTTAAAAAGAGATAAATGCAGGAGATCTTCCATCTTATCAAAAGGGTGCTGTTATAATTTATATATTTTTAAGTACTGGATGGGGAGGTGGAGTAGCAGCTCCAAGGTACTTTTCAGTGGTGGCCTTAATCTGCTGATGCATGGAAGGTGTGTTCTTCTTCCAGATAGCCCTGGGATCTCCTGAATTTCCAGGTTGGGCTACTCAGGCATGGATTGACTCCTACAGTTCAGGCGGATGGAGATCCCACCAACCCACAGCTTAATTCTTCAGATGCTTTATCTTCATTTCTCATGTATCTTCAGTTGGCTTCTAATGTGAGCACATAAATGCCCTGCAGAATTTCTTTCCCATCTTTGTGCAAATCATTATTTTTATTCTTTTTTTTTTTTTTTTTTTTTTTGAGACGACAGGGTCTTGCTCAGTCACCCAGGCGGGAGTGCAGTGGCATGATCATGGCTCACTGCAACCTCAACCTCCCAGGCTCAAGCGATCCTCCCACCTCAGTAGCTGAGTAGCTCAGATTATAGGCATGCGTCACCACACTCAGCCAATTTTTTCATATTTTGTAGAGACAGAGTCTCCCTGTGTTGCCCAGGCTGATTTCAAACTCCTGGGCTCAAGCAATCCATCAACCTTAGCCTACCAAAGTGCTAGGATTACAGGCATGAACCACTGTGCCTTGCCTGCTTTTCATTTTTAATCCTTGGGTTCTAAAATGCAAGAATTAATTTCCAAATAATTAGTATGGAATGGAATCCCACTTTTTCCTGTGTGCTGAGAGAATGATCAAAGATCACAGAAAAGAGATGGAGACAGAAGAAGCTGAGAGCAAGGGCATCTTTAAGGATTTCTTCAGTCTTGTTAATCTGGGTGTAAATTCTGTGTGGCTGACAGCCTCTGAGGATCCCTTGAAGTTTTGAGGAGGAGGAAAGCGCTTGAGAGTAATGGATTTACTTGATTTTACTTTGTATAGAAGAGCCTGAACTGGACATATCTCCAGGTATGTGCTGTGGTCTTTAACAAGCAGCCCAACATCCTTTGCTGGGGAAGGCCAGCAATGTGGGAGCTAGTGGGGCCTAGCCCAGGAGCCTTGCGTTCACCAGGTCACTGGGAACTGGTGCTTTCTGATGCACCTCTATGCAAGCCTGATTCTGAAGTCAGATGTGGTGGGCATCCCTGTCCATAGTGTTGGCCTGGCCCACCATTTCACTGGTCATAGAATGGCTGTAGCTTTGCAGAGCAGGGATTGCGAGAATGGAAGAATGTCTTTTGGCTCTTCTGCTCTAGCTTTTGGAAGTACGTCAGAGAAGTTTGTGATTTTTTAGAATTTGTAGCTGTGGCAAGGCTGAAGCAGGTAAAAGGGCCAATTAGAACCATCTGTGGGAGGGAAGGAATTCTGTTAGCAGGAAGGAAAACCTGAGCAAAGGGAGTGGGTGGTAGTTTTGTCTTGTTCTTTTATAAACACAGTGTGTTGATATGGCAGTTCCTGGCATGGGTGAAATATTTTTGATGGTTGAGCATTAAGAATGTAGCCAAAAACAAGAATGTGGCTAAAAGCAAGTCACCACTTTAAACACTGAAGATTGAAGCATTTGCCTAGATAAATATTCTGCAGTGAATATGCCAGAATTCCCACATACCTGTTTGGCTCCTGAGGCATTGTGCTTAGGGTCCCAGGCCTTTATTACAGGGGCTGCTGGCAGGGTCAAGGGCTGGGTTGCCTGGAGCTTCCCTGACATTTCGCCTCACTCCTCTGTTTTGGAGTCTAATTGGCCAATTAGGTCAGAAAGGCCACCAGCCAGCACACTTTTTCTAAATTTAATTCATCATTGCTAGATTAGCATATTAATTTTGAGCTATGGCACTTATTTTTAATCTTTCGTAGTGTAATGGAAAAAATACCAGAAAGCTCAGCATTGAACTTCAAAGTGTGAAATCAAGTGATCATTGCCTTTATGCTTGGTGAATTATTATTATTATTTTTTTTTTTTTGGAGACAGAGTCTTGCACTGTCATCCAGGCTGGAGTGCAGTGGCGTGATCTTGGCTCACTGCAACCTCCGCCTCACAGGTTCAAACGATTCTCCTGCCTCAGCTTCCCGAGTAGCTGGGACTACAGGTGCCTGCCACCACGCCCAGCTAATTTTTGTATTTTTAGTAGAGACGGGGTTTCACCATGTTAGCCAGGATGGTCTCGATCTCTTGACCTTGTGATCCACCCGCCTCAGCCTCCCAAAGTGCTGGGATTACAGGTGTGAGCCACCGGCGCTTGGCTGCTTGGGGAATTATTTAGGGGATTTAGTGGAATTTCCTTTCCTGTACTCTGTGGGCATCTGCTGAGTACCTGCTTGGTGCCAGGCATCTACTGGGAGAGAAAGCAGCAGAGTCAATGCTGTCAAGACCCCTGCAGTGGACCTCTTCTCCCCCTTTTCTCTCAAGGGAACCATTGGCATCCAGCCTTGACCCCCAGTAGACACTGATCATCCAGCCCCCACAGGGTAGCCCCACTGTACCTTTGTACTGAGTTGGTGAGGGGATGGGATAGCCAGGGGGAGTTTGGGGAAGTCAGAAGGCAACTTTCAGTTTCTATTAGAGTAAGCACTTGGAAAATGTCTGTTTATAATGTATTAGTATAAATACTTGGTTTGTTACCACTTGTGTTTCCTGATTTAGTAATGTATATAAATCTTAATTGAATATTTTTGTGTGAAACTTGGAAAGACTGCATCTATAGCAAATAAAGCCTCACACCTAGCACAGGGTAGGTAGTTGGTAAACATGTGCTGAAGTGTTAATTGTTGGGCTGTCTTCAGAGAATTGTAGTTTGCTTTAATTGCATTTTTTGATGCAACGCGGGTGCAAGGGTGTGGTAATTCATTCCCACTTGGATTCTGCTGAGGCTGGCCACCCACCTCTCAGACTTATTCCCCCACCACCTCTCCACCTCCTACTCTAGCTGCTGCAGCCAAATGGACAGTTAGGGCCGGGCACAGTGGCTCATGCCTGTAATCCCAGCACTTTGGGAGGCTGAGGCGAGCGGATCACAATGTCAGGAGTTCGAGACCAGCCTGGCCAATACGGTGAAACCCTGTCTGTACTACAAATACAAAAATTAGCTGGGCGTGGTGGCAGGCACCTGTAACCCCAGCTACTCAGGAGGCTGAGGCAGGAGAATTGCTTGAACCCGGAAGGCAGAGTTTGCAGTGAGCCGAGATCGTGCCACTTGCACTCCAGCCTGGGCGACAGAGCGAGACTCCGTCTCAAAAAAACAAAAACAAAAACAAAAAAACAGAAAAAAAAAAACCCCAAATGGATGGTTTGGCCTGGTCCTTATCTTTGGCCTCAGTTTATCCTTTTCTGTCTTCAGTGTCTTACCTGGGCACTGGTGATTAAAGTACTGGACCATGTCATCACGGGGATATGCCCCTAAAAGCCTCCTAAAGTATTTTCTTCTGAAGTCTAATTGGTGTAACTAAGTAATGTTTTCTAAAATATTGTGGCAAAATATACATAACATAAAGATGGTGTATTTATTTATTTATTTTGCTTTGTCACCCAGGCTGGAGCACAGTGGTGGAGTCATGGCTCATGGCAGCCTCAACCTCCCAGGCTCAAGCAGTCCTCCCACCTCAGGCCAAGTAGCTGGGACTACAGGTCCATGCCTACGTACTTGGCCAATTTTTTAAATTTTTAACTTTTTTTTTTTTTTTTTTTTTTGAGATGGAGTCTCACTCTGTCGCCCAGACTGGAGTGCAGTGGCGCGATCTCGGCTCACCACAACCTCCACCTCCCAGGTTCAAGCAATTCTGCTGCCTTAGCCTCCTGAGTAGCTGGGATTACAGGCGTGTGCCACTGCGCCTGGCTAATTTTTTTTTGTATTTTTAGTAGAGACAGGGTTTCACCATATTGGCCAGGCTGGTCTTGAACTCCTGACCTTGTGATCCGCCTGCCTTGGCCTCCCAGAGTGCTGGGATTACAGGCATGAGCCACTGTGCCCGGCCTAAATTTTTTTTTCTTTTTTTTTTTGGCACAATCTCGGCTCACTGCAACCTCTACCTCCCAAGTTCAAGCAGTTCTCCTGTGTCAGCCTCCTGAGTAGCTGGGACTACAGGCATGCACCACAACACCCAGCTAATTTTTGTATTTTTAGTAGAGATGGGGTTTCACCATGTTGGCCAGGATGGTCTCCATCTCTTGATCTCGTGATCCACCCACCTCGGCCTCCCAAAGTGTTGGGATTATAGGTGTGAGCCACTATGCCTGGCCTAAATTTTTTTTTGTAGAGATGGGGGTCTCACTATGTTGTCCAGGCTTATATTTTAATATACCATCTTAACCATTAAAAATGTTTTTTTTAGGGGCTGGCTGTAGTGGCTTGTCCCTATAGTCCCAGTGCTAGAGGAGGCTGAGGCAGGAGGATTGTTTGAACCAGGAGTTTGAGACCAGCCTGGGCAACATAGTGAGACCCTGTCTCTACAAAATAAAAACTAAAAAATGGCCGAGCATGATGGTTCACACCTATAATCCCAGCACTTTGGGAGGCCGAGGTGGGTAGATCACCTGAGATCAGGAGTTCAAGACCAGCCTGGCTAACATGGTGAAATCCCATCCCTACTAAAAATACAAAAATTAGCTGGACGTCATAGTGGGCACCTATAATCCCAGCTACTGGAGAGGTTGAGGCGAGAGAAGCTCTTGAACCCAGGAGGCGGAGGTTGCAGTGAGCCGAGATTGTGCTGATGCACTCCAGCCTGGGTGACAGAGCAAGACTCCGTCTCAAAAAAAAAAAAAAAAAAAATTAAAAAATGAGCCAGGCATGGTGCTGTGAACCAGTAGTCCCAGTTGTGGGAGGCTGAGGCAGAAGGATCACTTGAGCCCAGGAGTTTGAGGTTACAGTGAGCTATTACTGTACCACTGTACTCCACCCTGGGGGATAGATTGAGAGACTGTCTCTCAAAAAAAAAATAAAAATAACCCCAAACCCACCTTTTTAAATTGTGAAAAACACAATATAAAACTTAACCATCTTCAAAGTCAAGTATACTGTTCGGTAATAAATAATGTTTAACGCAGTGTATGGACTTCAGTGGAATGTAGAAGGAATTCTTTCAGTGAGCCCCATTACGTACCATGTTAAAATCTACTCAGATTAAAAGCCATGGTTCAGTGGAGAATGACTGTTCTGGGTTTTGAACCTTGCTTTTCTTCCCTTTCCCTAGAACATGTCTGCACCTGGGTGGATTTATACCTAGGTTTTAAACCTTTGCTTCTGTCTTTGTTGGAAAAAACCAAACCACCGCCAGCAGAAGCCACTGCCCTTTGTTTATCTGTGATAAGTGAGAATTTGTAAGAATTTTCCAAGTGAGAGAAGTGTTCAAAGTAGCTTTTATGTTTGATAGAATGTGTAGTGCTTGCCTCTCAGGGGTGGTATTTTTTCTCCCACGTATTTTTACCTTTAAATCTCTTGCTGTATATGTGACCCTGGCTCCCTTTGGTTGGTCCTCCAGCTCCCTGATGGTCCTGGGGCTCCCTCCATATCACTGGTGGTATTTCCACATTGCCTGCAGTTTAGGTAGGAACCTGTCCCATGTCAGGGAAACCCTATCTGTCCCCTGAACTGAGCACTTTTAATTTTAGGGTGATACCTTGAATCTTCACCAGTCACTTGACTTCAGACCTTTCTCATCTGACGCCAAGGAGTCAAAAAGGCCTGTTTTTAACTAGAAGCAGAGACATTTGCCATTTTTTTTTTTAATATTTGGAGCTCAAATAAACAATGACTTCACACCACTGTTTTCCACTGTGTTGAGTACATCCTGTTGGCCATGATATTGAGCAGTTTTAAACTGGTTAACCTTTCAGAAACTTTATATTAATGTTGGACTGACAGTTAATATTTAACTTGTCAAAGTGATTTTTGCTAGATTGAACCTGAAGTGGTTAATATTTCTGCTTTTTATGTTTTCCAAAACCATTTAAAATAGGAACATGGTATTTTATTATTTTAATCTGGTTTCAAAATGAATATCCCATTTTCTTTATTATTATTATTATTAATTAATTTTTTTTTTTTGAGATAGGTTCTTGCTGTGTCACCCAGGCTGGAGTGCAGTGTTGTAATCTCACTGCAATCTCACCATCCTGGGTTCAAGCAGTTCATTCACCTCAGCCTCCCAAGTAGCTGTGATTACAGGCATGCGCCACCATGCCTGGCTGAACTTTGTACTTTTTTGTAGAAACAGGGTTTTGCCACGTTGCCCAGGCTGGTCTTGAAGTCCTCAGCTCAAGCAATCTGCCCACCTCGGCCTCCCAGAGTACTGGGATTCTAGGTGTGTGCCACTGCACCTGGCCATTCCTTAAATGTTTTAATGACTGTGGCAAATGATAGCAATTTAACAGCTTAACTACTATTTTTAGGTAGCGTAGCTATTTGGGAGTAGGGGCTCCTAGGAGTGGTGGGATGGGCTACCTCTGCCAAATTTTGTGTGGTTAATAATGGGTTGAGTCTCCCAACTTTTCTTTTATTCTTGGGAAGCAAAAACTAATAGAGAGCTGTTGTTTCAGAGTTTTTAGGTTAAGATGTGTGAAAGTTTCAGAGCCGGGTACAGTGGCCTGTGCCTGTAGTCTCCTATTTGGGAGGCCGAGGCAGGAGGATCACTGGGGAGTTCAAGGCTGGTGAGCTATAATTGTTTCTGTGAATAGCCACTGCACACTAGCCTGGGCAACATAGTGAGACCCTGTCTTAAAACTAAAAACAGAGGTACTTAAAAATATATATATCTGAAAGTTTCATTCACTGTGAGTTTTTCTATGGATGAGGAAACATTAAGTTTATGGCAAATTGAGTTGGTGCCCCATGTGCATTTGTTCTTCACATCTGTTGAGTGGAAAGCATTTATTAACTGAGTTCCCTGTGTGCGTGGGCACTCATAGCTCTGGGGAGGCAGCCTGAGTGGAACAGAGCCGCCTGTTCCATAAGGCTGTCTGGACAGAATGGGGTCATAAGGGCCTGGCTCCTCATGGGCATCTCCCCTTTCCTCCCACCAAGCAACATCCTTTGGTTGCATCTTCCTGGGGGATGGTATTGGTGGTGGTGATGGGAGGGGCCAGTGGGATCCTTACCTGCTGAACCTTACCCTTGGATGCCTGGTGTCCTTGCCAGTTACTGTATAATGTTTTTGATTTCCTAGTTATATCCCTGATGACTGATCTGATAAACTTTAAATATACCTGCCTCTAGGGTAGCTTTAATATATTTTGGCTACAAAGGTCACTACCTTTTAGGTATTATTGATAACTTGACATTTTACTTCTTCTTCTTTTTTTTTTTTTTTGAGACAGAATCTTGCTCTGTCGCCCAGTCTGGAGTGCACTGGTGTGATCTTGGCTCACTGTAGCCTCCGCTTCCCGGGTTCAAGCAATTTTCCTGTCTCAGCCTCCGCTTCCCGGGTTCAAGCAATTTTCCTGTCTCAGCCTCCCGAGTAGCTGGGATTATAGGTGTCCGCCACCATGCCCGACTAATTTTTGTATTTTTAGTAGAGATGGGGTTTCACCATGTTGGCCGGGCTGGTCTTGAACTCCTGACCTCGTGATCTGCCCGCCTCAGCCTCCAAAGTGCTGGTATTACAGGCGTGAGCCACTGCACCTACCTGGCCTGACATTTTACTTCTGCCCATCACTTGAGAGTCCCACATATCACAACTGGGAGGAAGGGAGTGCCTGGTCATTGGCAGATGCGAGCCACTTACTGGCCCTACCCCAACTAGCTCTGGTTCTTCTGGCTGAGGGTGTTTATCTGCAGTGAGTCTCAGGGTCTGGGGTCTGGGGCAGTGCTGAGAGCTTAGACTCAGTTGTGGGTACTGCACTGGGTGCTGGCACAGAGGAATAAGGTTCCCATTCCCACTACTCGAAAAAGAGCTTCTGTAGCTCCTGTCAGCCAGTGGTGAATCCAGCTAAGACATGTTCTTGGGCTGCCTTGAGCACTTCCTACTCTCTTTTAGAGGATATAATGTGAATGAGTGTGAGGTGTTAAATTGGGTAGCTGTGTCAGGAAGACTAGGTGGCTGTGGCCAGAATCTTGCCAGAATCTTTCTGTGGTTCCCAAGCACTCTTTTCTCCCACAAGTTCTGGCCACCAAGCTGTATGTGACCACGACTGAGTATTTACCTCTGTTTGGACCTTGGTCTCTGAACCACGAGGAGGAGGATCTCTGTAGCGTCTCTATCTGAATGACTGAGTGTATGAGTATGAGACTGTGTAAAAAAAACTTCCAGAGGGACATTCTGATACAAGTATATGGATGCAGCCTATCAGATTCCTAGCACAGGCAGACATGACCCTTGCTTATAGGAAGCCAGCATCAGAAAGACAAAAGGGTGTTTTATTACCAAGTTGCAAAAAATTTTTCTCCTTAGAGCATGGAAAACCAACACATAGTAGTTGGAGTTGTGCCCTGAACATCGCCTGCCTGCTAAATGCAGAGCACTTAGTCATGCCCATGAAACAGACACCCCATGTCGTCATGTGTCCGCAGATAGCAGACAGCTTAAGTTCCTGGTAGGGCAGGGTGTGTCTCATAACTGACTGTTTTTAAATAAGCTGAGAATTTTAAAATTGAGAATGAGATTGGAATAGTGAAAGATCAGCTGGATCTAATAAGTGAAGTAAAGACTAAAGATGATGGGAAGAACCTGAAAAAAAGGTCCTGTGTCTCCCCATTCATTCATTAGGTGTATGGTGTATGTCTGGCACTGGATGAGTGCTGGGCACATATTAGTGATTGCAACAGATGTATCCCTGCTCTCCCACAACTTATAGTCTTGTGGGGGTGTTGGTTGAGCTGAGCCATTTACTAAATTAGAATTAAAATGCGTCTGGGCATGGTGGCTCATACCTGTAATCCCAGCACTTTGGGAGGCCGAGGTGGGCAGATCACCCGAGGTCAGGAGTTCAAGACCAGCCTGGCCAACATGGCGAAACTCTGTCTCCACTAAAAAATACAAAAATTAGCCAAGCGTGGTGGCAGGTGCTTGTAGTCCCAGCTACTTGGGAGGCTGAGGCAGGGAGAATTGCTTGAACCCGGGAGGCAGAGGTTGCAGTGAGCCGAGATCATGCCACTGTACTCCAGCCCGGGTGACAGAGTGAGACTCCCTCTCCAAAAAAAAAAAAAAGGATTAAAATGCATAAGAAAGGAAAAGGCCAGTAAAGAAAACACTATGCAACAGTAAAGAAAACTGTAGGCCAAGCACAGTGGCTCACGCCTGTTCCCAACACTTTGGGAGGCCAAGGCAGGAGGATTGCTTGAGCCCATGAGTTTGAAACCAGCCTGGGTAATATAGTCTGTATCTCTTCAACAAAATTTACAAATTAGCCTGGTGTGGTGGCGCACACCTGTAGTTCCAGCTACTTGAGAGGCTGATAGGAGGTTTTCTTGAGCCCAGAGGTTGAGGCTGCAGTGAGCTGTGATTACACCATTTCCAGCCTGGGTGACCAAAAAACCAAAACAAAAACTACACAGAAAAGAGTTGAAGAAAAACCTTCAACTTGGAGCACTTTATAGAGATCTGAGGAGAAGACCCTCACCAGAGTACTGGGACTGCTGGTTGTTGAGAAGGAGTTCCTGGTGGAGGACCCCTCAGACATCACTGGAAGTTAAATGGTTCTTGGAACTGATGCCCATAGGGCTCCTCCATCTATGTACATGGTCATTTGGTCCCTTTTGCTGAGTGTGGCACTTAACATTGCTGGTGAGCCTGTGGTGGGCAAAAGTGACCCAGCCATCTACTGATGGCAGGGAGGGAAGGTTCCTGCGGAGGAATGGGTCTGAAATCCTGTGAGCCACCTGGTCCCATGGGCCTTGGAGTGTGGAACAAGGTAGTAGAGAGGAAAGAGGACAATGTTTTACCTATTACTTATCTCACATTGATGACAGGAATCAATCAAACTATATCGTGCTAAATTGTAAGACATCTTTAACTTTCTTTTTTTTTTTTTTTTTTGAGACGGAGTCTTGCTCTGTCGCCTAGGCTGGAGTGCAGTGGTGCGATCTCGGCTCACTACAAGCTCCGCCTCCCGGGTTCACGCCATTCTCCTGCCTCAGCCTCCCGAGTAGCTGGGACTACAGGCGCCCGCCACCACACCTGGCTAATTTTTGTATTTTTAGTACAGACGGGGTTTCACCATGTTGGCCAGGCTGGTCTCGAACTTCTGACCTTGTGATCTGCCCGCCTTGGCCTCCCAAAGTGCTGGGATTACAGGCATGAGTCACCGCGCCCGGCCAGCACTTTCTGAGATTTACGCATGTTGATACTTGTTTTAGTTTTTTTAATTGTCCTACAGAGTTCCATGATATTCCATGAAAGCCTATTGATATATTTTCCAGTACATGGACATTAGGATTGTTTTTAACTTTCCAGTGTTGCAGTGAACATGCGTATGCCATCTCTCCATATATGTTTGCACTTTCCTGTCTGTGTGCCTAGGAGTGGAAGGGCCCAGCTACATGGTGAGTCTTCTCCAGGGTGCTAGGGCAGCTCACAGCTCCCACCAACAGCCATGTGGTCCTGTTCCCTCAGTGGTGTCACATTGGAACATTTTGGCCCATCTGATTGGTGTGGAAAGGTTTTTGCTGTTACTTTAATTTTCTTTTCCCTGATTATTGGTAAGGTTGAGCATCCTTTTTGTAAGTTTACTGCTATTCAGGTTTTCTTCTCTGTGAATTACTTGTTGGTTCGTTCTTCCTATCTTCAGCCCATTTTTATTGTTTTAGGTTGCTTGATATTTTTTGATAAGGATTCATTACCTATCACATGCATTGAAAAAGCTTTTTCCCAGCCTGTGGTTAGCCATTTTTTTCTTTCTTTAAGGTGTCCTTTAGTCATTAAAAATTATTGGCCAGGCCTGGTGGCGCATGCTTGTAATCCCAGAAGTTTGAGAGGCCAAGGTGGGTGGATTGCTTTAGCCCAGGATTTTGAGACCAGGCTGGGCAACATGGTGACACTGTCTCTACAGGTACAAAAACATAGCCAGGTGTGGTAGCACATGCCTGTGGTCCCAGCTATTTCGGAAGCTGAGGTGGGAGGATCGCGTGAGCCCGGGAGGTCGAGGCTGCAGTGAGCTGTGATTGTGCCATTGTACTCCAGCCTGGGCCACAGAGTGAGACCCTGTCTCAAAAAAAAAAAAAGAAAAAAGAAATTTAAAGGTTTTTTTTTGAGACAGAGTCTTACTGTGTCAGATTTAAAATTCAAATTCAAATTTATCTTAAGATTTAAAAGATTTTTTGAGATAATTGTGAATTCACAGTTGTTAGAAGAGGGATCCTATGTACAGTTACCCAGTTCCCCCCATGGTAACATCTTGCAAAACTATATAGTACAATATATATCACAGGCAGGATATTGGAAATGGTATAGTCAAGGTACAGAACATTTCCATTGCCACAGGATATTTTATGTTGTCCTTTTATAGCCACATCTACCTCCTTCACAGTCTGACCCCCTTCTGTAACTTCTGGCACCCACTAATCAGTTCTCTGTTTCTATAATTTTGTCATTCAAGAATGTTATAAAAATGAAACTATATAGTATAGTATGTAACCTTTTGGGGTTGGCTTTTTTTTTTCACTTAGCAAGATTGCTTGGAAATTCATCCAAGTTGTTGAGCGTATCCATAGTTCATTCATTTTTATTGTTTATTAGTATTCCATGGTATGCATGTACCATAGTTTGTTTAATCATTCACCCATTGAAGGACATCTGGGTTGTACCATTTGTTGAAAAGGCAATTTTTTCCCCGTTGAATTGCTTTTGCATTGTTGTCAAAAATCACTTGGGTATATTTGTGTATGTCTATTTCTGGATTCCCTATTATATTCCATTTGTCTATGTATCTGTCCCTCCACCAATACAGTCTTTTTTTTTTTTTTTTTTTTTTTTTTTTTTTTTTTTTTTGACAGAGTCTCACTCTGTTGCTCAGGCTGGAGTGCAGTGGCACGATCTCGGCTCACTCCAACCTCTGCCTCCTGGGTTCATGCCATTCTCCTGCCTCAGCCTCCCCAGTAGCTGAGTAGCTGGGACTACAGGCGCCCGCTACCACGCCCAGCTAATTTTTTTTTTTTTTTTTTTTTTTGTATTTTTAGTAGAGACGGGGTTTCACCATGTTAGCCAGGATGGCCTCGATCTCCTGACCTCGTGATCCACCCGCCTCGGCCTCCCAAAGTGCTGGGATTACAGGTGTGAGCCACTGTGCCCAGCTGTATTCCCTATTATATTCCATTGGTCTATGTATCTGTCCCTCCACCATTACAGTCTTCTTCTTTTTTTTTTTTTTTAATTTTAAAATTACTATTGTTATTTTTGAGACAGGGTCTTGCTCCGTTGCCCAGGCTGGAGTGCAGTGGTGTGAATGTGGCTCACTGAGCCTTGACCTGCTGGGCTCAAGCGATCCTCCCACATAGCTGAGGCCACAGCTGCATGCCACCACACTTGGCTAATTTTTAAAATTTTTGTAGAGATGAGGTCTTACTGTGTTGCCCAGATTGGTTTCTAACTCCTGGGCTCAAGTGATGCTTCTGCCTCAGCCTCCCAGATTGTTGGGATTATAGGTATGAGCCACTGCACCCCGCCCTTATTTTTTTTTAATTACTATGTTGCCAAGGCTGGTGTCAAACTCCTGGGTTCCTCCGTCAGCCTCTTGCGTAGCTGGGATCACAGGTGTATGCATAGTTTTCAGCATACAAATTGTGTACATGTTTTGTTAGATTTGCACCTAAGTAATTTTTTTGAATAGTTTAAATGATACTGTATTTTTAATTTTGGTGTCCACATGTTGCAGTATATAGAAATACAATTGATTTTTGAATGTTTTTGTGTTCTGTGACCTTGTTGAACTCACTTATTATAGAACTGATATAGGACTATAAGGAGTTTTCTTATGGATTCTTTGGCATTTTCTACATAGACAATTATGTCATCTGCAAATAAGGGCAATTTTATTTTTTCTTTTCCAATCTGTATGCCAAACTTTTTTTTTTGAGACGGAGTTTCGCTCTTGTTGCCCAGGTTGGAGTGCAATGGCGCCATCTTGGCTCACCGCAACCTCCACCTCCCAGGTTCAAACAATTCTCCTGCCTCAGCCTCCTGAGTAGCTGGGCATGCACCACCATGCCCGGCTAATTTTGTATTTTTTTTTTTTAGTAGAGATGGGGTTTCTCCATGTTGGCCAGGCTGGTCTCGAACTCCCGACCTCAGGTGATCCACCTGCCTCGGCCCCCCAAGGTGCTGGAATTACAGGCGTGAGCCACCACGCCCGGCCTATTTTTTTTTCTTTTTTTTTTTTTTTGAGTCAGAGTTTCACTCCTGTTGCCCAGGCTGGAGTGCAGTGGCTTGATCTCGGCTCACTACAACCACCGCCTCCTGGGTTCAAGCGATTCTCCTGCCTCAGCCTCCTGAGTAGCTAGGATTACAGGTGCCCGCCACCACGCCTGGCTAATTTTTTGTATTTAGTAGAGATGGGGTTTCACCATGTTAGTCAGGCTGGTCTTGAACTCCTGACCCAGGTGATTCACCGGCCTCAGCCTCCCAAAGTGCTGGGATTACAGGCGTGGGCCACTGCGCCTGGCCACTATACTTTTTTTCTCACTTTATTGCACTAGCTAGAACTTCTAGCATTATGTTGTATATGAATGGTGATAGTGGACATTCTTTGCCTTGTTTCTGTTCTTAAGGATAAGTCACTCAGTTTGTCACCAGTAAATACAGTGTTAGCTGTAGGGGTGTTTGGTAGATGCTCTTTATCAAGTTGAAGAAGTTCCCCTCTGTTCCTATTTGTCTGAGAGTTTTTTTATTATGAATCAGTGTTGAATTTTGTCAGACACTTTCTCTGCATCAATTGGTATGACCATGTGATTTTTTTTCTGTAGCCTGTTAATATGGTTAATTTTCAAATATTGAGCTGATTAATTTTCAAATATTGAGCTCTCCTTGCATCTCTGGAATAAGTACCACTTGGTCGTGGTATATATTTCTTTTAATATATTGCTGAATTCTGTTTGATCATGTTTTCTTAAAGACTTTCGTGTCTGTTTTCATGATAGATACTGGTCTATAGTTTTGTTGTAATATCTTGGTTTGATTTTGATATCAGGATAATGCTACCTTAATAGAATGAATTGGAGCCAAGTATGGTGGCAAATGCCTATAGTCCTAGCTACTCAGGAGGCTGAGGTGGTGGGGACTGCTTGAGCCCAGGAGTTCAAATCTAGCTTGGGCAATGTAGCAAGACCCCATTTCTAAAAAAGAAAAATGAAAAAAAAAAAAGAAAAATAAGTAAAAAGTTAAATAAAGAAAATTCAATATATTAAAACAAAATGAATCAGGATGTGTTTCCTCCTTGTCTGCTTTCTGGAAGAGTTTGTGCCTGGCAGTGGCTCATGCCTGTAATTCCAGAACTTTGGGAGTCCAAGGCGGGTGGATCACTTGAGGTCAGGAGTTCAGGACCAGCCTGGCCAACTCCTTCTCCAAAAAAAAGAAAAAGAAGAAAAAGAAAAGATTGGTAGAACTTACCGCTGATGTCATTCAGGCCTGTAGATTTCTTTTTGTGGGAGTTTTAAAATTACAAATTCAGGGTCAGGCGTGGTGGCTCACACCTGTAATCCCAGCACTTTGGGAGGCTGAGGTGGGCGGATCACCTGAGGTCAGGAGTTCAAGACCAGCCTGGTCAACGTGGCAAAACCCCGTCTCTATTAAAAATACAAAAATTAGCTGGGCGTAGTGGTGGGAGCCTGTAATCCCAGCTACTTGGGAGGCTGAGGCAGGAGAATTGTTTGAACCTGGGAGGCGGAGGTTACAGTGAGCCGAGATTGTGCACTACATTCCAGTCTAGGTGACAGAGCAAGGCTCCATCTCAAATAAATAAATAAATTTAAAAAAAAATTACAAATTCAATTTCCTTAATATTTTTCTTTTCTTTTTTTTCTTTTTTTTTCTTTTTCTTTTTCTTTTCCTTTCCTTTATCTTTTCCTTTTCTTTTGAGACAGTCTCAATCTGTCATCCAGGCTAGAGTGCAGTGGTGTGATTATGGCTTATTACAGCCTTGAACTGCTGGGCTCAAGCCAACCTTCTTCCTTAGCCTCCTGAGTACCTGGGACTTCTGTCTTAAAAAAAAATTTTATCCTTTCTGCCTCTGTAAAATAATTTTCTTAATAGAAATTATATCATATTGGATGAGTTGTAGTAGTTTGTATTTTTTGAGAGGAATCTGTTCGTTTAGTTTGATTCATATTTGTCTGTGTAGAGTTGTTTATAGTGTTTCCTTATTTTTCTTTTGATGTCTGCAATATCTAGTGATATCTCCTGCTTCATTGTTGATGTTAGTAATTGTCTTCTCTTTTTTCTTGTATCATTCTTGAGATCAATTTTATTAATCTTTTCAAATAACTAGTTATTTGTTTCAATGGTTTTTCTCTGTTTTTGTTTTCAGTTTCATTGGGGTTTTTTGCTTTTTATTATTTCCTTCTGCTTGCTTTTGGTTTATTTTGCTTTTTTTTTTTTTTTTTTAATAATGAGATGGAGTTTTGCTCTTGTTGCCCAAGCTGGAATGCAATGGTGCATTCTCAGCTCACTTCAGCCTCTGCCTCCTGGGTTCGAGCAATTCTCCTGCTTCAGCCTCCCGAGTAGCTGGGATTACAGGTGCCTGCCACCACACCCGGCTAATTTTTGTATTTGTATTTGTTTGTGTATATGTATGTATGTGTTGTTTTTGAGACAGGGTCTTGCTCTGTCACCCAGGCTAGAGTGCAGTGGTGCAGTCTCCGCTCACTGCAACCTCTGCCTACCAGGTTCAAGGGATTCTCCTGCCTCAGCCTCCTAAGTAGCTGCGACTTCAGGCGTGCACCACCACGCCTGGCTAATTTTTTGTATTTGTAGTAGAGACGGGGTTTCACCATGTTGGCCAGGCTGGTCTTGAACTCCTGACGTCAGGTGATCTGCCTGCCTTGGCCTCCCAAAGTGCTAGGGTTACAGGCGTGAGCCACCATGCCTGGCATGTATTTTTAGTAGAGACAAGATTTCACCATGCTGGCCAGGCTGGTCTTGAACTCCTGACTTCAAGTGAACCTCCTGTCTCAGCCTCCCAAAGTGCTGGGATTACAGGCATGAGCCACTGCACCCGCCCGCCAGGCCTCAAAGCATTTTTCTAAGCCTCATTGTTACAGTTGCCACATGAATGTATCTCTATATATACATGTATACATTTTTTTTCTTTGAATCATTTTGAAGTGAGTTGCAGAGTGTTTGACACTTCATCCCTAAGTACTTCAAAATACAATTCATAAGATTGAGGATGATTCCCTATAGAGTCTTACTACCATCATATCACCTAAGAAAAATAACAGTAAATCCCATTTCCAGTTTACACGCAAAATTCCTCAATTACCCCTTTGGGAGCTGGACTCATGGGTTTTTTTAAAAAGTAAATCCAGAATCCAGTCAAGAGATACACATTGTCTGGGCAAGATTGCTTACCTTTCTAATCCTGGGAGACTGAGGTGAGAGGATCACTTGAGGCCAAGAGTTTGAGGCCAGCCTGGGCAGCATAGTGGGACACTGTCTGTACAAAAGATTTTTAAAAACTAGCTGAGTGGAGTGGTGTGCACCTGAAGTCCCAGCTATTTACTTGAGCCCAGGAGTTCAAGGTTACATTGAGCTATGAACATGACACTGTACTCTATCCTGGGCCACAGAGCAAGAACCTTCTCTGTCCCCACTCCCCTACCCCTAGAAAGATACACACATCAAGTCTGGTTGCTGTCTCTAAATCGAGAACAGTCATCTTATGTTTAGGGATGTCAGCATTTGGAGAGACCAGGCCAGTTGTTTGGCAGAAGATCCCACATTCTAGATTTGTGTGATTTTCTTTGCATAGCTCCCATATTTCCTGTAAATTGGAAGTTAGGTCTAAAGCAGTGCCACCCAACAGAAATATAACATGAGCCACATATGTCACTTAAATTTTCCTGGTAGCCACATGAAGAAAAGCAGATTAAATTAATTTCAATCATATATTTTACTTAATATTTTATTGTTTTTTTTTGAGGTCGAGTCTCACTCTGTCACCCAGGCTGGAGTGCAGTGGTGCAATCTCGGCTCACTGCAACCTCCACCTCCCGGGTTCAAGTGATTCTCTTGCCTCAGCTTCCTCAGTAGCTGGGATTACAGGCACCCACCACCATGCCCGGCTAATTTTCATATTTTTAGTAGAGATGGGATTTTACCATGTTGGCCAGGCTGGTTTCAAACTCCTTACCTCAAGTCATCCACCCACCCTAGTCTCCCAAGATGCCAGGATCATAGGCGTGAGCCACGGTGCCCGTCTTGTTTAATACATTTCTTTATTATTTATTCTTTGTTAATACTTATTGTTTACTTAATATATTTTATTGAATGTATCTGACTGTATTCAAAATATTACTAATACATATCATTTCAGTTTGCAATCAATATTTTAAAAGTATTAATGAGGCATTTTACATTCATTTTTTATGAAGTTTTCAAAATCCAGTGTATATTTTATATTTAATGGATCAGCTACATTTCCAGTGCTAAGGAGTTGCACGAAACTGTTGGTTTCTGTATAAGAGACCATGGGGGTAAGAGGCTTGATCCAACTCGGGGTAGATGTTTTTGACAGTAACTCCTGGAGGATAGTATGTGACTGAACCACTGGAATTGCTCAAGTCTAAACCTGCTTTTCTTTTTTTTTCAGGCTCTGTGTGCTCCGGGATGGAGCAGGTGTGCAGAGGGTGAGAACCCAGCTCTGGGACCAAGTCACTTGCTTCCTTACTTAGCAAGACTATCGACTTGAGCAAACTTGGACCTGGGATGAGGATGTCTGTGGGCCTCTCGCTGCTGCTGCCCCTCTCGGGGAGGACCTTTCTCCTCCTGCTCTCTGTGGTTATGGCTCAGTCCCACTGGCCCAGTGAACCCTCAGAGGCTGTCAGGGACTGGGAAAACCAGCTTGAGGCATCCATGCACTCAGTGCTCTCAGACCTCCACGAGGCTGTTCCCACAGTGGTTGGCATTCCTGATGGCACGGCTGTCGTCGGGCGCTCATTTCGAGTGACCATTCCAACAGATTTGATTGCCTCCAGTGGAGATATCATCAAGGTGAGACTGGATATAAAGCATAAATGAGGAAGAGTTCTCATTTTCCATTTTAGTTTTGGTGGCTTTTCCTTTTCAAGTCTAAGCTTCACCAATTCTGAGCTCAGTTCTTCCAGTACCCCCTTAGAAGAGGGACAGCCACTGATGTTCATAAGAGAATCCCTATATACTCAGAATAGCATCCTAAACTGTATTCTTGTTCCTATTCTGAGGGCATCACCATGTAATAGCCTTTACTCTGGAAGTTCTACTGAACACTGATTTAGGGATTTGTTGGAAAGGTCTGTCACGTGTATAGGGAAAGGTTACCTTTAATAAAACACAGAGTTAAACCCCAAAAAATAGGACTTTTATGCTTTGAACTTACTTTTTAAAATAAGATATAAATAAATATAGGAGTTCTGCTCTGATTTGCTGATGTATGTTGGCTAATGTAATTGATCACTTAAGAACCAAAATTAGTACCCAAACTTCAGCCTTGCCCCATATCCTTTGGAGAAGCCATCCAGAGAACAATGGAATCTGAGGCCCGTGTAGAGAAGAGTGTCTTGGTTGACCCAGGATAGAAATCAGGTGAAATAGGAAGCTTTTGTGTGATGAAGCACCATCTCTCTGTCTGAGTTTGTGGAACCATGGAATTTCCCCTAGATCTTAAATGAGTTTGTTTCATGGACAGGTGGGTGGGATGTACCCCTCAAGTTATGAACATCTTCTAGAGCAGAAGTCAGCACACTTCACCCAAGCTGGAGTGCACTGGCATGATCATGTCTCACTGTAGCCTTGACCTCCCAGGCTCAAGTGATCCTCCCACCTCAGCCTCCCAAGTAGCTGGGACTATAAGCACATATCAGCACACCTGGCTAATTTTTGTACTTTTTGTAGAGATAGGGTTTTGTCATGTTGCTCAAGCTAGTCTTGAACTCCTGAGCTCAAGCCATCTTCCTGCCTTGGCCTCCCAAAGTGCTGGGATTGCAGGCATGCACCACTGCACCAAGCTCCAGGCAGTAAATATTTTAGGCTTTGCAGGCCATATGGTTTCTGTCAGAACTCCTCGACTCTGCCTGTGTAGTGTTAAAGTAGCCTTTACAATATATAAATCAATGGGCAATAAAACTTTACGGTGGATACTTTTTCTTTTTTAATTTTTTACACTTATAGTCCCATTCTGACTTGAAACAGATTTTTGAATTTCATATGTCAAGAAAGAAATATTCTTTTACAATTTTTTTTTTTGAGGCAGGGTCTTGCTCTGTTGTTCAGGCTGGAGTGCAGTGGTACAGCCATGGCTCTCTGCAGCCTTAACCTCCCAGGCTTAAGCCTTCTTCCCTCTTCAGCCTCCCAAGTAGCTGGGACTACAGGTGTGCACCACCACACCCAGCTAATTTATTTATTTATTTATTTTTGAGACAGAGTTTCGCTCTTGTCGCCCAGGCTGGAGTGCAATGGCACAATCTTGGCTCACTGCAACCTCCGCCTCCTGGGTTCAAGTGATTCTCCTGCCTCAGCCTCCTCAGTAGCTAGGATTACAGGCGCACGTCACCACGCCCAGCTAATTTTTAAATTTTAATTTATTTTAATTAATTAATTAATTTTGAGATGAAGTCTCTCTCTGTCACCCAAGCTGGAATGCAATGACACAATCTCAGCTCACTGCAACCTCCATCTCCCAGATTCAAGTGATTCTCCTGCCTCAGCCTCCCAAGTAGCTGGGATTACAGGTGCGCACCACCATGCCCGGCTAATTTTTGTATTTTTAGTACTGACGGGGTTTCACCATGTTGGCCAGGCTGGTCTCAAACTCCTTATCTCGGGTGATCTGTCTGCCTCAGCCTCGCAACACCCAGCTAATTAAAAAAAAATTTTTTTTTAGTTTGGGCGTGATGACTTACACCTGTAATCCTAGCACTTTGGGAGGCTGAGGGAGGCAGATTGCTTGAGCCCAGGAGTTTGAGACCAGCCTGGGCAACATGGTGAAACCCCAACTCTACAAAAAATACAAAAATTAGTTACAAAAAATTTTTTTTAGATAGGGTCTTACTCTGTCTGCCAGGCTGGTCTCAAACTTCTGGTTCCTGCCCTACAGCATTCCTTCTCTAGAGGTGTGGCCTACATGTGAACTAAAAGTATTCTGAGACCTATACTTTGTTAGGTATTTTCTGTATGATCTCTGCATTCAGACTTCTACATACATTTAGTGCTCTGGCTTTCTGTTGGTGTGTTTAAACCACCAAAACAGTGGTTTAACTCAACCAGCTTGTTTTACTCAACATTTTTTGGCCAGGAATTCAGAGATAAGGAACCTTATCTCTGTTTCACATGGTACTAGGTAGAGTGGCTCACCTGGGGCTGGGGAATTCACTTCTAAGTTGGCTCATTCATGGCTGGCAAGTTGATGCTGCCTGTTGACAGGGAGCTTAGCTGGGGCTGTTGGTCAGTGTCCTTGATTCCTCTTCATGTAGACCTCTCCATGGGCTGCTTAGGTGTCCTCAAAGCACGATAGATGGATTTTAAGATTAGGTATTTCAAGAAATAGGAAAGGAAGCTGCCCAATCTCTTAAGGCCCAGAACTTGCCCAACAACACTTCCATTTTACTCCATTGGTCAAAGCACATATAGACTCTGATGGGTGTTTACCAGCTTGCCCCCGTGACCCGTAAGCCCCAGGCTTCTAGATTAGAAATGGCCACAAGTTCTATGCCACTCTTTCCTTGCAGAGGTGAGTCTGTGCCCTTTTCCCTGAATCTGGGTGGACCTCCCCTTCAGCCTGCTCCCTTCTTGTGTTCGCCTCCTTTTCCCTGTTGGTCACCTTCTTTTTAAGCCGTGGCTTGTTCTCAGAGTGACCTTGTGGTCTCTGGGGCAACCGTATTTCTGAAGATCTTGGCCCATGTAGCAGCTCACATGTAGCAGTTCACAGAGCTCTTCCTAGTTTGCAGAGTGTTTGCATAAAGTTTCCTTGTCATCTTTGTAATATCCCAGCAAGCTAGATGCTAATCTGACCATTAGATACAGAGTGGTGGCTCTGGAAGGTACATTTCTTGCTCAGCTTCAGATTTAATCCTGAATATCCATACCCTGCATTGGTTGCCTTTGTTCCAGTAGCCATTGGAATGTTTTACGTGGATTAATCTTGGCCAGAAGTGCCTTGAACTGATACAGCAAACTAGATATTTGTTGTATTTGGCAGAGAGATGTTTAACAGGCTTATTTACCAAGGGGGTGAAGAGATTTTACTGAGAAAACAGGATTTTATCTGAGCATATTTATCTGTGGAAAGCAGACCATTTAGTAGCTGATGAGCTTGTAGAAAAACAGATGAAGATGTGTGACTCTTCGTTCCAGTCTTAACCACCGGGATTATATGGGTTGGGGAGTCAGAAGGTCAGAAAGCCTGATCTTGTTCCTAGAGCTTTGGTTTCTGCATCTGTAAAGCAGGATTTAGAAAGTCTTTATATTAAAGGAATTTTTTTCTTATTATAATAATGATGCATAAATGTACATTGTGGAAAATATAGAAAGGGAAAAAAAATCTGTGGTTTCTACCATTCAGAGTGAAGTCCTCTACCGTTTTCTATGCTCATCAAGAGATGGTCATGCCACATACACACACAGACGTCTTAACATATTAGACAGACCTAGGATCATAGTGGATATATTTTTTAACCTTTTTTTTTTGAGACAGAGTCTCACTTTGTTGCCCAGGCTGGAGTGCAGTGGCACAGTCCCGGCTCACTGCAACCTCCACCTCCCGGGTTCAAATGATTCTCCTGCCTCCATCTCCCGAGTAGCTGGGACTACAGGCATGCGCTACCACACCTGGCTAATTTTTGTGTTTTTTTGGGGGGATGGAGTTTCGCTCTTGTCGCCCAGGATGGAGTACAATGGCGTGATCTTGGCCTACTGCAACCTCCGCCTCCCGGGTTCAAGCGATTCTCCTGCCTCAGCCTCCTGAGTAGCTGGGACTATAGGCTTGAACCACCACTCCTGGCATATGTGTGTGTGTGTGTGTGTGTGTGTGTGTGTACACATACATAGACACACACACACATATATATATATTTTTTGAGATGGAATCTTGCTCTTTCGTCCAGGCTGGAATGCAGTGGCGTGATCTCAGCTCAGTGCAACCTCCGCCTCCTGGGTTCAGGCTATTCTTCTGCCTCAGCCTCCTGAATAGCTGGGACTACAGGCATGCGCCACCACACCCGGCTAGGGTTTCACCATATTGGCCAGACTGGTCTCAAACTCCTGACCTCGTGATCCGCCCACCTTGGCCTCCCAAAGTGCTGGGGTTACAGGGGTGAGCCACCTTGCCCAGCCCACGTTTTGTATTTTTAGTAGAGATGGGGTTTCACCATGTTGGCCAGGCTGGTATCAAACTCCTGACCTCAGGTGATCTGCCTGCCTCGGCCTCCCAACGTGCTGGGATTACAGGAATGAGCCACTGTCCCGGGCCTATTTTTTTTTTTTTTTTAACATTTTTCATTCACTGTAGCTTGAGTATTTTTTTACCTGTAGTCATTAAATGTTATGTGGGAATGTAACTTTTAATGGCTGCCTAATATTCTTGTGTTGTTTTTTTTTTTTTTTTGAGACAGGGTCTTGCTCTGTTGCCCAGGCTGGAGTGCAGTGGCACTATCATGGCTCACTGCAGCCTCCACCTCCTAGCTTAAGCAATCCTCTCACCTCAGCCTTCCAAGTAACTGGGACTATAGGTGTGGGCCACCACACCCAGGTAATTTTTAAATTTTTTTGTAGAGATGGGTCTCACTTTGTTGCCCAGGCCGGTCTTGAACTCCTAGGCTCAAGTGATCCTACTGCCTCAGCCTCCCAAAGTGCTAGGATTACAGACATGAGCATCACGCCCAGCCTGCCCACTATTCTTGAGTGTGTGAGGAACATTTCAGATATTGGTCCTAAGGATGCTTGTTGAGGCGACCCCAGTCATCTTGGGCCCACTGGTACTGCCCTTCATCCAAGCTACTGCTTGCTTACTTCTTCCTAGGCTCCCCCTGCCTTTGTTCTTGACCTCTCAATTTGTTCTCCATATTGAGTCAAGAGATGTCTTTATCTTTCTAAAGCTTAAATCTATTCAAAATCCCTTTTTACTGAGCTGCACCAAGAATCGAACCCCATATGATCTGGCCTGTGACCTCCTCTCCCACATCTTTTTCTTTGTATACTTTGTCCCAGCCACACTGGTCCTTTTCTGCCCAGTGAACACACCTAGCTTAGGGTCCACCCCAAGCTTTTGATTCTTTCTTCTTTTGTCATGGGTACAGCCATATCTTTCAGGCTCAACTTGGACATCATCTGTTGGAGCCCTTTCCTTCCACCCTGGTAAAAGCAGCTTTCCCACAAAACTCTGTGTCATCTTCTTCTTAGCAGATTTCTGTATTTGAAATTCTTGTTTTTTGTTAGTCATGTTTGCCTTCCATCACATAGTAGGCCCTCAAATGTTTGTAGGCTGGCAAAGGGAATGAGGACTCATTTAGCACCTGCAAACCTGTTTTGGATTGTCAAAGCCTGCCTTGCTGTATGCAGGGAGAAATGCTAGCCTGTGCTGGGGCAGCAAGAGACTAAGTTCACCTGCTGCCCCACAGTGTACTATGGTCTTGCCGTGTTTTGAGGCCTCAGGCCCTGTGACACACACACTTTCAAATGACTTCTTGTTGTATTTTCACATTGGAAAGTGGCCCCACCCTGTCCCTCTAACACTTGACTGTGTGTTTATTGATCCATTATTAGTACAAACTCACTGTTTCCTAATATTCAATAGTTTATTGCTCATCTTAATTATTGTGGTGTTCAAATTGTCCCAGATTTGACCATTGGGAGCCCCTTTAAGTTGGTTCCTGTATTCTTGTGATATGCCCCTGTCAATCATTAAGTGCTTCCTTACTTTCTGGGATAAGATGCTCCAGGCCTGTCTTGTATTCACCCTCCCTCAGCCATTTCTTCAAGGAGCCTGATTCCTTTTTGTGGTGAATGTTATTGGGGGTTCAGATCTGGGTGCTAGGTGAGTTCATTGCCACTGGGATTTCCTTGCTTCTTTGAGCCGTTCAGCAGATAGTGTGGCTCCATTTTTAGATGACAAAGTGGTAGCTAAGTGACTTATCTCGGAGCACATAGCTTGTAGGGACAGAGTTAGTTTGTAGGGAGCACCCAAGAGGCTTTTTTTTTTTTTTTTTTTTAATTGAGACGGAGTCTCGCTCTGTCGCCCAGGCTGGAGTGCAGTGGTGCTATCTCGGCTCACTGCAACCTCCGTCTCCCAGGTTCATGCCATTCTCCTGCCTCAGCCTCCTGAGTAGCTGGGACTACAGGTGCCTGCTACCATGCCCGGCTAATTTTTTGTATTTTTAGTAGAGACGGGGTTTCACTGTGTTAGCCAGGATGGTCTCGATCTCCTGACCTTGTGGTCCGCCCGCCTCGGCCTCCCAAAGTGCTGGGATTACAGGAGAGAGCCACCGCACCCAGCCCCCAAGAGGCTTCTTGAGCCTGTAGTATATAAGGTCTTATCTTCAGGTAACTGACCTGTGTTTATTTTGTGTGTCAGCATGCTTTGGAATTATAATTTAATGCTTTGTTCTAGTCAGTTTTAGAAGACTTCCCTCGTAGTTGTCTGTTACCGTGCCTCTGACCTCTGACACTGCAGGGCTGTGGAAGAGAGAGACACACTGGGTATGCCTTGACATGGATGGTGTCACATGTGATGAGACGGGTTTGTACAACCTGCCATGCATGTGGGCATCTTTGAGCCAGAGCAGAAGCTGACCTATCATTGGGCCCAAAACTGATTGCTAAGTAAATGGCTGGTTTACAGTTCTGGCTTTTGGAATGAAGGCTGCAGGACCACAGGTTTGGAAGATCAGGGCCAACCTTGATGAAAGTGAAAGGAGAGTCTGAGTGAAAGGTGATGTCTGGCTGGTAAGCTATCATTGTTCCCTGTGTAGGGTTCTAGATACTTGGCATAGGACCTGTTTCGAAGTAGATGCCTAATTAAAGGCTTGCTATGTGATAAAGCATTAACAGAGGTGGAGCAACAACGGTAAGACATGTGGGACAGTGGTGGGTTGCAGAGCTCCATGTGGGGAATTTGAGAAGTTGTTGGGAGCACATGGAGTTGGGCTCCTCAGCAGAGAAAGGCCAGTGCCCACATGTGGCAGGGTTGTCAATTTGAGTGAAAGTAAATGGAGAGAGAAGTGGGTCCGTAAGGGGCTTTTCAAAGGCTTTCTTCCCCAAGTATCAGAGGAAGAAGAAGCTGGTGAAGAACTGAGGTAGGAGGTACTGAGCCTGGCCTGCTTCCTCCTAAGCCCCATGTGGGATGTCCAGATGAGGGTTGGTCTATTTGGGCAGGGCTGAGTTGCCAAATGAAGACTCAGGTGGAACGTGATCTGCATGGTCTGTCCCAAGACCTGGTGAGATTAGATGGCATAGTTGTCATACTTGCTGATTGGTTAGGGGATATGCATGGGGGTTGACGGTAGAATAATCCAGTGTTTATAGCACACTTAGATGCTGGTCTGTTGAAGGGCTAGAAAATTAAGTTCTCATTCTAAGTGAGCTGTGTTGACTGCCTGAAAAGCCTGGCCTGACCTGTGTGGGCTTCTGGTTACTTTATTTCAGGAGGTTGTGCTGCCTGGTGTCAGTCTGTTGATATACCCAACAAAGCGCCTGAAGCAAATGCTTCGCTACATTTTATATTGGTGTATACTTTACACGTCAGTCTGCAGGGTCAGGAGAATAAAGAAGGGACCTGCCTGCGCAGAGGGTATAGCCCCAAGATCCTGGCTCTTCTGCTCTGCCCCACACCTGACACTCCTTCATGTTCTGACAGCTCTTGTCCAGTCTCAGCCTGGCCAGCACTTGTTGCTTAACCAATGCTGTTCTCCAGTTCTGCCTTGAGAATTGATATTCTGTTATTGACCCCAGCTTAACTCACACATGGACTGCTTTGACCAGACGTGTGAGAAGGGGCTATGGGCTCCCTCAAGGTCCTCATGGCCAGCATAGCTTTTTTGAGAGACCTGTGCCATGGGGCCCCTGTCTCCTCTCTTGTGGCCTTAGGAAACCCTAAAGCAGATAGTCTTGATGTTTGCTCCCTTGAATCAGACTGGATGCCTGTATACAAAGCTCAGCCCAGCTCTTGACTGTCCTTGGCTCTCACAGCTACTTTTGGAGCTGAGAGGACCCTTTCTCCTTATCAGGGTCTGTGGGGATGGGTCCCACAGAAGCCAACCTGGCCTTCACTCAGTGGATCCTGGCCTGTCCTGGGCTGGCAACAGTATGAGCCACCCTTGTCTCCCTTGGGTTTGGTGCTGGATCCCTGCAGGCACCTCTCCTCTGACTTGAGTGTGGGACTGGCTGAGAAATGTGATTATATGCCAGGAGATGTTCTAACCTCTCCTCGAAGGTGGTCAGGGAGAGACATCTTTACATTTCATGAAATGCCCAGGCTGCCCCTCAGATGTCTCATTTTGGTAGAGCCTGCAAGGATGGCTTTTCATCCCTGCTTCCCTTTAGCCTTCTTGCCTGCAGACAATGTGGACCTTCCCTCAGCCCAAGATGTTGGCAGGCTGGGAGCAGCCCTTCCTGGGACTGTGCTCTCAGCTGCTGGCACGGGCCCCCAATTGTTCCCCTGAGAACAATGGGCACTCTCTTTGGCTAGGAAGGGGAGTTCATGAAAGGAGCATTTCTTTGGATGCTTGAGAGCTTTGTGGCAGCCCCGCCTGTGTGAGATGAGCTGCAGTTTCTTCCTGCCTTGAGTGGGTGTTCCGCATTTCTGAATGGACCCCTTGTGAACAAAGCACACCGGGAAATGCGGGTTGGCGATGGAAGGCATCCTTGGGGGTGGGCTGTCAGAATGGCATTTGCCCAGATTCATCAACTCAAATACTTAGTGAAAATATAGGCTTCTATGTTTAAAAAAATCACTGACAAAGACTGAAAGAGAACATGACAAAGTAAAATAGATGATGTCAGGGCTCCAGATTGAAGGACTGATTCTGAGGATTTTATTAGTGGCTCTAACTATGTTAAGCTGCCCTTTACTTTTTTGGGGAAAAAGACTAATTTTTGCTTTTAGATGAGAACAGTGAACATGAGATAAAATGCTTTGTAGCTCAGACCAGAAGGGCATTGACTGGGCTGAACAGTGTGTTCAGTATTGATCCTGTGGCGTTGGTGTTTGTGGCAGGGGCCAGGTTCTGCTTTGAGGTTTGCATGTCTAACAGCAGGACCAATGATGATCCCTTGTGGGTGTGACTCTGCTAAGGCCGCATGTACTTAACTTCCCTCATGATTTTTTACCTCAGGTGGGGACAAAGGCCTGGCCCTCTGACCTTAAGCTAGAGGCTCTTCCTGTTGGTCTGTGCCATCTCCCTGCAGCACAGCCATGTGACTGCCCATGTTCCTCATTAGCAGAAGGCCACAGAGCAGATTTATCTCATTGTCTTAGTCCATGGCACAGACACAGGATAACCCTGAGTGTGAGTCAGCACCAAGGCTGATACTCCATCAGAGGGTCCATCTCCTGCTTCCCTGAGCAGAGGACACACAGTCAGCTTGCAATGAGGAGGCCTTGACTGCCTCATGTGGGAGTGCCTCCAGGGTGTTGTCTATGGTACCCAGCCATAGATGGCTGCAGGTTGGCCCAGCTCTGCAGCCTGACTAGGGATGAGGGAGCTGAAAGGTCGGGAATTGATGACCAGGTCTGAAGGAAAGCAGGGACTTTGCCAACGCAGGCCTCTGCAGGTCCAGCATTGGGATGTCACGGGGCAGCAGTCTGTATCACTTTGAAATGGATCTGTTGGGGGACACGGGGAAGGGCCCAGCCCACACCTTAAGGGCTGACATGTCCAGAGGTATTGATGGAAGGTGCCACCACCAAGGCCCAAAGTTCCCTCCAAAAGATTTGTAGTGAGAAGGAATGCTCACCAAATCAGTTTCTCGATTATGTTATTCTTAGGATCCCTCTTTACTGGCCATCATCAGCTGTGAAAGTGCTCGTACATCTGTCTAGAGTCTTTGCTTGCCATTTCTAAGTCCTGCAACTCCTGCATGGATAAGACATCATCTTGTGGGCCCTGAATGATACAGCTTGTGTTTTCTTGGTTTCATAAGCCAATTATAATTATTTGGCCCTAGAGAGAGCCTAATTCTTCAGTTTTGTTTTTCAGCTATGCATAACTGACTCAGACTATGGGTGGAAACCTGCTTTTATGAGAACTAAGTAATAGAAGCTCCTCCAGCCATTTGCTCTTTCTTCAGGTGTGGAATGGTACTGGCTTGGGGTGAGAGACTTTGCTTGAGTTTCATGGTGTTTTTTTTTGTTTTGTTTTTTTGTTTGTTTTTGTTGTTGTTGTTTTTTGAGACAGAGTCTCGCTCTTTGCCCAGGCTGGAGTGCAGTGGCGCGATCTCGGCTCACTGCAAGCTCCGCCTCCTGGGTTCACGCCATTTTCCTGCCTCAGCCTCCCAAGTAGCTGGGACTACAGGCACCCGCCACCACACCTGGCTTATTTTTTTTGTATTTTTAGTAGAGACGGGGTTTCACCGTGTTAGCCAGGATGGTCTCGATCTCCTGACCTCGTGATCCACCCGCCTCAGCCTCCCAAAGTGCTGGGATTACAGGCGTGAGCCACTGCGCCCGGCCGTCTTTGTTTTTTTGAGACAGGTCTTGCTCTGTCACCCAGGCCAAGGTGCGGTGGCGCAATCATAGCTCACTGCAGCCTTGACTTCCCCAGGCTCAAGCAGGCTTCCCACCTCAGCCTCCTGAGTAGCTGGGACCACCACGCCCAGCTAATTTTTCTTTTTTGTAAAGACGACGTTTTGCCGTGTTGCCCAGGCTGATGGTGTTTAGTGCCTACAGGTGCTGTATCTTTATCAAAGTCAGTGTTTGATGGTCTATTGTGTGCAGAGGGCATCAGTAAAGCAGCTGGAGGGAGTGTCCCAGAGACTGAGGAGTGACCAAAATGTTCAAATTTGGCAGTTCCCTGGTCATTGGTCATGGTGATTTATTGTGGGCATCACAGTTTTAGACCTTTGTTTTTTTTTTTGAGATGGAGTCTCGCTCTGTCGCCCAGGCTGGAGTGCGGTGGCACGATCTTGGCTCACTGCAATCTCCACCTCCCGGGTTCAAGCAATTCTCCTGCTTCAGCCTCCTAAGTAGCTGGGATTACAGGTGCGCACCAACATGCCCGGCTAATTTTCTTTTTACTTTATTTTATTTTTTTTTGAGACAAAGTCTCACTCTTGTCCCCCAGGCTGGAGTGCAATGGTGTGATCTCGGCTCACTGCAACTTCCGCCTCCCGGGTTCAAGCAATTCTCCTGCCTCAGCCTCCCAAGTAGCTGGGATTACAGGTGCCTGCCACCACACCCAGCTAATTTTTTTGTATTTTTAGTAGAGATGGGGTTTCACCATGTTGGCCAGGCTGGTCTTGAACTCCTGACCTCAGGTGATCCGCTCACCTCAGCCTCCCAAACTGCTGGGATTACAGGCGTGAGCCACTGCGCCTGGCTTTTTTTTGTATTTTTAGTAGAGATGGGCTTTCACCATGTTGGCCAGGCTGCTCTTGAACTCCTGACCTCGTGATCCACCCGCTTCGGCTCCCGAAGTGCTGCGATTGCAGGCTTGAGCCACCACGCCCGCCCCCCTCCCACCCCTTTTTTTTTTTTTTAAGACTGCATCATGGTATGTTGCCCAGGCTGGGCTCAACTCCTGGCCTCAAGTGATCCTCCCGCCTCAGCCTCCTGAGTAGCTGGGGTTATAGGTGTGAGCCACCATGCCCAGCTCAGTCTTTGGAACTTTTTGTGGATCTGCCCAGGTTTTGTGGTTTTGATTCTTAATGTTTTGGGATGCACTTTGTGGGTCAGGATTTCAGAAGCTGGTTATAGGCTTTTCAAGATCTTTTTTTCCTTAATGCTAGACTTACTTTCTATCTCAGAAGCACATCGTCTCTAAGGGTTGCCGAAACCAGAAAGTTTTCTGGCCTTTTTGGTGGCCTGTGAGCTACAGCCTGTGATCTCCTTAAATCAGGCTTTCTTGGGCAGTTTCTGCCTCCTGCAGATGTGCCTAGTAACTGTCTGAAGGCTTCTTTCAAGACAGCAACTGTAAGGTCAGCAGGCCTTGCCTCTCCCAGCTCCAAGGCAGTGTTGGTGTTTGGTGTTGGCTGGTAGAGAGACCTGAAATGCTGGAGGAGTTCCACGGTGGGACCAGCTTGTCACCCCAAACTCATGTGCCTCTGTGCCTCTGCTGCTAAGGACCTCAGAGCCCCAATTCCTGCCTCTTTTCTGCCCTTCCTGGCCTGGCAGCCCTTAGAGGATTAGTTGTGGGTGGCTGTGGTATAGTAGGCAGAAATCTTTATACCAGGCAAACCAAGGACTCTAAGGATAGTCAAAATCCCATGTGTAAATGTGCCAGGATCTAGTGCACCCATTTTATTAATTATAGAGACAAAGTCTCACTATGTTGCCCAGGCTGGTCTTGAACTTCTGGCCTCAAACAATCCTCTCGCCTTGGCCTCCTAGAGTGCTGGGATTACAGGTGTGAGCCACTGTGCCTGGCCTAGTCCACCTGTTTTAGGTTGAAGAGGTGAAAGCAGGTCTTTGGGTTCTCACCTGCAGCAGGTCCCCCACTTCCCCCATGCCCCTTAGTGTTTTCATCTACTTCTGGTAGACAAGTGTTGACAGGCAACTCTCTGAGCTTCCCCAGCCTCAGCTTTGTTTCTCTATATGATTTTGGCTCCCTCATTGCCTGTTGCCTCCCCACTTACCTTAGATGCTTTGAGCTTCTGTTTTGTGGTATGAACAGGGAGACAGGACCCCACTGTGCACTGGGTCCAAGGTCAGTTGGGAAGGAGAACTAGGGAGAGGAGCCTGGACATGCCCTGGGCCCCTTTGTGCAGTAGCCTCAAATTACTTACTGGTTCTTCTCAGAGCCCATGGGAGCCATAGGAACCATTATTGGCAGAGTCCATCATGTGCCTGGCACTATAATCATATGAGGTTGGGATTGTTTCCCTGATTTTACAGATGACACTGGGGCCAAGGTTGGGTCAAGCGCCAGCCAGCCTGGAGCTGGGATTCGCAGTGAAAGATGGGCCTTCTCATGGAGTAGAAGAATGAGGATTGTTATCCCCATTGTTATGGGGATGAGTCCTGGCTTGTCATTGGGCTGCATCTGTGAGAAGGAACTTTCATATCCTGTTTCACCCTTAGGATCTGAGAAGAAGAGAAGTGATCCAGAGCCTATAAGTTTTGAAAGCTGAGGAGGTATCCAGAGTTCCCGTGGACTGAGGGCCTCCTGCTTTGTTAGGGTAGAGCAGGTGCTTTATCCCCTAGCACCTCCGGGATGAGCTAAGCCCTGAGCTGAGTCCCTTTGGGAGGGTGGGGCTCCTAGTGGAATCCTTTGGGGACTGTGGACACTGCCAAACCTTCAGGCATGTTCAGACTTTCCAGGTAGGGGCTTTCCCCAAATGGCCTTGAAAATGCAGAAGTGCCAGTGTGCCTGTGACTTGGCCAGGTTCCTTGTGGAAATTAGGTTTGTTTTGCTTCCTGTAGCCCTTCTATTAAAATGAATCATGGCTGGGCACGGTGGCTCACACCTGTAATCCCAACACTTTGGCAGGCTGAGGCAGGAGGATCACTGAAGCCTAGGAGTTCAAGACCAATCTGGACAACATAGGAAGACCCATCTCTACAAAAAAGTAAATATTGGCCAGGCCTGGTTGTACACACCTGGCTCAAGTAGTCCCAGCTATTCAAGAGGCTGAGGTGGGATGATCACTTCAGCCCAGGAGTTTGAGGTTGCAGTGAGCTGTGATTGCACCACTGCACTCCAGTCTGGTGACAGTGAGTGAGACCCTGGCTCAAAAAAATGTATATTTAAGGGCTGGGCATGGTGGCCCACACCTGTAATCCCAGGATTTTGGGAGGCTGAGGCAGGAGGATTGCTTGAGCCCAGAAGTTTAAAGCCAGTCTGGGCAATATAATGAGACCCTGTCTCTACACACCCACACACACAAAATACCCGGGCACGTGCCTATGTCCCAGCTACTTGGGAGGCTGAGGTGGGAGGATTGCTTGAGCCTGGGAGGTTGAGGCTGCAATGTGCCATGATCACACTACTGAATTCCAGCCTAGGCAACAGAGTGAGACCCTTATATATACATATACATATATGTATATAAAGAATCATTGCCACTCAAAGTGCTGCTTGGGCCTGATGTCACCAGTACCACTCAAAGTGCTGCTTGGGCCTGATGTCACCAGTACCACTCAAAGTGCTGCTTGGGCCTGATGTCACCAGTACCAAGACTGGAGATGCAGGGGTTTTAGAACATTCAGGTTAGTACTTTTTCTTCCTGAGTAGTACCCATGATCCTGGAGTGACTGCCTGCTTCAGGGCTGTAGATCTAGACACCTGTCCTGCAGCCAGGTAGTGGCCGGGACTTCAGGACCCTGGGGAGCCAAAATTTGCAGAGGGGAAAGCAGGTGACTAGGTTGGAGAGACTTGGCTCTTATATTAGTCTGTTCTTGTGGTGCTATAAAGAAATACCTGAGACTGGTAATTTATAGAGAAAAGAGTTTTAATTGGCTCATGGTTCTGCAGGCTATACAGGGAATATAGTGGCTTCTGCTTCTGGGGATGCCTCAGGAAGCTTCCAATCATAGTGGAAAGCAAAGGGAGAGCTGGCGCTTCACACGGCTGGCCGGAACAGGAGGAAGGCTGGGGGAGGTGCTACACACTTTTTTTTTTTTTTTTGAGACGGAATCTCGCTCTGTCGCCCAGGCTGGAGTGCCGTGGCGTGATCTCGGCTCACTGCAGGCTCCGCCCCCCGGGTTCACTGCCATTCTCCTGCCTCAGCCTCCCGAGTAGCTGGGACTACAGGCGCCCGCCACCTCGCCCCGCTAATTTTTTTTATTTTTAGTAGAGACGGGGTTTCACCATGTTAGCCAGGATGGTCTTGATCTCCTGACCTCGTGATCCGCCTGCCTCAGCCTCCCAAAGTGCTGGGATTACAGGCGTGAGCCACCGCGCTCGGCCTTTTTTTTTTTGAGATGGAGTTTCGCTCTTCTGCCCAGGCTGGAGTGAAGTGGTGCAATCTCGGCTCACTTCAACCTCCGCCCTCTGGGTTCAAGCGACTCTCCTGCCTCAGCCTCTCGAGTAGCTGGGATTATAGGCGCCTGCCAGCATGCCCAGCTAATTTTCGTATTTTTAGTAGAGACAGGGTTTCACCATGTTGACCAGGCTGGTCTTGAACTCCTGAACTCAAGTGATCCACCCACCTCAGCCTCCCAAAGTACTAGGATTATAGGCGTGAGCCTCTGCTCCCGGCCTACACACTTTTAAACAACCAGATCTTGTGAGAACTCTGTCATGAGAACAGCACTAGGGGGGTGGTACTAAACGATCCATGAGAAATCACCCCCATGATCCAGTCCCCTCCCCCAGACCCCACCTCCAACACTAGGGATAATAATTTGACATGAGATTTGGGCAGTGACACAGATGTGAACCATATAAGCTCTGTTTTTCTGACATGACTTGCCCCAAAGACATGGGTAAACTTTACATGGCTGCAAAGCCATGGGTAGACAATAGTAAAAGAATTTGGTCACGTGCAGTGGCTCACAACTGTAATCCCAGCACTTTGGGAGGCTGAGGCAGCCAGATCACTGGAGGCCAGGAGTTTGAGACCAGCCTGGGCAACATGGCGAAATCCCATCTCTAAAAAAAGAAAAAGAAAAAAAAAATTAGCCGGGCATAGTGGCAGTCACCTGTGGTCCCAGCTACTCAGGAGGCTGAAGCTGGAGAAACATTTGAACCCAGGAAGCAGAGGTTACAGTGAACTGAGATCGTGCCACTGCACTCCAGCCCAGGTGACAGAGTGAGACTCTGTCTCAAAAAATAAATAAATAAATAAAATTAAATAAATTGTGAAAGAATTTGTTCTCAGTAGTCAAAATAAAGCTCATTTCTCATCTCCCATCTCCCAATTTGAAATTGAGCATTATAACTTGCTTTGGTGAAACCTGACGTTTTCTTTAGTGTTTATTGTTTGTTACATAATATTAACATGTTTTTAAGTTACTTGGCATAGTTAAAATAAGTGTATGGCTTTCAAGGATGGCTTCGCTGTGGGAGCCTTCCTATAGAATGGCCTGAGTTTGTTCTGTAGGAACTGCCTGATAGCAGAACTTTGGCTGTTGGGGTCAGCAGAATAGGAAGTGAGCCAGGCTGGGAAGCCTTGAGAAGGCAGGGCCCTTCTCTATTTTCTGTTAAAAAGTGCCCTTGTGGCCGGGTGCGGTGGCTCATGCCTGTAATCCCAGCACTTTGGGAGGCCGAGGTGGGCAGATCACGAGGTCGGGAGATTGAGACCATCCTGGCTAACACAGTGAAACCCCGTCTCTACTAAAAATACGAAAAATTGCCGGGCGCGGTGGCTCACGCCTGTAATCCCAGCACTTTGGGAGGCCAAGGCGGGCGGATCACGAGCTCAGGAGATCGAGACCATCTTGGCTAACACGGTGAAACCCCGTCTCTACTAAAAATACAAAAAATTAGCCGGGCACGGTGGCGGGCGCCTGTAGTCCCAGCTACAGGAGAATGAGGCAGGAGAATGGCATGAACCCGGGAGGCGGAGCTTGCAGTGAGCCGAGATAGCGCCACTGCAGTCCGGCCTGGGCGAAAGAGCGAGACTCTGTCTCAAAAAAAAAAAAAACCAACAAAACACGAAAAATTAGCCAGGCGTGGTGGCGGGCGCCTGTAGTCCCAGCTACTTGGGAGGCTGAGGCAGGAGAATGGCGTGATCCCGGGAGGCGGAGCTTGCAGTGAGCCGAGATCACGCCCCTGCACTCCAGCCTGGGTGATAGAGTGAGACGCTGTCTAAAAAAAAAAAGTGCCCTTGTATAGTTGAAGACAGACTTGGAGAGGCAACAGGTTGCTGACTTATCAACACTGATGGAGCGCCTAGCCACTCAGGAATGTCCCATGGTTCTAGCCAGCCATTTGGCTCCCTTCTTCTAGTCCCTCTCAACCTTGTTCAGTCTCCTCTGCAGTTGGCTTCTCCTTAGTTGGCTTTACCCAGACCTCTATTCCAGGCCTTCCCTGTCACCTTTCTTCATCCTCCCTCTGCCATGTGAGCTCGTGTCCTACTGGTGGCCATTGGGATGGAGTAGAGTTAGGAAATAACCCTCAGGTGACCAAAAACCGGGGTCCACACCCTAATTCACCTACTCTCCACCTCTCAGGACCCCTACTTCTATCCCACTCCTGTAAAACATCTCATGGGCCTTACTTATTTGCTTCATGGTGGTTTTTTGTTTGTTTGTTTTTGCAAAACAAGAGCATTCAACCTTTATTTTATGTGTTTATATACGGATGTGGCAGTTTTATTTAATATAAATGAACTGAAAAATGTAAAGCTTAGATTTTTCAGCCAAAACATTTGAAATAGTGTGATTTTTTTTTTTTTTTTTTTTTTTTTTTGGGACAGAGTCTCACTCTGTCATTCAGGCTGGAGTGCAGTGGTGTGGTCTCCGCTCACTGCAGCCTCTGTCTCCTGGGTTCAAGCCATTCTTGTGCATCAGCCTCCCGACTAGCTGGGACTACAGGTGTGCACCACCATGCCTGGCTAATTTTTGTGTTTTTAGTAGAGACGGGATTTTGCCATGTTGGCCAGGCTGGTCTCAAACTCCTGACTTCAAGTGATCCACCCGCCTCAACCTCCCAAAGTGCTGGGATTACAGGCATGAGCCACCACGCCCAGCCAATAAGTGTGATTTTTATGGTTAAAAAATATTTTTAAAGAAAAATATATTTAGCATTTTTCATGAATTTGAAGACACCCATGTTTACAGATGTTTTAACATTTCTGATGTTTGATGGTGAGTGACAGGGTGGGAGATTCTTAATTAGATGATGGCACATCTTAGAGTTGATGCAATGTGGTATCACAAAAGAAACACTATTTGCTAACCCTTAATGAGTGGCTCAGAGAGCAATTAGGAAATGATAACCCTGATAATAATAACGCCTTTTTTTTTTTTTTTTCTGAGATGGAGTCTCACTCTGTCACCCAGGCTGGGTTGCAGTGGCGTGATCTCAGTTCACTGCAACCTCCGCTTCCCAGGTTCAAGCAATTCTTATGCCTTAGCCTCCTGAGTAGCTGGGACTACAGGTGCCTGCCACCACATCCGACTAATTTTTGTACTTTTAGTAGAGATGGGGTTTCGCCGTGTTGGCCAGGCTGGTCTCGAACTCCTGACCTCAGGTGATCTGCCCACCTTGGCCTCCCAAAGTGCTGGGATTACAGGGGTGAGCCACCATGCCTGGCCCAATAATAATAATTCCTAACAATGTCAGTAATCTCATGGTTAAAAAAAATTTTTTTTTTGAAATAGAGATGGGGGTCTCACTGTGTTGGCCAGGGTGGTCTCTAATGCCTGCTGGCCTCAAGCAATCCTCCCGCCTTGGCCTCCCAAAGTACTGGGATTATAGGTATGAGCTACCATGCCCAGCTTTCTCATACATTTTTGCTGGGTGTAGGAAACCTGTTTAAATTAGTTTAAAGGGGGGAAATTATCTAGTTTCTGATAAGGCTGCTGCCTGGACACCTGGGTACAAGCCTGGGGTCTCCTTTCCAAATCACTCAAGTACTTTGTTTTTTGGCAGGAGGAAGCCCAGGGAACCAGAGGCACTGGGGAATCCAGCAGTCAGTGGCTTTAGCTTTCCTGCCACAGGGAGGGGGAAGCATTTTAGGGTCCCCCTATTGATAAGCAGTGGTCATGAAGGGCAGTCCTAAGCTGAGTCTGGGAGTGTGATGTACTGTGTTTTGGCCAATTTGTCTCTGGTACTTGTTATAGGACAATGGAGATGAGAGTGCCTTCAGGCCAACCAGAGAATGGGGGGTGTCACTTTTCTTGCATTGGGGCAGGAGTAGGTGTTTCCCAAAAGTGAAAGGAGCCACAGATGGGGCTGGGGCAAGAGCTAAGTCATATTTTCCTCTTGTCAGCTGTTGGTGGAGGTTTCTATGGTGGCATTTCCTTGGGTGCTCTGAGTATGACCAGTTATATCTCTGTGGAAAGGGACTTCCACAACAAAAGAAGTCTGGGAGATGCTGTTGAGTTGGAATAAGGTGATGAGCTCCTTAGGCCTGCTTCTGTGCCTGGTCTCTCCAAGGGCAGAAGAGGTCTCTGTGTATTTCCTGTACTTGATTGACTGTAGAACCTCTCTCTTTTAGAGAGACCAGAGCTCCTTGGGATTCCTTTAGTAAGCACTATTCTAGAATAGTTGATTCTAGTCTCTGCTCCCTGGGTACCACAGTTTGTCTTGAGATTTGAGAAGCAGGGTAAATGAAAACATTAGATACAACTAACTCTCTTTGCTACACAAATGTGCCCCACTACACTTGAATGTAACGTGATGTTGTAATGTGAGTCCTTCAGAGCGTTGAGCCTTCCCTTGTACCCAGACCTGTGTGCATCTCCACTTTGGGGCAGGAATGGTCCTCCAGGCCAGGCATGTGACCTGAGCAAAGATGTGGTGTCTGCAGAGGGCCGGGGAGAAGTCTGAGGCAAGGGTGGAAAGGAATGCTGAGGGCTGGAATGTGACTTGATTCTTCAGGTAGAATGGGCAAGTAGGTGGCAGGGCGTGTCACTGTTATAAAATCCACAACAGTCGTGAGCTCCATGGCATCAGTTCTTGGGAATGAGACATGTGCTTGAGTGCCAGCACTGCTGTCTCCCCACTGTGTGGCCTTGGGTGAGATATTTGCCTCCCAAGTTAGCCCATCTCATAGCCCTAGTCTTGTGACAGGTAAATAAACTCAGTTGTGTCTCTCTAGGGGGGAGGAATCAGCTTCCCCAGCAGGCATTCTGAATTATACCTTAAACCTGTCACACAATTCAGGTTAACTGTTGTGATCATATTCAGGTTATGCAGTGACAATAGTATTTTTAATTTATGCTTGTGTCTCTTCTAGGTATCAGCGGCAGGGAAGGAGGCTTTGCCATCTTGGCTGCACTGGGACTCACAGAGCCACACCCTGGAGGGCCTCCCCCTTGACACTGATAAGGGTGTGCATTACATTTCAGTGAGCGCTACACGGCTGGGGGCCAACGGGAGCCACATCCCCCAGACCTCCAGTGTGTTCTCCATCGAGGTCTACCCTGAAGACCACAGTGAGCTGCAGTCGGTGAGGACAGCCTCCCCAGACCCTGGTGAGGTGGTATCATCTGCCTGTGCTGCGGATGAACCTGTGACTGTTTTGACGGTGATTTTGGATGCCGACCTCACCAAGATGACCCCAAAGCAAAGGATTGACCTCCTGCACAGGATGCGGAGCTTCTCAGAAGTAGAGCTTCACAACATGAAATTAGTGCCGGTGGTGAATAACAGACTATTTGACATGTCGGCCTTCATGGCTGGCCCGGGAAATGCAAAAAAGGTGGTGGAGAATGGGGCCCTTCTCTCCTGGAAGCTGGGCTGCTCCCTGAACCAGAACAGTGTGCCTGACATTCATGGTGTAGAGGCCCCTGCCAGGGAGGGCGCAATGTCT
This sequence comes from Homo sapiens, assembly GCF_000001405.40. Taxonomy (NCBI): domain Eukaryota; kingdom Metazoa; phylum Chordata; class Mammalia; order Primates; family Hominidae; genus Homo; species Homo sapiens. Next base: position 49,531,373 of record NC_000003.12, read on the forward strand.
GCTCAGCTTGGCTACCCTGTGGTGGGTTGGCACATCGCCAATAAGAAGCCCCCTCTTCCCAAACGCGTCCGGAGGCAGATCCATGCTACACCCACACCTGTCACTGCCATTGGGCCCCCAACCACGGCTATCCAGGAGCCCCCATCCAGGATCGTGCCAACCCCCACATCTCCAGCCATTGCTCCTCCAACAGAGACCATGGCTCCTCCAGTCAGGGATCCTGTTCCTGGGAAACCCACGGTCACCATCCGGACTCGAGGCGCCATTATTCAAACCCCAACCCTAGGCCCCATCCAGCCTACTCGGGTGTCAGAAGCTGGCACCACAGTTCCTGGCCAGATTCGCCCAACGATGACCATTCCTGGCTATGTGGAGCCTACTGCAGTTGCTACCCCTCCCACAACCACCACCAAGAAGCCACGAGTATCCACACCAAAACCAGCAACGCCTTCAACTGACTCCACCACCACCACGACTCGCAGGCCAACCAAGAAACCACGGACACCCCGGCCAGTGCCCCGGGTCACCACCAAAGTTTCCATCACCAGATTGGAAACTGCCTCACCGCCTACTCGTATTCGCACCACCACCAGTGGAGTGCCCCGTGGCGGAGAACCCAACCAGCGCCCAGAGCTCAAGAACCATATTGACAGGGTAGATGCCTGGGTTGGCACCTACTTTGAGGTGAAGATCCCGTCAGACACTTTCTATGACCATGAGGACACCACCACTGACAAGCTGAAGCTGACCCTGAAACTGCGGGAGCAGCAGCTGGTGGGCGAGAAGTCCTGGGTACAGTTCAACAGCAACAGCCAGCTCATGTATGGCCTTCCCGACAGCAGCCACGTGGGCAAACACGAGTATTTCATGCATGCCACAGACAAGGGGGGCCTGTCGGCTGTGGATGCCTTCGAGATCCACGTCCACAGGCGCCCCCAAGGGGATAGGGCTCCTGCAAGGTTCAAGGCCAAGTTTGTGGGTGACCCGGCACTGGTGTTGAATGACATCCACAAGAAGATTGCCTTGGTAAAGAAACTGGCCTTCGCCTTTGGAGACCGAAACTGTAGCACCATCACCCTGCAGAATATCACCCGGGGCTCCATCGTGGTGGAATGGACCAACAACACACTGCCCTTGGAGCCCTGCCCCAAGGAGCAGATCGCTGGGCTGAGCCGCCGGATCGCTGAGGATGATGGAAAACCTCGGCCTGCCTTCTCCAACGCCCTAGAGCCTGACTTTAAGGCCACAAGCATCACTGTGACGGGCTCTGGCAGTTGTCGGCACCTACAGTTTATCCCTGTGGTACCACCCAGGAGAGTGCCCTCAGAGGCGCCGCCCACAGAAGTGCCTGACAGGGACCCTGAGAAGAGCAGTGAGGATGATGTCTACCTGCACACAGTCATTCCGGCCGTGGTGGTCGCAGCCATCCTGCTCATTGCTGGCATCATTGCCATGATCTGCTACCGCAAGAAGCGGAAGGGCAAGCTTACCCTTGAGGACCAGGCCACCTTCATCAAGAAGGGGGTGCCTATCATCTTTGCAGACGAACTGGACGACTCCAAGCCCCCACCCTCCTCCAGCATGCCACTCATTCTGCAGGAGGAGAAGGCTCCCCTACCCCCTCCTGAGTACCCCAACCAGAGTGTGCCCGAGACCACTCCTCTGAACCAGGACACCATGGGAGAGTACACGCCCCTGCGGGATGAGGATCCCAATGCGCCTCCCTACCAGCCCCCACCGCCCTTCACAGCACCCATGGAGGGCAAGGGCTCCCGTCCCAAGAACATGACCCCATACCGGTCACCTCCTCCCTATGTCCCACCTTAACCCGCAAGCGCCTGGGTGGAGGCAGGGTAGGGCAGGGGCCTGGAGACGACATGGTGTTGTCTGTGGAGACCGGTGGCCTGCAGACCATTGCCCACCGGGAGCCGACACCTGACCTAGCACACACTGACACAGGGGCCTGGACAAGCCCGCCCTCTCTGGTCCTCCCAAACCCCAAAGCAGCTGGAGAGACTTTGGGGACTTTTTTATTTTTATTTTTTGCCTAACAGCTTTTGGTTTGTTCATAGAGAATTCTTCGCTTCATTTTTGATGGCTGGCTCTGAAAGCACCATGTGGAGTGGAGGTGGAGGGAGCGAGGAACCATGAATGAACTCGCAGGCAGTGCCGGGCGGCCCCCTGGCTCTCTGCGTTTTGCCTTTAACACTAACTGTACTGTTTTTTCTATTCACGTGTGTCTAGCTGCAGGATGTAACATGGAAAACAGTAACTAAAGATTAAATTCAAAGGACTTTCAGAAGTTAAGGTTAAGTTTTTACGTTTAATCTGCTGTTTACCTAAACTTGTATGTATAATTTTTGGGTGGGTATGGGGAATTGCTTTGCTAAAAATAAGCTCCCAGGGTGTTTCAAACTTAGAGAAGACCAAGGGACAGTATTTTTTATCAAAGGAATACTATTTTTTCACACTACGTCAACTTGGTTGCTCTGATACCCCAGAGCCTGATTGGGGGCCTCCCGGCCCTGGCTCACGCCAAGTCCCTGGTGCTGGGTTTGCTCTCCCGCTGTTGCCAGGGGCTGGAAGCTGGAGGGGTCTCTTGGGCCATGGACATCCCCACTTCCAGCCCATGTACACTAGTGGCCCACGACCAAGGGGTCTTCATTTCCATGAAAAAGGGACTCCAAGAGGCAGTGGTGGCTGTGGCCCCCAACTTTGGTGCTCCAGGGTGGGCCAGCTGCTTGTGGGGGCACCTGGGAGGTCAAAGGTCTCCACCACATCAACCTATTTTGTTTTACCCTTTTTCTGTGCATTGTTTTTTTTTTTCCTCCTAAAAGGAATATCACGGTTTTTTGAAACACTCAGTGGGGGACATTTTGGTGAAGATGCAATATTTTTATGTCATGTGATGCTCTTTCCTCACTTGACCTTGGCCGCTTTGTCCTAACAGTCCACAGTCCTGCCCCGACCCACCCCATCCCTTTTCTCTGGCACTCCAGTCCCAGGCCTTGGGCCTGAACTACTGGAAAAGGTCTGGCGGCTGGGGAGGAGTGCCAGCAATAGTTCATAATAAAAATCTGTTAGCTCTCAAAGCTAATTTTTTACTAAAGTTTTTATACAGCCTCAAATTGTTTTATTAAAAAAAAGATTTAAAATGGTGATGCTTACAGCAGTTTGTACGAGCTCTTAAGTGTTGATTCCATGGAACTGACGGCTTTGCTTGTTTTGATTCTTTTCCCCCTACTTTTCCTAATGGTTTAAATTCTGGAATTACACTGGGGTTCTTTTGCCTTTTTTAGCAGAACATCCGTCCGTCCATCTGCATCTCTGTCCCATGACTCAGGGGCGCCCACTCTGCTTCGATTCTCCTCCTGTGGAAGAAACCATTTTGAGCATGACTTTTCTTGATGTCTGAAGCGTTATTTTGGGTACTTTTTAGGGAGGAATGCCTTTCGCAATAATGTATCCATTCCCTGATTGAGGGTGGGTGGGTGGACCCAGGCTCCCTTTGCACACAGAGCAGCTACTTCTAAGCCATATCGACTGTTTTGCAGAGGATTTGTGTGTGCTGCCTCAGGAGGGGAGGGCTGGTAGGAGGGGGGGAGAGGTCTCTGTCCTACTGCTCTCCAGAGGGCATTTCCCCTTGCGCCTTCTCCCACAGGGCCCAGCCCCTCTCCCCTGCCCCAGTCCCCAGGGGGTACTCTGGAGTGAGCAGTGCCCCTGTGGGGGAGCCTGTAAATGCGGGCTCAGTGGACCACTGGTGACTGGGCTCATGCCTCCAAGTCAGAGTTTCCCTGGTGCCCCAGAGACAGGAGCACAAGTGGGATCTGACCTGGTGAGATTATTTCTGATGACCTCATCAAAAAATAAACAATTCCCAATGTTCCAGGTGAGGGCTTTGAAAGGCCTTCCAAACAGCTCCGTCGCCCCTAGCAACTCCACCATTGGGCACTGCCATGCAGAGACGTGGCTGGCCCAGAATGGCCTGTTGCCATAGCAACTGGAGGCGATGGGGCAGTGAACAGAATAACAACAGCAACAATGCCTTTGCAGGCAGCCTGCTCCCCTGAGCGCTGGGCTGGTGATGGTCGTTGGACTCTGTGAGATGGAGAGCCAATCTCACATTCAAGTGTTCACCAACCACTGATGTGTTTTTATTTCCTTCTATATGATTTTAAGATGTGTTTTCTGCATTCTGTAAAGAAACATATCAAACTAAATAAAAGCAGTGTCTTTATTACAACGCCGTTGCATCTGGGCATCTGTTTCCCTGGCATCTGGAGAGGTTCCTGGACATGAGGGGTTGGGGGCTCATGTGACGGGGAAGAGGAGACTCAGCCAGGTCCACTTGGGGTTGGCCCAGTGGCCTCCATGTAAGCCTTACCATTTCTGTGCTGGGAGGGCTGGGTGTGCACTCCAGAAACTCTGCCAACATGTAATGCCCCCTTCACCCCTCTTCTGCCTGTGAATCAGCTAAGACAAGTCTCCTACATCCTCAGTTCCTCCTCTGTAAGGGGTGGGGGATAGCAGAGAAACCAGTGAGACTGGCTGGGAAGGAGGATGGTGGGAAAGTGTCACGGGTTTTCTGCCCCAGAGTGTGTCAGCCCCTGTACCTCCTGGGTAGGGTTCCTTCAGGCCAGGTCTCTGTGAAGATGGGGACCTAGGGATACCTCTGGCTGCAGCTCTACCCCACCTCCTGCCTGCATTATCTTGTGGGCTTGGGACTGGCTAGTCTCCCAGGTAGTCTCAAGGCAGGTTTGTGTTGGCCTTGGGGTGGGAACAATGGTTTCTGGCCAGGCTGCTCTGCCTTGGTTGGCCTGTAGGTTCTGGGGGTTGGGGGGTGACCTTCAGTCCCTGGCTTGGGATGGACAGTCCAGCTGGGTAGGCTGATCATGACTCAGTGCCCAGGAAGGGGCAGATGGGTTGTCCTAGGACACTGCTCGGAGTGTGGGCGGCAGGAGATGCAGCAGCTGTGTTTCAAGGGGCAAAGGGGCAGAATCGAGTGATTGGTCACAGAACAACTGGTGCCTCTTCTGGGCTCAACTCTGCCATCCCTGGCTCCTTACCATGACCCCTGCTCCTCTGCTCAAAGACCCACAGAGGCTGGTCCGATATTGCAGATAAGAGCTGATTCCCAGGGTGGGGGGGTTGTTGAAGGTCCAACAACTACTTGGAGTTAGGACCTGAATGTGCACCATGCTAAGTGCCAGGAAAGGCTGTCCCCAGCACACACTTCACTCCCTAGGCCTAGCAGCAGGGGCCCAGGAAATGACCCCGTCGTTATTCTCTTGACCTCAGGAACTTTTGCTTAACATCTAACCTGAAGCCACTGGGTAATGAGTGGACTCACTGTTCTGAATTCAAGTAAGGGAATACTTGGTCTTGGCAGAGAACATTAAGGCCAGAAGGACCTCTGGCCTCAGCTCTGCCCTGCCTCTTTTGGGGGATGGGGTAGTATCCGCTGTTTAGCCCAGCAGACCCTTGACCCCTGGCACTCCTGCCAGATCCCTGTTCCTTGATTTGGATGAGGACTGCTCAGGTCTTTTAAGCTGGGGTTAGAGGGTCGTAGACAGGAGAGTAGGAAAGAAGGAACATCAGACCTACAGGAATCTGCCTTCCCACATTCCTCTGACTTGGAATGACTCTGGCCTGGCTTGGAGACAGTGCTGGTCTCTAGAAAATGCTAGAGGAATCTGCATTTTCTCTTGTCATAAAGGCACTGCCTTAGGCCTAGATCTTTGAGCTAGTCTTGGGATAAGGGCTGTTAGCTGGAAAATCTTGTGGTGTGTCTAGGCCAGCCTGGCCTCTAGAATACTACCACCAGTTTGGGACCGGGCGCGGTGGCTCACGCCTGTAATCCCAAGCACTTTGGGAGGCCGAGGCAGGCGGATCACGAGGTCCGGAGATGAGACCATCCTGGCCAACATGGTGAAACCGTCTCTACTAAAAAATATAAAAAAGTTAGCTGAGCGTGGTGGTGGGCGCTTGTAGTCCCAGCTACTCGGGAGGCTGAGGCAAGAGAATGGCATGAATCACGGAGGTGGAGCTTGCAGTGAGCTGAGATTGCACCACTGCAGTGCACTCCAGCCTGGGCAACAGAGCGAAACGCTGAGACTCTGTCTAAAAAAAAAAAGAAAAAAAGAAAAGAATACCACCAGTCTTGGGGGGGCTGGAGGCTCCACACTACTTACCTCATTGTAGCCCACAGCCTCGCCTCCCCTTGTTGCCCACAGGTTGAACAAGCTCCTAGGAGAGGCCCTTTCCTAGCTCCCCTAAAGCAAAGAAGGCCCAATTCAAGCATCAGTCTTTCAAGAGTGAGCTTCATTTCTCTATTTCTTTTCTTTTCTTTTTTTTTTTTAGAGACTGAGTCTTGCTCTGTCGCCCAGGCTGGAGTGCAGTGGCACAATCTCAGCTCACTGCAACCTCCGCCTCCTGGGTTCTAGCAATTCTCCTGCCTCAGCCTCCTGAGTAGCTGGGACTACAGGTGCATGCTGCCACGCCTGGCTAATTTTTTGTATTTTAGTAGAGATGGGGTTTCACCATGTGACCCAGGCTGGTCTCGAACTCCTGAGCTCAGGCAGTCCACCCACCTCAGCCTCCCAAAGTCCTAGGATTATAGGCATGAGCCACTGCACTCGGCCTATTTCTTTTTTTCTTTTTTTCTTTTTTTTTTGAAAGTCTTGCTCTATGGCCCAGGCTAGAGTGCAGTGTTGTGATTTTGGCTCACTGCAACCTCTGCCTCCGGGGTTAAGGCGATTCTCATGTCTCAGCCTCCCAAGTAGCTAGGACTACAGGCACGTGCTACCACACCCAGCTAATTTTTGTATTTTTTTTAGTAGAGATGGGGTTTCGCCATCTTGGCTAGGCTGGTTTCGAACTCCTGACCTCAAGTAAGTGATCCTCCCGCCTTGGCCTCCCAAAGCGCTGGGATTTCCTTTTTTTTTTTTTTTTTGAGACGGAGTCTCGCTCTGTCACCCAGGCTGGAGTGCAGTGGTGCCATCTTGGCTCACTGCAACCTCCGCCTCCCAGGTTCAAGCGATTCACCTGCCTCAGCCTCCCAAGTAGCTGGGACTACAGGTGTGTGCCACCACGCCTGGCTCATTTTTTGTATTATTATTATTATTATTATTATTATTATTATTTTGAGATGGAGTCTTGCTCTGTCACCCAGACTGGTGCAGTGGCCCAATCTCAGCTCACTGCAAGCTCCACCTCCTGGGTTCATGCCATTCTCCTGTCTCAGCCTCCCGAGTAGCTGGGACTACAGGTGCCCGCCACCACGCCCGGCTAATTTTTTTGTATTTTTAGTAGAGACGGGGTTTCACCGTTTTAGCCAGGATGGTCTCGATCTCCTGACCTTGTGATCCGCCTGCCTTGGCCTCCCAAAGTGCTGGGATTACAGGCGTGAGCCACCGCGCCTGGCCTGGGATTTCAATATCTTAAAAATCCAAATCCATTGGTGACTCTTTCCCTGTTTTGCTCACCTTCCTCACAACTACCTTGAGGCAAAGTCACTGAGGCCCAGAGAGGGCAAGGGAGTTATTGGTCTGGGTCTTGTGGCTAGTGTGAGGCGTGTTCAGTTCTAAATATGACCCAAACACTTTAGGTTTTATTATTATTATTATTATTATTATTATTATTATTATTATTATTACTACTACTACTATTATTATTTTGAGACAGCGTCTTGCTCTGTCGGCCAGGCTGGAGTGCAGTGGCACCATCTCGGCTCACTGCAACCTCCACTTCCCGGATTCAAGCGATCCTCCTGCCTCAACCTCTGGAGTAGCTGGGATTACAGGCATCCGCCACCACGGCCGGCTAATTTTTGTATTTTTAGTAGAGACAAGGTTTCACCATGTTGGCCAGGCTGGTGTTGAACTCCTGACCTCAGGTGATCCACTCACCTCGGCCTCCCAAAGTGCTGGGATTACAGGCGTGAGCTACCGTGCCCGGCCAGGTTTAATTCTGATGATGAAATTCTGTTCCTGTTGTAGAGCAGCAAAGAATTATTTGAAGCACCTATGGAGAAATGCTGGGTACCATTTCCCTGTGGGGACCCTAGAAGATCTAGAGGAGGTTCGGCAAGAGGTTCAAAGTGGGGGCTCCCATCAGCTGGAGTTCGGGTGCTCCTGCAGGAGGGGCCCTCCTAAGGACAGCCTAGGGCATGGGCAGCATGAAGACCGGGTTGCTGGGGCCCTGGTTAGCCCCACTACCCCCAGTTTTGGTGGCGATTATCCTAGAGTCTCAGTTCGGGTCAGACGAATTGTTCTGTCCATGTCCCTGTGAAGGCTCCGTGTGGCGAGACGCAGGGCCTTGGGCAGGTTCGGGCTGGGGATAGGGAGAGCTCCCAACCTTGGTAGTGGCTCCAGATGCCCCCCAGGTGAGCCCAGCAGAGTGGACTGCCAGGAGCAGCTCTGGGCCGAAGAGGGAGACAGTGTCCGCGGCCTCCCAGGAGGTGGCGCCAGAGGATTAAGTCGCCAGCGGTGGGCGGGGCTGAAGAGTCGGGCTGTGGGCGGGGCTAATAACGCCGCCAGCTCCCGGAAAGCGCTAGCCTCCGGAGGCCGGCCGTGGGTCGAGCTGAGGCCGCTCGGGAGCGGACGAAAATCTCCGGCAGCGCGGGGCCGAGCGGGGCTGTGGGCAGGGCTAAGGCCGTGGGGCCGGCGGGCGGGCGGGGCGAAGCCCGCGAGTAGCCCAACCGCGGGGAGCCAGTCCGAGCGCGGCCGCTAGCTGGTGGTGTAACTAGACTTGTCTTCTCTCCACCACTGCCGCACAGTCCCTGAGGGCATCGGGGCGAGTGTAGCTGCAACTGGGGAGCCTGTGATTCGCCAGTGCCCTTCTCCCTAGGCAAGGGAAGCGAGCAGGCAATAAGAGGGGCGAGTCTGGGGCCCAGGCTTCCGCTACCGAGACCCCAGTCAGCAAACCTTTAATTCAGAGGTGGGGAACCAATAAGGAGCCCTCCTGTGCGTACTCCCTCGCCTTAGCGTTTGCCTGCCTCCAGGCCCCGTGCCCCGCGGAGCCAGCGCGGGACCTGCACACGGTATAGATAGAGCTCAGCGCTTGCAGGGCCTCTCTGTCTCTCCTTCCTCCAGCCAGAGAGCTCCTGAGGGCACCGCCTAAAGGGGGTAGCCTGATAGGGTACTGTGAGATCTGGGAGGGTACTGGATGGAGATGAGGTGCCTCCACTTGTGTGATTGGGTCCCCCTGCTTGGCACTAGAAGCAGACGTGGGATGAGGCTGCTGGCGACTTACTCTTTCCCTGAGTGGGGGTACCCTGAAACCCCAGGAAACACCTTTCCCAAAGCAGTCTTCACAGCTCTAGGCATGCATTGGAACAGCAGGGACATCCAGTTGGGAGCTGGCCAGGGCCAGGGCTGAGGGTGCTGTTGTCTTCTGTCCGCATGGTGTCGCATCCTTAGGCTATAGAGGGCAAAACCAAGTTTGGAGCCTGCCAAAATGGTCCAGAGCTCACGCCAGACCAGCTCCCTTTCTAGGGAATTGGAGCCAGTAGTCTAGGATCACTTCCCACTTCCGTTGCAAAAGGTCTTGAGAGAGGCCGGGCCTAGCGGCTCACGCCTGTAATCCCAGCACTTTGGGAGGCCAAGGCGGGTGGATCACCTGAGGTTAGGAGTTCAAGACCAGCCTGGCCAACATGGTGAAACCCCGTCTCTACTAAAAATGCAAAAACTAGCCAGGTGTGGTGGTGCACACCTGTAGTCCCAGCTACTCGAGAGGCTGGGGCAGAAGAACCGCTTGAACCCGGGAGGTGGAGGTTGCAGTGAGCCGAGATCTCGCCACTGCATTCTAGCCTGGGCGAAACTCTGTCATACAAAAACAAAAACAAAAACAACAAAATCAACGTTCAGTTGGGACTTACTGACATTATAAAACCTAAACAGTTAATTTTCTTCTGCACCGTGGCCTGGCCACAGTACAAACTGGATAATGTCAGTTACTGAGTTACTGGCCGGAAAGTGGCACTTTCAAGCCCCAACTTCAATGCAATCGTTTTTTTTTTTTCTTTTTTTTTTTTTTGAGGCGGAGTCTCGCTCTGTCATCCAGGCTGGAGTGCAGTGGTACAATCTCAGCTCACTGCAACCTCTGCCTTCCAGGGTCAAGAGATTCTTTTGCCTCAGTCTCCCTAGTAGCTGGGATTACAGGTGTGTACCACCACACCCAGCTAGTTTTTTGTATTTTTAGTAGAGATGGGGTTTCGCCATGTTGGCCAGGCTGGTCTCAAACTCCTGACCTCAGGTGATCTGCCCGCCTTGGCCTCCCAAAGTGTTGAGATTACAGGCGTGAGCCACAATGCCCAGCCCAAACAATCTTTTTTTTTTTTTGAGATGGAGTATCGCTCTGTCACCAGGCTGGAGTGCACTCCACAATCTCGGCTCACTGCAACCTCTGCCTCCCAGGTTCAAGCGATTCTCCTGCCTCAGCCTCCCGAGTAGCTGGGGCTACAGGCACGTGCCACCACGCCCAGCTAATTTTTGTATTTTTAGTAGAGAAGGGGATTCACCGTGTTTGCCAGGATGGTCTTGATCTCTTGACTTCATGATCTGCCCACTTCGGCCTCCCAAAGTGCTGGGATTACAGGCATGAGCCACCGCGCTCGGCCCAGCCCGAGCAATCTTAACAATTTCTTACAACAAAATGGCAACTGGTCCGAGGTCCCTTATATCCAAGATTTCATGTATTTACACTCAAAACTTTCCCTCTATCAGTCTTGCTCCCCTCATCAAGTTTTATTGCTAAACGAAAACTCCCAGTCCCCTTTTCACCCCTCCCCTTCAGCCCCTGAAAGGAATTTCAACCCTGCTGAGGAATGTCCACCATATCTCCAGCCCCAGGCTCCCCAAGAGCCGCCAGCACCATTGCCATCTCTCTCATTCCCCTATCCACCTGTCACTCATTCAAAAAACAATCAGGGCTGGGTGCGGTGGCTCATGCCTATAATCCCTGCACTTTGGGAGGCCAAGGCGGGCAGATCACCTGAGGTCAGGAGTTCAAGACCAGCCTGACCAACATGGAGAAACCCCGTCTCTACTAAAAATACAAAATTAGCTGGGCATGGTGGCACATGCCTGTAATCCAAGCAACTTGGGAGGTTGAGGCAGGAGAATCTCTTGAACCCAGGAGGCGGAGGTTGCGGTGAGCCGAGATTGCACCATTGCACTCCAGCCTGAGCAACAAGAGTGAAACTCCATCTCAAAAAAAAAAAAAAAAAAAAAAAAAATCAGACCCCGGCCACCCTTCCCCTTTGCAAAGTAGCTGGGGCAGAAGGCATAGTCAGGGTTCATGTTCCCTTTTCAATCTCAGACATGTCGGAGGTTGAGAGGCTCCTTGGCTCCTTTTCCACTGGCCCATCCCACTTCCAGAAGGAATTTCTTTATATTACTCAGTCACATAACCTTACTTGGCATGACATTTATGTTATCCTGTCAGCCACTCTCACCCTAGATGAGAAAGAGCATATTTGGCTAGCTGCTCAAGCCCATGCCGACACACTTCATCAGCAGGATACAGTCCATAATCCTGTTGCGGCCATTGCTGTTCCCCTAGCCGACCCCGAATGGACTTAACAACAGGGGGACCCTGGCACCCAATGCCGTAACCATATGGTCACTTGTCTCGTGGCTGGCATGGAAAAATGTGCCCATGCCGATAAGGTAGTAAATTATGAAAAAATTAGAGAAATAACCCAAGGCCCAAATGAAAATCCAGCTCTTTTCCTATCAAGGTTATTAGAGACTATGCTCAAATACACAAAACTAGACCCTGAATCACAAGAGGGTCAAACCTATCTTCACTTACATTGCATTTCACAATCAGCACCAGATATCAGGAAACAGCTGCAAAAACTAGAGGAGGGACCCCAAACCCCACAAAGGGACCTTTTAAATCTGTCCTTCAAGGTCTTCAACAACAGGGAGGAAGAACATAAAGTGCCAAAGGAGAAACAGGCTAAGATTAAATACCAGATGCTGGCCATTGCCCTCCAGAGAGGTTCCAAGGAGAAATCACCTTCTCAGGGCCCCGGCACCTGTTTTTGACGTGGCAATCCGGGACACTGGGCAAAGGCTTGCCCAAACCCATGGCCTCCAACAAAGCCTTGCCCTATATGTGGCAAATGGGGACACTGGAAAATGGACTGCTCTCAACAAGAATGCCCTTCCCATTCAACAGCATCCTCCAGTCAGTCCCCAAACCCACCACAGGGACACCTCTCCTCTTTGTTGACACTAGCAGCTGAAGACTGACGGTGCCCGGGATTGCTTGTACCCATGCCATGTGAGTCTCCAGAACCCGGGGTAATTGGGATGGCATCTGGTAAGCCAGTCTCCTTCTTATTGGATACTGGGGCAAGTTTCTCAGTTCTTCCAGAGTATTATGGACCCCTAAATTGTTCCTCTATTTCTGTTGTTGGGGTTGATGGCCACCCTACCGCTCACTCTCAAACACCTCCATTATACTGCACCTTATTCAATACTGCCTTTACTCACTCATTTGTAGTAATTCCACAGTGTCCTACACTCCTTATTAGAAGAGATATAATCAACAAATTTGGGGCCACATTACAATTGAATGCCTTACCGTAGGTGCCTGCATACTTGCTCCTTTGCCAGCCAGAAAACAATGAAGCCCAAACCCAGTCCTCAACAATTTCAATCCAAGGAGTTAACCCAATGGTATGGGACACTTCTCAGCCCACTGTTGCCATATACCACCAGCTGTTTCTAATAAAACTTAAGGCCCCTTCCCAAATTGTTTCACAACCCCAATATCCCCTCAGTCAGGCTGGACTTAAGGGAATAAAACCCATCATCACCAGATTACTAAAAGCTGGCATTTTAACAACCACCAATTCCCCCCACTGCAGCAAAATTAAAGGGCATAGCTCCCTGGATACATTTCTCAAAACTTAAAAGGGCTCCTCCTCTTAATCCCAACCTGTCTCAATTTTCTTGTTTTCTTACAGGACCCACCAAACTCAAGATCACTTGACTCCCCACAATTCTTTAACCACCAACTCTTTCAGTAATTTTATTTGCTGCCTTGTAGAAGACCTTTCCTGGTATCCAGGCTCCCCCCACCCCCCATAATTTATTTCTCCTCCTTTTATGAGATATGGCTGCAGGAAACTTTTGCAGACTGCACTCCATCTCAAATGTCCTTTTTTTCTTTTGTTCTTTGTCTCCTTCTAGTACCACTCTTCCCCTTACTTAAACCATACCTTGCAGCTGTCTTACAACTTACTAAAACAGGCCAACTTAGGCTCCACAGAACTCTGTTGGGTCTGCATGCCCCCTTTGTTCCCAATATACCATTATCTCCCTGGACCTTTAGAAGCCTGGACCAATTCCTTGGCAACCCTCACCATTACTAAAACTACCTTAGGATCTGCATTCTGGGAACCAAGTACTGATCCTGCCACAGCCATAGCCAAAAAGGTGCATCAGGCCGTTCTCAAACAACTAAAAACTTTATCCCCTATCCAAAGCCTCATGGTTACAGGACCTATAGGAACCACCACTCCACTCACTACTCAGGCCCCTATATGTTTCACCTGCTCCTTAAACAGAGTTCCAGAAGGGTCTTTAAAATGCTCGGACTGTAACCTGCCTCTTTCTCTCTCTCACACAACAGATTGTAGTTATTCCTCTACAACAGGAGCAAGTGACCCATTCTCATCAGTGACCCAACTCATCAGCCAAAGCCACGCCCTCTTACCCCTTAAGATTTTCTCTCCCTATATGTAGTAATGCTTATGAATGTAACCAAGAGTCAGATTTTTTTTGTTTTTGACACGGAGTCTTGCTCTGCTGCCCAGACTTGAGTGCAGTGGTGAGATCTCGGCTCACTGCAACCTCTGCCTCCCAGGTTCAAGCAATTCTCCTGCCTCAGACTCCCAAGTAACTGGGATTTCAGGCACCCACTACCACTCCTGGCTAATTTTTGTATTTTTAGTAGAGATGGGGTTTCACCATGTTGGCTAGGCTGGTTTTGAACTCCTGACCTCAAGTGATTCACCCACCTCGGTCTCCCAAAGTGCTGGGATTACAGGCGTGAGCCACTGCACCCAGCCTCAAGGGTCAGATTTTTGCAGTGGGTGAGGGCCAGCTAATACATTGCCTTTATTCAATATCTATGGTAGACATGAAAAATCCAAATGCCAACTTCTTCCCCTTCCGGGTCCAACCCAATTCTTTCTTGATTCATCTGAACACAGACTATTCTCAGAAATACCTTTGGTAACTCATTACCCCCTTCTCCAACTATTAACCGATGACCACCTAGCTTCCTCTTTTGTGTCATTTGAATGGGAAGGAGGATCAGGTCGGGATGCCTCAAACTACCACATATTATTTCAAGCAGATGTTGCTGCCTGTGTAGCCCCCTCCAGCCCTTATTTCTTCTCATGTGGACATAATTTCTACAACTGCCTGTCTGTTAATTGGACTGGAACTTGCACTTTAGCTTAGTTATGCCTCCCTTGTCTGTTGCCACAAAAGACCAAGAATTTCTCCTGCCACTACACACACAAACACACACACACACACACACACACACACACACACACACACCCCAAAACAAAAAGGGCAATCCAGGTAATTCCAATCCTCGCTGCTCTCGGAATCTCTTCTGCAATAGGCTTTAGTTCCACAACTTTATAGCTTTTTCAGTTTCCCTGTCTAGCCAACTAAAAGAGGGACTAATGGAAATAGCAACTCAACTGGATCACATACAAGATCAAATAAACTCCCTTGCAGCAGTAGTACTTCAAAACCATAGGGGACTAGACATCCTCACTGCAAAAAAGGGAGGTCTATGCCTCTTCCTGCAAGAAGAATGCTTTTTCTTTCCTTTTTTTTTTTTTTTTTTTGAGACAAAGTTTTGCTCGTTGCCCAGGCTGGAGTGCAATGGCATGATCTCAGCTCACCGCAACCTCTGCCTCCTGGGTTCAAGCAATTCTCCTGCCTCAGCCTCCCAAGTAGCTGGGATTTCAGGCATGAGCCACCACGCTGGGCTAATTTTGTATTTTTAGTAGAGATGGGGTTTCTCCATGTTGGTCAGGCTGGTCTCAAACTCCCGACCTCAGGTGATCTGCCTGCCTCGGCCTCCCAAAATGCTGGGATTACAGGCGTGAGCCACCGCGCCCAGCCAAGAATGCTGTTTCTTTACAAACAAATCTAGATTGGTAAAAGAAGGAATATCCAAACTTAGAAAGATTGCAGAACGTCTACGCAAACAACCCGCCAATGACTTTTTCAGTTCTTTCCTCCCTTGGGTACTCCCTTTCATCAGTCCTTTCATTGTTTTTACCCTGCTTGATAAATTGTTGTCTTTTTGTTTTTTTTTTTGAGATGGAGTCTTGCTCTGTCCCCCAGGCTGGAGTGCAGTGGCCCGATCTTGGCTCACTGCAAGCTCTGTCTCCCAGGTTCACGCCATTCTCCTGCCTCAGCCTCCCAAGTAGCTGGGACTACAGGCACCTGCCACCATGCCCGGCTAGTTATTTGTATTTTTAGTAGAGATGGGGTTTCTCCGTGTTAGCCAGGATGGTCTCGATCTCCTGACCTCGTGATCCACCCGCCTCGGCCTCCCAAAGTGCTGGGATTACAGGCATGAGCCACTGCGCCCGGCCACTAAATTGTTTTCAAAAGTTCATTTTAGAAAGAGTTACTTCAATTGCTCAGGCCACCACAATGGGACATATAAAGGTGGCATTCCTGCCACAGAAAGAGTGAATGACTTCATCACCAGAGGAAGGCTACCTCCCCCCACACCATCACCCCTAAACCAGCAGGAAGCAGTCAGAACGAGTAGCTACCCCTCTGCTAAAAACCCTATCCAAAGAGATAATTAAAACAAAGAGGGGGAGAATATGAGGACTAACAATAGTTATGCCATTTTACAACCTTGGCTACTGTGTTCTCAGAAACAAAGCAAATGTCAACCCTGCCTATAGCTTCAACAGAGCATAACAGCCCTAACTACATCTACCCCCAGCTGGAAAAGTCCGCAACAGTCCCAGCCAGCCAGCACTTCCCCAACCCCTCCCCAGTAGAAACTTTATTATAAAAGCCTCAGCTTGTAATCGATCAGGGTCTCAGGCAGACTCCTGACTGGGACGCCTCGCAGGCTTATTCCTGTAAATAAACCTGTTTGGCTGTTGAGTTTCCTCCTGTCTCTTGCTCTCTTCCTATGCATCTTCCTAACAGTTTCCTGGGGGATGCTGAAGATGTGTATTCCTGGACTTCTTTGAGGAGCACATGGTATGCTTGGGGCAGGGGGTAACTCTGCCTTCCTGTGTCCAAAGTAATGATTAGAATGCATATGAGAGGCTGAAAAGGTACTGAGTGTGACCCCAGTGGCTCTGACTCAGCAATCACTGTGCCCCAAACCCTGCCCTGGGTTCAGGCAGCACATGAGCTTACTCCTGGAACTCCATCCTCCTCAGAGAGGCTCATGATCATGCAGGGCTAGGAGACGAATGTGCCAACCCTGTGAGCCCCAAGAAGATCCCTGGAGCAGAGCTGGAGATGGAAGGTGGGCCTGGTTGGAATCTCAGCTGAATATGTGACCTTTCTTGTTCTCTTGGTAGCAGATGATGTCCCTTGCCCAGCCTTAAAAGGAATTTTCAGTCTGTACTGTCAGCTCATTGTCAGAAAGACTGCCTTCTCAGAAAGCTGATGTCCATGCCAGGCCTTCCAGCTGGAGGGGTTTTTTAATACATACATAGCTGTGGTAACCCAGATGTGGCTACCTGACTGATACCTGCTACCACCCAGCCCAGAACCTGGAGGAGCCAAGAGGGGTTCTCCTCAGACAACCCTGATGCCTGAGTATGATTTTAGTGCTCATGGCCTGGCCTGGTGATGCTGTGACTACACCCACCACTATAGGGCAGGGTAGTGGTCCTGTACTGAGGGCCAGAAGTCAAGCTCTCCAGGTTCAGGGCCTGGTTTGAGCAGCAGACAGGCAAAGACCAGACTTCGAGATCACAAGCTCAGTGAGGGCAGAAGAGTTTAGCAGTCTTGGTTTCTGCTGTATCCTGTGGGCCTGGCACAGTGCTGTCCTCATCCTAGAGCTCAAAAAGTGCCAATTTTTTGTTTGTGAGACAGAGTCTCACTCTATTGCCCAAGCTGGAGTGCAGTGGCACGATCTCAGCTCGCTGCAACCTCTGCCTGCCAGTCTCAAGTGATCCTCCCGCCTCAGCCTCCTGAGTAGCTGTGACTACAGGCTTATGCCACCACACCTGGCTAATTTTGTATTTTTTGTAGAGATGGGTTTCACTATGTTGTTAGGCTGGTCTTGAACTCCTGGGCTCAAGCCATTTGCCCACCTCAGCCTCCCAAATTACTGGAATTACAGGCATGAGCCACCGTGTCTGGCACTATGGACCTTTCTCCTTGCCACAAGGCTCTTGCTTCACTATCAGGGACTCATTCCCTACCCCATTCTATCTTTCCTGGAAGGCAGAAGCTTTTCCAGTGGCTTCTGGGAGCTCCCTGGGCACTTGGTAAAGATGATAGAACAAACAAGCCCCTACTACAATCCATTCTGATTAGGACAGAGATAGAGCTCAGTGGAGAGAGTGGCTATGTCCCGTGGCCTGAGATTCCTGATGGTAAAGGGTGATTCTCAGAAGTGTCCTTGGGTTTGCAGTAGAAGAGCCACAGAGGAGTCGGGAGGTAAGGACCTCTCTGAGAGACTTCCCTAAAGACATGCAGAACTGAGTCTGATGGAGGGGCTGAGCAAGCTGCTCTTTCCCATGAGCAGTCAGAGTCATGCCTGAACCACTGTTGGCTGGGGTAGGACATGTGGGCTGGTCAGGAGAGGGCATAAGTGCATGACTTTCCACCCGGGCCTGTTCTCCCCCAATCTATGAAACAGACATGGGTGGGGGACATGATCACAATAGAGATTCTGGTGACATTTTCTGTAGTTTATTGGAAATAATTTGTGTGCCTATCACTCTCTTCCTGCAAACAGAACTCCTCAAGGGCAGGTCTCACAGTCTTCTCCAGGCCTGGCACTGAGTAGGAGTCAGGTATGCACTGGCCAAAGGAGGATGACTGCCTGCATGCATGAGATAGGCAAAGCCAGCCCAGAGGCTTGTCTAGGGGAACACAAAGGAACAAGGGATGCAGGATGTTTTTTTCTTTTTTTTTTGAGATGGAGTCTTGCTCTGACGCCCAGGGTACAGTGCAGTGGTGTGATCTCGGCTCATTGCAACCTCCGCCTCCCGGTTTCAAGCGATTCTCCTGCCTCAGCTTCCTGAGTAGCTGGGAGTACAGGCGCCCGCCACCATGCCTGGCTAATTTTTGTATTTTTAGTAGAGACGGGGTTTCATCATCTTGGCAAGGCTGGTCTCGAACTCCTGACCTCGTGATCCGGCTGCCTTGGCCTCCCGAAGTGCTGGGATTACAGGCGTGAGCCACCACACTCGCCTGGGATGCAGTATGTTTTGACTTGGATGCTTATGACTTGGAGGAACCATGTCTTCATTATTTTTTCTTGTCATAACAAGCCTTCAGAATCATGTAACTCTAATAGCAATGGGCCTTAATTAGCTTTCTTGGGAGCAATGCATGGGCAGTGGGGTTAGGCTGGTGGCAAACATTTCTGACAATTTTTTACCGCCTTTTTTTCATATAATGCAAGCAAAGAGTTGCCAGTTGCAACAGCAAAGGAATTATGTAGGCAAGGCATCAAGCAAATTCTGTACCTTCCAGCCTTATTCCTTTCTCCTGCTTTACCAAGGGCCATGGCCAGCTTAAGACCTCAGTATACAATTGAGGTTGTCCAGGCCAGCCCAGGTAGGCTGCTGAGCAGAACGAAGATACAATCACTTGTTTGTAGCCTCATGCCAGCTTAAGGCTCGCTTAGGGAACCACCTTATTCTCTATGTTAGTGGGCAGTGCCAACAAATCTCAGCCAGGAAAGAAAGCCTCTGTTTCTTTGGGCTTCCTTCCTTCCTCTTCAGTTCTGTTTCTCTCTCCCAAAGAAGGAGTGGGGCAGGAAGCCAATTTCCTGAGTTGCTTTTCATTGGGAAGTGAGACAGGCCTCAGCAGCACTTTAGCAAAAAGAAGGGTGCAGAGTTCAAGGAGCCTTGTAGGCAGGAGACAGGTCTCTCAGCCTCTCTGGAATAGTCCAAAGTCCATGGCATTATATCCTCTAGATACAGCCTGTCCTGTGTCATCCTTCTCTATTGTCTTCCTCCTCTGATCTCTCTAATGCCTACTCTTGCCTGCAAAGTTTGCCATTCTTCTTCACCCCCATAGACATCTTCATCTTTGGATCTCGTGCCTCCCCACGGAGGCTGCCATGCTGAAAGGATCAGCCCAGGGTAAACTGGACTTATGGGGAAGCAGGGAAGAGTCTGAGCTCTACCCCTTCTCCCTTTCTTGGGGATGACCGGCATGATGCTTTGCCTACGGCACAACTACACCTCTGGGTGTAGTTCCTGAGGTCCTGTCATCTCTTCATTCTTCCACGATTTGCCTTCTGGTGACTAATCATTTCTACTAATCCCAGCAGTGAGTTGGCTCTGATTGGGCCTTTTCCCACATGGATTTTTTTGTTTAGTTTTGTTTTTTTGAGACAGGGTCTTGCTCTGTCACCCAGGTGGGAGTGCAGTGGCACCATCACAGCTCACTGCAGCTTCAACCTCCCAGGCTCAGGTGATCCTCCCACCTCAGCCTCCCGAGTAGCTGGGACTACAGGTGCATGCCACCACACCCAGCTAGTTTTTGTATTTAGTAGAGAAAGGGTTTCGCCATGTTGCCCAGGCTGGTCTTAAACTGCTGAGCTCAAGCAATCCACCTGCCTTGGCCTCCCAAACTGTTGGGATTACAGGAGTGAGCCACTGTGCATGGCCCTGGATGGCTTTTTGTTGTTGTTGCTGTTTTTTCTGATTCCATTTTCCCTCTGGTCTTCTACAAGTGTCTGAGAACATAGGCTGGAGAAGCAAGCTGGCACATGTCTGTTGGTTCCATTTAGGCATGTGGATTGATTGTCCTCTCATCTGGCCATCTCCAAAATGGCTGCCATGTGTCACATGTTATGCTGAAGTGGGAAGAAGATATTTCAGCAAGTGAAGCTTAGGGGACTGGGAAACTCCTGCAGGGTCTCTAGGTCTATCCTGTCCCTGGTGGGGCAGCAGTTGGACCCAGGAGGACATGATACTTGACACACCACACAGCTGGCTTGCATAAACTGAAAGATTTGTTTATTCATTTGTCATAAAGCATAGTCAAGCCTAGTGAATTTTCCTGGATGAGTGAAGAGAGCTCATCAACAACCCCTCCATGAGGAGAAACCAGATGCAATCCCAGCACTCTCCCTGTTACTTATTAGCTCAGCAGCTAAAGCCAAAGATCTCTCTGAGTGCTTTTAAGCCTGGTGATTGGTGGGCCCTTTAGAAGCGCAGGTGAGGGAAATGCTCAGAGCGTCATGGAGAAGCCAGCACAACCATGAGCCCCAGAGGGCCTGCTGAAGGCCAGCCCAGGGGATAGGACCAGTCAGACAAGGTCCTGCTGTTGAGGAGCCCCAGTCTAGATCAAAAGGAGGTAAACAGCCTCTGGGACAGTGAATGGAAATGGGAGATTGAATCAGAGCCCCAGATAACCAGAGGCCAATACCATCCCATGGTCCACAAGAGTCCCTGGGCTGAATGTCAAGGGTGAATGAACACAGGGCAGGCATGTTCCTGGGGATGCTCCTCAAAGGAAACAGAACTGGGAGAGTTTGAGAGGAGAGGAGGGGCACCTCTAACCCACATTTTCAGGTCTCCTGGGTCCACTGTGCTGTGCCCTTTGTCACCAGGGCAGCAAAGACCCTGGAGGTCTGCTAACAGCCAGGAATCCACTCTGAGGAGGGCAACTCCCCAAGCCTGCAGGCTGGGTAGAGCTAATTAACCACACAGGAACCAGAGGCATGTTGATTTAAATCTGTGGAAAGCCATAGCTCCTGTGGTTTCTACAAAAACAAAAAAATAAACATCCTTTCCCCTGTTTCAAGTAGCCCAACCCACACTGACTGGGGTCTGTGAAGCTATAACAGCCTGGGTTGGGACAAGGTCAGGCCACTGGCCTGCCCATAGTGTTTGTGAGCATATTCTTCCCCAGGAGGAAATATATGGCACAAGACCGCCACATCCCAGACCATCACCAGGGAGACAACTAATAACAGAGTTGTCATAAGTATACCAGGCACTTGTCCTGGTGTTTTACCTACATCAGGCTGGGTGCATTGACTCATGCCTGTAATCCCAGCACTTTGGGAGGCCGAGGTGGGAGGATCACCAGAGGTCAGGAGTTCAAGACCAACCTGGCCAACATGGTGAAATCCCATCTCTACTAAAAATACAAAAACTAGCCAGGTGTGGTGGTGGGCACCTGTAATCCCAGCTACTAGGGAGGCTGAGGCAGGAGAATCATTTGAATCCGGGAGGTGGAGGTTGCAGTGAGCCGAGATCACACCACTGTACTCCAGCCTGGGTGACAGAGCGAGAGTCTGTCTCCAAAAAATAAAAATAAAAAAAATAAAATGAATAAAAAATAAAATATCTACATCAGCCACTCTACCCTTACAATCCCCCATATTCGAGGAGCTACTAAGATTCTAACTTTGCAGAATAGGAAATGGAGGCTCAGTGAGCCTAAGTCAGTTGCCAAGGGTCCTATCGGGGCTGAGGTGCAGACTCTTTTGGAGCCTAAATGTGCACATGTAGTCACCACTCACGAAGCTGTATCAAACATCCTGCAGCACAGGAGGAAACACAGCAAGGACCATCATCTGCAGGAAGAGAGGCTCTCTTCATCCTAGGTCATCCCAGAGGGGCCAGGCAGTTTAGCGTGAAAACGGGAGGTATGAAGTCAGGAGAAAATATCAGGAAGTGGGGGCTCTGCATTTCCTCTTTCTCTTACTTGCTCCATCCCAGAGGTCGGGAGGAGCAGCTCGGAGTGCACAGGGGAAGGCCCAGGGAGGGTCCTGGCCCCTCCTCACAAGAACTGACACAGCCACCGGTCTGTCCAGCAGGCTGGCTATCAGCATTCACTGGGATCCCTGGATTATTCTAGGTTCAGTTAGAACTGCTAACACCCTATGTGATATATTTCGCAACATTAGGAGAATTGAATGGGTTTGTAAAATGGGTTCAAGTTACTCACGCCTTTCTACACAGTCATGATTTATGACGTCAGAGATGAACTGGAATATAGGCTCCTAGGAAATATTCTCCCACAGGAAAGTACAGGCTTGTGTGAGAAGCCACCACGGCAGACAATCCTGAGTAGCGGGCAGAAACCGGCTGTAAATGTGAGGGAGCGGGGAAGTAATTTGGAAAGCTCTCAGGGTAATGCAGAGGCAACCTGCGGCCCCGCATCGAGACAGCTCCAGGCCTGAGAACCATCAAGTCCTCTTTTCCATCCCCAAGGTCACTCTCCCAGGGCTGACTGAGGTGGCCTCCCAGCTGGCTTCACACAGCCCTGTCACACCTTCCATCTGTGCCCGGGGCGCTTCCTGAGACTCCCAGTTCCTCAGTGTGAATCCCAGATGGTTCCCATCGCCATCTGGATAAAGGCTCCACTCCCCAGCTGGCCTTAAAGACCCTCACAATCCGGCCCGACCACCCAGCACCCTCCCTCTCCTTCCCTCTACGACCTTGCGTCTCTGAATACACTTGTTCCTCTGCCTTCCCAACTCCTATGCATACTTTTGAGGCCATTCTCGGGTAGCCCCTCTCCTCTCCGAGGCCTGTCCTTATGACGCCTGCCCGCTGTGGCACTCCGGTTACCCGGAGGAGAGTTGCTACTCTCGAGTTCACCGAGGCGGAAAGCCCCTCTGACTCCAAAGCAGGGCTCAGCGCGACGTCCCAGAGGCCGCTTCTAGTGGCAGGTGCCCCTCCTCACAGGGCCCTCGCAGCCCCGCCGGCCCCCGCCCGGCTCCTTCTCAGCATGATACAACCGCGTCGGCCCTGGACAGCGCATGCGCGGGCGCCGGCGGCTGTTTCCCAGCGACCCCGAGGCTGGCGGGAGCGCGCACAGGGGAAGGGGGGCGTGTGCAGGGAAGGGGGCGCGAGACGCGCATGCGCAGCGGCAGGCGGCGGCGCGAGCCGAGCTGGGAGATGGCGGCGGCAGCGGCGGCGCCGAGAGTGTGAGCACCGCCCGGGAGCCGCCGGCCCGGGCGCAGCGCGACCCCGACCCCGCCCGCCCGCCTGCCCGCCATGGGCAACGAGGTCAGCCTGGAGGGCGGCGCTGGCGACGGGCCGCTGCCGCCCGGCGGCGCCGGCCCCGGCCCGGGCCCCGGCCCCGGCCCCGGCGCAGGAAAGCCGCCTTCAGCACCGGCCGGTGGCGGACAGCTCCCCGCGGCGGGAGCAGCGCGGTCGACCGCGGTACCACCGGTCCCTGGCCCCGGCCCCGGCCCCGGTCCCGGCCCTGGCCCGGGCAGGTAAGCGCGTGTCTCGGCGCCCGGGGGGCGGTGAGCTGCAGCCTGAGGCCGGGACCCGGGCCCAGGATCCCGCGATCTAGTGTGGACAGCGAGGTTCGACGTCCGGCCGCACTCTGAACCCTGCCGGATTGGCGTGAACTGGGTGGTCGCGGGAAGCGGCCCTTCCTTTCCAGCTGCCCCGCCTTGGCGTGGCAGGATGACGAGCGCAGGGTCAGTCGGGGCCTGCAGACCGTGACTCCGTCACGAACCCCAAATTCGCTTCTCCCCAACGCTCGGGCCTGACTGCTCAGGAGGGGCTTATGTAACCTTAACCTGGTCCCTCCGCACAGGAGAGCAATGGGATGGAAAACGTCCTCCCTGTCTGCTGGTGTCTGCATGTGTCCATTGTGCTGGGCCGAGAAAACAGCACAATGGGAGTGGCTGTCAGGGAAGATAAGTGTCACTGCGAGGAACAGAGAGATGAAAATAGTTGAACCATGAACTTGGTCTTGGGCTTTCCTTGGGCATTTAGTGGCTGTAATCACCTTTGGGGGAAAGGAAAATTGCCCACTGGACACCAAGAGGTGCTTATTTAGGCCCAACAATACTAATAGGATCATGTGCTTTCACCAAGGTTTAGGGAAACATTTTGGGGTGAAGCAAAAATGCTATTGAGTCATCCAGCACCAGATATGTTCTCGTTACCTTATGATTTAGATCAAACCAGTGGAAAAGCTGAAACCCACACAGAATGCTTTAAACAGAACATATCTGATTAAATACTGTGAAACCAGTTTGTTTTAAATGTATGCCAACCCAGGTCCTGCAAAAACAGTCAAGTGGCAATGAAGGCTGTAAGGGAATGCCAATATATAATAAGTCAGTAGACTGAAAACTCAGGAAAACTACTAAGAGATGACACGATAAAATGGAAGGCATTATCTTTGCACCAAATAGGCTTGGGGAGTAGCAAAACCCCCAGGGGGTGGGAGGGAGGTGCTTCCAGCTCCATGTGGGTCTGCTGATATATGTTGCCCTGGCTTTTCTGTGTGGAAGCACATAAACTGAGGACGCATAATTTTTTATTCTTTGGCTGCCCGACTGTGCCTCTTGTGTGTTTATTTCCTCAGAAGTCATTTCTTAGACAACTAACAGTAATGAAAGGCTGTTAGTAGCTTGAAACCTGCGGCAGACAGGTCAGCCTGTGAGCATCCTTTTTAGAGGTGGGATTTGTCCATTTTATACTAGCTATAATAGTAATGCAGTTGGATAGCACACAGCTCTTAGCACTGCAAACACTGTCCATTTTGCTGCATGTTGAGTTGCTGTTTGGGTTTTAGCTTGAGGGAGGCTCACCCAGGCTTTAGTGTTCTCCTTCCAAGGGAAAGCTTCTGTAGCTGAATGGAAAAACACCTTGTTATTGAGAGTTCCCTGTATGGGGAATTTGTCATTTCTCTTCTGATAACCAAACAGGCTGCTCTGCTTGTAGTTTATCAGATGTTGCAGAGCCAATCATATGAAATTCTGGAAAGACCTGGGCAGCTCAGAGGGACCGGAAGGAGGCTGATGTCTATTGCTCATATGCCTTTTTAGTGTTTCATTTGTACTTCATCTGTACATTCTGCTGCAGGCAGACCCATGAACTGCTGTGGGTGAGGCGAACCACGGACTCCTGATGGATTTAGTAGTCACACAATCTCTTACCTGGCTGTGGGCAAGGCTCATACCTGAGCCTGTGGTGCTGAGGTCCTGTGACTATCAGACTCAGGAGGTGAGCTGGCTATTTGTCCCCAAAGCTCAGAACCAGAGACCATTAGGAGGTGGGATTTACTCCTCCAGCTGATATTCATTTTATCATAGCACCTCAGCTGAGCAGCAGCTCCATGGCTTATCTCTCCTTTAGTATTGCAATGGCTTCTACTTCCTCTCACTAGAGCATCTCAGATACCTGATGCCAAATTTAGCATGTTCTAAGATGCTGCTGAACAGATTGGCCCATTGATGGGGAAAAAGCCCTGTGAATGTGCTTCTGGGCATTCAGGAAAGAGCATTAGCACAAAGACATATTTGCTTTCAGTAAGATTTTGAATTTCGGGGCAGTCAGAAACCTCATAGAGGTGGGTAGAAGGCCAGGTAAAAGGGAGATGATTCTGGGGGAGTTAAATGCTATTGCCATATTACCTTGTCATCCCAGGCTGAATTAGTCTTTTCATCCTCATACTGAGCTGAGTTGGACTCTGTGAGGGGGTGGCTCCAGCATTTGCTGCTGAAGAGCCTGACTTGAATCCCATGAGTAGCAGTGCTGCCACACCCATAGTGGTGCCTCTTAGCCCGTCGGGATGATGTGGAGCTTTGGGCATTGGAGAGTCCCTCAAGGAAGGGCTCTCTGCTTCTGGTGTCAGGGTGGCCATGTACAATTATATAATCTGTGCCTTTTCCAAGGAGTGCTGGTTTGGGAGAAAGCTGAACTCTAACCCAGGCTCCACTCTCCAAGCTGTGTGCCCTGGTGTAGGCTGCATCCTCTTAGATGAAGGGGCATCATTCACTCGTTAATTCATTTACTTATTTATGGAGATATGCCTAATGTACAGTGGAACACACATATTGATGGGATTTTATTTATACATACACTCGTGACACACTACCAGATCAAGACAGAACTTTATCAGTACCCCAGAAAGTACTTTTTAAAATAATTACACGAAGGAGCCATGTAGACCAGTGGCAGCCTGTCTAGTTTACACCAGCTCTGTGGACTTGCACCTGTCAGTTTTTTTTTTTTTTTTTTTTGAGTTGGAGTCTCGCTCTGTCGCCCAGGCTGGAGTGCAGTGGCACGATCTCCGCTCACTGCAAGCTCCACCTTCTGGGTTCACGCCATTCTCCTGCCTCAGCCTCCCGAGTAGCTGGGACTGCAGGCGCCCACCACCGCACCCAGCTAATTTTTTGTACTTTTAGTAGAGATGGGATTTCACCGTGGTCTCGATCTCCTAACCTTGTGATCTACCTGCCTCGGCCTCCCAAAGTGCTGGGATTACAGGCGGGAGCCACTGCACCCGGCCCAACTTGCACATGTTTTGATGTTTGCAAATTGATATCTAGTCGATCAGCTAAGGTGTATTTGTCAGCTGTCAAGAGCAAGCACAGTTATTGGCTTTGTGGATGGTATGGAAAGGATATATAGTGCTTCCCTGTCCTTCAGCACCTCACAGACTGGTTGGTCAGATAGCTCTTGAAGAGCCAAATCATGGAAGAACCCTAAGAGAGACACTGTGGGCAGCTCAGTATCTGAGAAATGTCAAATAAGCAGTGCTTACAGGGTTGTTAATTGGGAAGAGTGGAGAGGCACAGCTAAGCTTTAGGAGAGGTAGAGATGTAAGGCTGGAAAAATGACTGGGTTAAGAGAGGTAGAGATAGAGATAAATGGCATAAAGAATGTGGTCTACACAGGCAGGGACAGTGAGCAGAGAATGAGGCTGAGTGCAGGGTGGTGGGGGAAAGCCAGGGCAAAGCCAACAGAGGCCCTTCTCCATCATTGCCCATCAGAATGCGTAATCAATGCCAAAGTCGCCTCTCTTCACTCCTGGCCCATATGTTATTGAGACAGACACCCTAAGCCAAAGGCAGCTAGGCACAGAGAACCTGGTTGTTTACTGGAAGGTGGGCAAGGCTGCTCTGAGAACCATACCCCGAATTCCTTTTTCAAAATGGATTTGTCAGGCATAGTATCTCTGGTCTGGGATTAGTCAGACTTGTTACATTATATCAGCCAACTCAGCCTCTAGAAAAATCTGGCACTAACTTGTAAAGATAAAATGAAAGGACATAATTGCCAGGTCTGGAAATAATGCTCCTTTGTCACTTAGAGATCTTCTTTGTCCCCAGTGGCTGGATCTCACAGAGGGTATGTCATGGAGTGTGAATTAAAGTGACCTTACATCTGAATGGTGACGATGTCAAAATTTTACCCAGAGGGCAACCATTTTTGCATTTCTCCAGGGAAAGCAGGCTACTTTTGATAATACAGTTGCTCACAGCATCATTAAGACTAATAAGGTGCTGTTGATTTAAAAAATGTAAAAATGTAATGGAGACATTAGGAGGAGAAATACTGTCTTTTGTTTGTTTGTTTTTTGTTTTTTGAGACAGAGTCTTGCTCTGTCGCCCAGGCTGGAGTGCAGTGGCGCGATCTCGGGTCACTGCAACCTCTGCCTCCCGGGTTCAAGCGATTCTCCTGCCTCAGCCTCCTGAGTAGCTGGTATTACAGGCACCCACCACCAGACCCAGCTAATTTTTGTATTTTTAGTAGAGACGGGGTTTCACCATGTTGGCCAGGCTGGTCTCAAACTCCTGAGCTCAGGTGATCTGCCCGCCTCAGCCTCCCAAAGTGCTGGGATTACAGGCATGAGCCACTGTGCCTGGCCGAGAAATGCTATCTTAAACATTTTTTTTTTACTATGGAAAATTTCAAACATACATGAAAGTAGAGGAAATGGTCTAATGAACTTTTGTGTTCCCATTGCTTAGCCACTGCCATCATCAACTTATGGCCAATTGAGTTTAATTTATCTCTCTCACATCCTACCCCCTAGAGAAGCAAATTCCAGACATCCCAAAATTTCATCATCAGTATTTCAGTTTGTATTTCCAAGAAATAAGGGCTTTGCATGAACATAACCACAGCACCACAGCCACATCTAAATAAGATAATGATCTCTTCTTAAACTCAGCAAATATTCAGTCAGGATTCTACTTTTCTGATTGTCTTATGAATTTACTTTTATTATTGGTTTGAATTGTGATCTAAACAGGGTCTACACATTGAATTTGTCTGATGCATCTGTCTAGTTTCTTTATGTATTTTCTCTCCTTTTTGCTCCTTGCAGTTTATTATTAGAGAACTATGACATTTGTCCTGTGGTTTCTCATATTCAGGATTATGCTGATTGCATCCCTGTGGTGTCATTTAAGATGTTCCTCTGTCCCATGTTTTTCTTGTAAACTGAGAATTCTGTCTAGAAGCTAATCAGATTCAAATTTTATTCTTTTGGTCAAGAAATTCTAGCTTTTTAAAAAAGAGTTTATTGAAGGCTTCAGACATGGAGAGGCTGAGAGTTCACTGAAAGCAGAACCAGGGTTTGGGCTAATTGGGAGCCAAAGAACAATGCAGTGGACCACTTTTCTGTTCCTTTTCTAAAGATCTCCTTCCTCTGAGTCAGTTTGGTTCTGAGTTTAAGAAGTCAAAGCTTTCAGAGGAAAGTTGTTTTTTTTTTCCCCCAGAAAAGTCATGCCTTTCACCCCAGTGTGGGGGAGCCCTCCCTGCATATGTGAGTAGGAAGCCTCCTACTCACATTTGGGGGCTTAATAAATCTTTCCCCTTATCACAGGTCCTGCATTTCTGAATTGGGCCCTTTCCTCTTGTTAGTTGTGGGGGTGTGGAAGGCCAGACCTACTATGTGTGGGCTATGTGAGGGGAACCTGTTGCTGGAGCCTGTGGGCCATGTGCAGTAAGTTGGGGCTAACTGTGAAGGTAGGTTGGCAACACTGTAATAGCAGTTATGACTACCATTACTGAATGACTGCCTCATCACAGACATTCTGCTAGGTGTTTTATTTCTTATTCCACCTGCTTGGCCATTCAGCTTCTGCAGGCCCTGCCTGTCCTGACTTTACTTACTGCCTGGGGACTGACTTTTTAAATGGTAAAATGGTGGCTAAGCCCTGCATGCCTACAGCAAGGGCTGACTGTCACTTTAGGACATGAGGCCCTCTGGGTAAGCTGGGACTTGGTGAACAATCTAGCTGTGGGGGACTCCTGCTCAGTCCTTTCATTTGGTGCCAGGAGCATGTCATGCTGGTATTGATCCTGCATTTGTAGCACTTGCCCGAGCTCCTTTTCTGGAGGGACCTCTGCCATCTCCTCTCACTAGCACAGTGGTTGAAGCTGTGGAGTGAATTGGGACACTGGCCTGTGGGCTCCTGCCTGTGGTAGGGGTGATAGAATTTTGGTGTCTCACTCTCTGTGGTTCCTTCTGTACAGATCGGGCTTCTAGTGGGGGTCTGTTGCCCCCTAGCATTCTCTTGGCCCATTTGTCTTATATTTTAGGTTCTGGTCAGCTCTGCTGTGGAATGGGATACTCCCTGACACATCTGTGTTGTGCCTTGGGCTCCCAGGCTGGCCACAGGGCTGCTGTGATCTCTCCTTCCTATTATTCGTCTTTACGGGCACATAGGGTTCTAAAGAGAGCTTTGCTCTAGCAGAGACCTGGGGCCCCTACTTCTTTCTAACAAGAGGGTCACATGGAGGCACATGGGAAGCCTCCAGGGAGCTCTAGATCACCCCAGGATCAGATCAAATCTTGAATGGCCTGGAGAGGCCTGGTTGCCCCTAAAGTGGGTGAGGCTGCTGTCAGGGCCAACGGTGAAGAAGAGATTTTCCCTGAGGGGAAATAGAAGGGATGGCTTTTGGATCTTGGTCCCAAACACTGAGGAGATCCAAGAGCCTCAGCAGCAAGGATCACCCCACCCAGTCCTATCTGGGACTAACCCCTGTATCCAGAGGAGCCCGAGCTCTTCAATGCCACTGGCTTGTGTGGGGAGCCAAACCTCCCAAAGATGCTGGAAGAACCATTAAGGCATTTGGGTTCTTGGGAGAAAGGGTAGGTGAGGAAATTTCCTAATAGTTACACTGTTACATTTGTGTTTGCAGGCAGGTAACAAGGGTCACTCCCATTAAAAAAATTTTTTTAATTAATTATTTAAATTGACAAAAATTATGCACTATATATTTATTATATACAACCTGATGTTTTGAAATATGTACATATTATGACATATTATGGAATGGCTAAGTCAAGTGAATTAACATAGTCATGACTTAACATACTTACCATTTTTGTGGTGAGGATGCTTAAAATCTATTAGCAGAAATTTACAAGAATGCAATACATTGGTGTTAGCTATAGTCACCGTGTTGTACAGTAGATCTCTTGTTGTTGTTATTTTTTCTTTTCTTTTTTTTTTGAGACAAAGTCTCACTCTGTCGCCCAGGCTGGAGTGCAGTGGCGTGATCTCAGCTCACTGCAACCTCTGCCTCTTGGGATCAAGTGATTCTCATGTCTCAGCCTCCCGAGTAGCTGGGATTACAAGTGTGTGCCACCATGCCCGTCTAATTTTTGCATCTTTAGTAGAGACTGGGTTTCACCATGTTAGCCAGGCTGGTCTTGAACTCCTGGCCTCAAGTGATCCATCTGCCTCAGCCTCCCAAAGTGCTGAGATTGCAGGTGTGAGCCAGCCACCATGCCCAGCCTAGATCTCTTGAATTTATTCCTCCTATCTAACTGAAACATCTCCTCAACCTTCCCTTCTACCTCCTACTGTGTCACCTACACTTTTTTGTGTATGGGAGTGTTTGTGGGGATTTTTACAGTTAGATTCTACATAGAAATGGAACAATTTTAAAGTGAAATTTTATCCATGTATTCAGGAAACTCTGCTGAACATCTTTTGGATACCTATCCCTGGGTGAAGTGTGAGGAATAAAAGAAGGAGCATAAAATAGGCTCTGCCCTAAAGGGGCCCATGGTGTGGGGAGAGAGAACTCTTGTCCAGATCTTTAGCCTCAACTTCTTCTTCCTTAAATTAGAGTTTGCTCCTGCCTTCTCTTTGTCTCACAGAGGTAAGAGAAATGAGAGTATGATTAAAAGGGGTTGCATTATTTCATGTTCTAAAATAGTAGAGCATATATTTGTATGGTATTTTACAGCTTACAAAACACATTCATAACATTCACGTATTCTGTTGGGAAGCTCCAAAGGCCTAAGAGGAGTGATGTAGAAGAACAGCCAGCTAGCAGACTTTAGCAAACCAAAATGCCGAATGCTGTGGAGAACTGTGTCACTTCCCCGCCTCCTCCTCTGTGAAGATGGGAGATTTAGCAAGATGATGGGAAAGGCTTTGAGGAGTGGGAAAGGGTCAGAAAGTAGGACATTTGAGCAAAGGGCAGGGTAGGATGATGTGGAGGAAGAAGAATAGTGGAAGCATGCTGGCTGGGGGTCAGAAATTCAGGTTTTAATCAATCCTGGCATTGCCTAAACTTGGCTATGCACGTTGGGTATGTCCTTGGTTTTTTCATCTGTAAAATGAGAGATTTAACTAGATGATCTCCACAGTCCCTTCCAGCTCTGACAGCTGATTTCTGTGAAATGTGTAAAAAGGAAGGGTGATGCTTCCCATTTTTCTTCAGCTCTATTGAGCATAGAAAACAAGGTCTAAATCAAAAGTACATTGTGCACTTTTTAGTTTACTTTGTAGCAGCTCTAAATGAAGAGGCTTGCTCTTCCATTGTGTGGCAGAGATTTTTCAGAATGGACAAGATGACTGCACATTCAAGCCTGGAGCCAGGGGCGGGGCTGGCTGGCAACCCACCTCTGGGTTGCTTCTGGTAGGCAGGGGCTCTCGGAAAACTGATGGCCTCCTTGTGCTGGGTTGGTTGGCCAGCCAGCAAGGCTCCTACCCAGACCTGCAGAGCCTGCTGCAGGCTCCCTGTTCTCAGCTGTGCTCGGCTGCTTATCTCCTGAGTGTTGTTCCACCTACTTCCTACAGGTGCTCTGGCAGCAGCCAGTGGGCCATGATTTCCAGGGGAGCTGGGGTTGGCAAACGCTTTGTGATGGGGAAGGGTGGGGCATGGGAAGGGCTAGCCTGAAAGAGACTTTAGATCTTCAGACTCCAGTTTGGGCAGACTCCTTCATTTGTAGAATGAAGAGATACATGTGGTTCTCTCTGCAGCTTCTGCAGCTGTGTGGGTTCTGTGGGCTCAGGCCAGATCTCCTCCAATGTCAAAGTCCGGTATGTGAGGCTGCTTCCTTCCGAAGTGTGGTTTGGCTTCAGTAGGTTATATGTTTGCTCTGATATCCTTTTATTTTGAGCATTGTATCCAACCCCCAACAAATGCCAGAATGTCTGCTGTCATACTCTGTAGGGGCTACAGCTCTCCCTTGGTGTGAACACCCAAGATCAGTGGCCTTTGGTTCTTCTCAGGCAGATGATTCTACTGCTGGAGAGTTCTTTTTTCCTGTTTGTCTGAATCAGGTTTCCTTACACCTCCTATCTGCTGGTCTTGGCTCTGCTCTCCAGCACCGCTGACTTATTTTTGCTCACAGGTTTAGCAGGCGCTCACTGTACCTGCCACGTGCCAGGGCTGAGGTCCCTGCGCTTACTTCCTCAATCCTGATTTTCTTCTCTGGACTTCACTTCTCCAGCTCCTGTGGCTGTGATGGGACTCTGAGACCCTTGCCAGCCTGGACTGCCCTGCCCAAGGCTGTCAGTATCCTAAAAGTACAGAGAGGCCTTAGAGAACAGGGTCCAGGGCTCAGCATGTCACTTGGACTATGAGTGACATAGTCTGAAGGATGCGGGGCCTTCCCTCTCACAGCATGAGAACACCCTTCCTACACCTTTATGAGAGCTTTTGGGCAGCTACTCCCACACTTATCCAGCCTCATGCTGGGCATCTTCACACGAAGTCTGGGGCCTTCCATCCTGGACTTACACAGCCCAAGTGTGAATCTGTGGAGGCCTGCATGAGTCTCTGCTATGTTTTCTCTGGTTATACTTAGAGATCCTTTCCAACCTAGTGAGACTCTTTTGGAACCTGACTGTGTTCCATGAACTGGGGGTAATAACTAAGGCAATGTACTTGTTTCAGGAACCATACTGTGAGAACTTCTCCCCTTCCTAGGCCCTGTGAGCCTACTTTCTAAACCCCTGCATCTGACCTGGAGTGGGGTGGCCAGTGTTGGATGCTCAAGGCCAAGGCCTTGCCAGCTCAGGTTTGGAGTGATGATGGCTGAGTAGTGGGAGTAGCTGCCTGAAAACTCTCATAAATGTGTAGGAAGGGTGTTCTCATGCTGCAAGAGGAATGCCCCTTGTCCTTCAGACTATGTCACTCATAGTTCAGGTGACATGACAGCTACGGTTGGATTGGAGAGGCAACCACCCCTTGCACCCTAGCCATGGCAGCCCCTGTGCTCTGCAGAGGAAACCCTTGTGCAGATTTGTCCTTTCCTGGTCAGCCATGTTATGCTGGCCTGTCTTTGGGGTGCATTGGCCTTTGGCTCTGTAGGGTAGGTATCTCTAGGAGCAGCAAGTGCTCTGCAGATGAAAATTTCAAACACACATAAAAGGAGAAAGGTAAAAAAAAAAAAGAAGAAAAGAAGAAGAAAGGATGGTAGGCTGAAGTCTCTCCTGCAAACCTACCACGTAGCTTCAACAATGATTAGCATTTTGCCAACTTGTTTTATCTATATTCCTCCACTTTTTTTTTTTGGACTAGAGGATTTTCTTTTTTTTTTTTTTTTTTTGAGACGGAGTCTCACTCTGTCACCCAGGCTGGAGTGCAGTGGCGGGATCTCGGCTCACTGCAAGCTCTGCCTCCAGGGTTCATGCCATTCTCCTGCCTCAGCCTCCCGAGTAGCTGGGACTACAGGCACCCACCCACCACGCCCAGCTAATTTTTTTTTTTTTTTTTTTTTTGAGACAGAGTCTCGCTCTGTCGTCGCCCAGGCTGGAGTGCAGTGGTGCGATCTCAGCTCACTACAAGCTCTGCCCCCTGGGTTCGCGCCATTCTCCTGCCTCAGCCTCCGGAGTAGCTGGGACTACAGCCGCCCGCCACTACTCCCAGCTAATTTTTTGTATGTTTAATAGAGACGGGGTTTCACCGTGTTAGCCAGGATGGGCCCGATCTCCTGACCTCGTGATCCACCCGCCTCGGCCTCCCAAAGTGCTGGGATTACAGGCGTGAGCTACCGCGCCCGGCCAGGATTTTCATTCAAAATAGAAATATATCATTTCACTCATGAATAGTTTAGGATGTACCTCTAGTAGTTAGAGGGTGCTTTACTATTTAATTCAATGGCATTTATCACAACCAACAAAGTTAACTTTAATTTCTTACTATAACCCAATACCCAGTCCATATTTAATTTTTCTTTATTGTTCCAAAAATGACATTTTATTTTATTTAATGTATTTTTTTTTGAGACGGAGTCTCGCCCTATTGCCTAGGCTAGAGTGCAGCGGCGCCATCTTGACTCACTGTAACCTCCACCTCACGGGTTCAAGCAATTCTCCCTGCCTCAGCCTCTCGAGTAGCTGGGACTACAGGTGCACACCACCATTCCTGACTAATTTTTGTATTTTTTTACTAGAGACGGGGTTTTGCCATGTTGGCCAGGCTGGTCTTGAACGCCTTACCTCAGGTGATCTGCCTACCTCGGCCTCCCAAAGTGTTGGGATTACAGGCATGAGCCACTGTGCCTGGCCCCAAAAATGACATTTTAGTTTGTTCAAACAGTATCCAAACAACGTCTACATATTGCATTTGGTTGATATGTTCTGTAAGTTTCTAACAGTCTCCTTGCTCCTTTTGTTTTCAAATCCATTTATTTGGTGAAGACATCAGGACATTTATCCTAGACTATCTCTCATTTTGGTTTTGCCTAAGCACATCCTCTTGAAGTTATTTTCTTGCTTCCTAGTGTCCTTTTATTTCCTATAAACTGGTAGTTAGATCTAGATCAGAATAGATTCAATCTTTTTGGAAAGAACACTTCATTGGTATTGTGTACTTCCTATTGTATCCCAGAAGGAGGCAGTATGTCTGTCTCCTTGACCTACTTTAGTGATGAAAAGATGGATCAGGCCTGGGTGCAGTGGCTCCCCCCTGTAATCTCAGCACTTTGGGAAGCTGGGATGGGCAGATTGCTTGAGCCCAGGAGTTTGAGACTAGCCTGGACAACGTAGTGAGACCCCATCTCTACAAAAATACAAAAAAATTAGCCAGGCATAATGGCACATGTCTGTGGTCCCAGCTACTCGGGAGGCTGAGGTGGGAAGATCACTTGAAACTGGGAGGTCAAGACTGCAGTGAGCTGAAATCGTGCCACTGCACTCCAGCCTGGGTGACAGAGTAAGACTGTGTTTCAGGAAAAAAAAAAAAAAAAAAAAAAGGATTAGGGGATTCAGGTAGTATCAGTGATTAATCCATTATAAAGTCCTTATCAGTTTTTTTTTTGCCTGATGAATTTAGCATTCACTAATGATCCTTAGCTAGATCCATTATTTCATAACAGGTTGCAAAATTAGCTGAAATTCTTCTATAAAA
Organism: Homo sapiens; assembly: GCF_000001405.40. Classification (NCBI taxonomy): domain Eukaryota; kingdom Metazoa; phylum Chordata; class Mammalia; order Primates; family Hominidae; genus Homo; species Homo sapiens. Next base: position 49,566,966 of record NC_000003.12, read on the forward strand.
ATTATCTGTCAACCTTTTTTTTAATGCACCAAACATTTATTAAACATTGCAGTCAATAGCAGGAACACAAGAAGGAAAAAGACACAGTCCTACCCTGAAGATGCCCTCCAAACTGGGTTGAATCTCCATGCTTGATGCTCCTTTCAATGGATTGTTTTTAAATAATAATGTAGATATTTTTATTAATGATAATACTCATGAATGTAGTTTAAGACTTCCTTCTGGTTCCCTTTGCCCTTAGGTTATCCCTTTTCAGGGATATATAGTTCTCTGTTTTAGAGTTATTAGAAATGATTCTACTCTGTGGTTATCTGATTAAGAGGATATAAAATTAAGCTCTTTTTTCCCAGTTTGCCTTTAATTTGTAAGGATTACTTTTTGATCAGTTTTCTGTTGTTACCGTCATTCTGCACAATAAACCAGCCCAAACTCAGTAGCTTCAAATAGCAATTTTTTATTCTCACTCATGCATCTGCATGCTGGCTAGAATTCACTGATCTAGACCGGGCTCCAGGCTGCAGTTGGGTCCAGGTCAGATCAGTGTGTCTCTCATCTTCCCTGGACAGCAGTCTAGCTGGGGCATGTTCTTCTTACGGAGATGAGAGACACACAAGAGGGTGTGCCTAACCTCACAGCACATTTCAAGCCTCTGACCTGATGACACATCTGCTAACATTCCTGTAGTCAAGCAATTCATGGTTAAGCCCAAGTCAAGGAGTTGTATTGCAGTTACTATGGCTGTGTAACATGTTAACCCAAAACTTAGTAGTGGAAAACAGCCACTATTCTGGTCACAGATTCTGCAGGTCAGGAATTTGGGCAGAGCACAGTAGAATGGAGTGTGTTTCTACTTCACAATGTCTGGAGTTTCAGCTGGAAGACTTGAAGGCCAGAGATTAGAATCTTCTGAAGGCTCATCAATTATATGTTTGAGAGTCGATGCTGGCTGTTAGCTGGGAGCCCCAGGGCTTCTCCATATGATTTCTCCATGTGGGCTCATTTGGGCTGCCTCATAGCATGGTTGCTGAGTTCCAAGGGTGGGGAGAGGGCAAGGTAGGGGTTGGGAGACAGGTGGAAGACCGTACTGACTTTTATGATTTAGTCTTAAGAGACATGCAGTGTCACTTCTGCCACATTCTGTTTACTAACACAGTCACAAGATCCTGCCTAGGTTTAAAAGGAGGGGACGTGGACTCTGTCAGTACATGTGGGACTGGAAATCTTGCTGAGACCATTTTTGGAAAATACAGTCTGCCACAGCTGGAAAAAATATATTCTGCCTCTAGTTGGAGGAACTGCAAAGACACATGGCAGAGAACAGAAATCGATGGAAAGTAAAGAATTGAAAACAACAATGGCATATACCGTACTTTTTTAAAATTTAATTTTTAAAAATTATATAAAGCTTTCCTATGATTCCAAATAAAACAAGATATATTGAGAGAAGTCTAATTCCATCTTGTTCCCTCTACTTTATTCTCTTTGCCTTTCTGATAAGAAACAGTTTTTATCAGATTTTTCCCACTGTTTCTTTTTGCAAATTTAAGGGAAAAATATATTTGTTTACCTTTCTTTTTTATGTAAAAGGTAGCAGACTCTAAGTACTCTTCTGTACTTTGCTTTTTTCCATGTAATCAATCTTGAAGATCACCCTGTAGCAGAATATAGAAATCCTCCTGATTCCTTTTTGCATCTGCACTGTGCCTCACCATGTGGATATGCCATGGTTTATCTATGGACATTGGGCTGTGTCCAGTCTTTTGCTCTTACAAAAAGAAGCACAGTGAGGAATCTGGAAAATGTGGCATTTTGTAATTTTACCAGTGTGTCTGTGCGATAGTTTCCTAGAAGTAGGATTGCTGAAGCAAAATGGTAAATGTATAAGTTGTTTTTCTCTGTGTTGCTAAGACTGAGAGCCAAAGGCAGAAGCAATAATATTCAGGCATGAGAGGATGATCATGGTGGGGTGCGGGGTTTTGCAGGACAGGGAGGTGGGAAGGGGCTGAGTAGTAAGAGTGATGAAAAGTGCTCAACTTCTGAATATATTCTGGAAATTGAGCCAGAAGGATTGCTGAATGGTTGGCTGTGAAGAGTTGAAGAGAGGAGTCAGGAGGAGCTCTGAGTTTTGGCCTGGGCATCTGGTGTACACAGGGAGGAGGAGGAATGGGCCTAGACCAGGAGTTTGTTCTTGGACAAGTTGTTTTTTAGAGGCACCCAAGTGAGATGTTAGGTAGGCAGCTGGGTATTCAAGTCTGGGTTGGAAAAATAAAGTAGCACTTCACCTGCAAGTGCTTTAATATTAATGCCACCTGGTTCCTACAAGTACCCTGAAAAAGAGATAAGGGAGAGGAGGAAATTGAGGCAATACTAGGGTTCCAAGAGAGTGAATCAAGTGCATTCAATTAAACAAATATTTACCTTATCAAATGAAACATTGGAAATGAAAGCACTCAGCATGAGGCCTGCCATTAAGTGCCTACTAGTTGATGTCAGGTTCCATGCCCAGGGCTGAGGATAGAAAGATGAACAGGTAGATTATGCCCTTATTTATTACCCTAGATCATGTTTGAGTTAAACTTGATTGAGGGTATAGTTCCTGACCTCTGGGAGCTCTGACTCAGTGGGGGACGCTTGGAGGGCTCAGGGGCCTACTGTCGTCCATCCTCATCTTCACAGACAGCTGCTAAAACAGATTATAGAATTTAAGGCTCAGACTGGGCAGTTCACTTGAAAGGCCTGGCTCATTCTATTGGCTCTAGAATCTGCAGCTAGTCAGAGATGAAGCTCAGGCCACCAGAGCCACAGAGAAAAGTCTCTCACTATAGGAAAAGTGTCACTTTGACTCTTTAGCCCTCACTCCTGTTCAGTAAACTTCATGAAGCCAGGTGGAGGGTGTTGGCCTTCAGCTGGAGTGACAGTCGTGTGGGACAGGCGCCCCTTGACAGATTTTGAGTATTGGGAAGAGGGCAGGAGGGAGGGAGTTCCAGGTCTGGGGCTGCTGCTCTGGGGTTGTGATTTGCTGTTGGGCAGCTGAGCAGAGATATCATAATTTGACTTTGGGATGTATATTTCTCTGGACTTAGGGATCAGGATGCAGGCTGTAGCACACGAAGCTGGCTCGGAAGCCAACAGACTGGAATAGGACTTTCCCAATGGCCAAGCACTCATCTCTGCTCCCCTCCTGTGCTGAAAGCACTTTTTGCAAATGATGGTACTTAGCACTGATTGCCTGGCAGCCTAAGATACACCACCCATAGAGCAGAGTCAGAAGGGGGTTTCCTGCCAGGGCACTTTTGGGGAGCTATGATGCAGGCTAAGCCAGTGGAAGAAAGGGAGGAAGGGAGCAGACAGAACAGGGAGGCTTGATCTGGTGCTCCCAACAGACCCGGTTTGCCACTTTGCCTGCCTCCACTCCGCCCCTTCCTCCCCAGCTTTATTAGGGTGAGTGTTGGAGCCCACCCAAGGGTCCATGCTGTCATTGGTACTTTGCACCTACATGGCCATTCTGTTGTTTACTTTGGTTTGAGCCGTGGAAACAGAGACTGAAGAGCAGCAGGCACCAGCCTCTGTGCTGTCCCTACTCAGGCCCCCAGTTGGGGGTGAGGAGCCCTGGGAAGACCATCCAAAGTTCCAGGGGCAGACGCCAGAGCTACACAATCACCTCCTTTTCTAGATAGTAAGAAACAAAGAAAAACCTCTACACCCCTGAGTGTTGAGTGAGGAAAGCAAACATGTTCTCCCTGTATTCAAATTAGCCAGAGAGCCTGGTGGGGACTCTTGGGGGCAACACCTTCCCTTCCAATGCCAAGGCAATACCTCCCCTTCCAGGCTCACTCCTCTGAGCCTGCCTGGTAGTGCAAATAACTTGTTTTCAGAGGCAAGAAGAAAGAGGAAACTAGAAGTTTTGCCTTTTTGGAAAGCATCCTGTGCTACCTGCAGTCCCACATGAACACTGACTCTGGGGCTCCCAGGCCTGTGAAATGGAGTGGAAGTGACCCCAGGAGTACCAGAGCTGAGCCTTCCAGCAAAGTTTGGCAGGGAATGTGGGCCTCAGTCACACTCCTTCAGCTTCCTTTTCCTTAGTCCCTACTAGTGGCTCAGGAAAAAACAAGAAGTTCAGATAGCGACAGGCATTGCTTTTGAAAAGATAGTAACAGTACTTAGTAGTAACTGAGGAATTTTAAAAATACACTGTGCTTTTTTTTTAATTCTGTGTAGCTCTGGCCAATAGAGAGTTAAGAGCACTGGTGGGATGGAAATACTAATTCCAGAGAGGTAGTGGGCATTTCCAAGCATCCCACAGCAAGTCAGGGGCAGGACAGGGAAGAGGAGCCTGGGTTTCCTAGCTCCAGCCTCTGCTTGGTGAATCTCCCTGGCTACTTTGGAATAAGAAAGCTTTCATGTGTCCAGTGAAGGGTCAGGGCATCCAGTGGGTAAGAATGGCATACTTCCTGCCCCTGTTGCAGGGCACAGGCCTCTGGGTAGAGTAGACTGGGGTTGGGGAGACGGGGGTGGGCAGCTTCAAGTAGCTTTGGGGTATAAGGCTCCAGGGCCAGAAGAGCCCAGGACTCATAGGATGGAGTTTGGTGGCAAAGCCTCTGCCACAGTGAGACTACTTGGAACAGCCCACTTTGGTAGTGCACTCACTCTGAGCCAGGCCCCAGAGGCCTCAGGGTATAGTAGGGAATGAGGACAGAGATTGTTCATCCCTTTCTTCCTCCAACTGCCATGGACATGGGGGATAACTCTGTAAACAAGCCGACATGTTCTAGATGCATATGGAGCACACAGCCATCAGGAGTAAGACCCACACCATGTAAGTGATTCTGGTAACGTGTACTGATTATTATTCGATGGCATGCAGTGGGGGTGGGTTTAGGCATAAGGGATAGAGGTAGCAACACCAACTCCCCATACCCCAATAAATTAGCTTTTCCAGAGACCCTGCTTTATCCTCAGAGAAGGCTTTGCTCCCCAGAGCACATATCATTTTGAGAATATTGTTTCTTTGTCCATTCATTCAACAAGCATTTAGCCCCTGCTGTGTATCAGAGTCTGCGCAGGCTCTGAGTTCACAGCGGAAACACAACAGTCAGCAGGTTGGATCCCACAGACTGTATGAGCACAACACAGTCTGAATATAGCATTGAATACTGAAACAGTGTTGACCATTGGACTTGTAGGAGCTCTTTTCTTGGGAAAACTTTAGTTTATAACATGATGGAGATTGAATTAATCTGACATAAAAACTTTTTGGGACAAAAATAAATGATTTTGTTTATTGTCCATAAGAGATCTTAAAAAGTCTTTTGTTTGGGAATGGAACCTCTACTCAAACCCAGGTTTGGGCTCCCTAGGGCCTTGAAGTCAGTGGGAGCAGCTGAGTAGGGAGTGGGTGATGGATCAAGGAACACATTTAGGGGAAAATATCACAATCCAACTTGGACAGCCTCAGGTCGAAAGTGGGTGATATTATAAGATCAGAGTGGTATCCTTTGGAACTCAAGGATAGTTTGCAGCCAGGTCTTGGACAAGAATGAGGAATCAGGGAAACCATCCCCTGTATCTACTTTCTTTCTTTTTTTTGAGACGGTGTCTTGCTCTGTCGCCCAGGCTGGAGTGCAGTGGCGCGATCTCGGCTCACGGCAAGCTCCGCTTCCCGGGTTCACGCCATTCTCCTGCCTCAGCCTCACGAGTAGCTGGGACTACAGTCACCCGCCACCACGCCCGGCTAATTTTTTGTATTTTTAGTAGAGACAGGGTTTCACCATGTTAGCCAGGATGGTCTTGATCTCCTGACCTTGTGATCCGCCCGCCTAAGCCTCCCAAGGTGCTGGGATTACAGGCATGAGCCACCGCGCCCAGCCACCTTGCATTTTCATGGGCTCCTCAGATCCCTCAGCTGTGTGTGCAGAAGAAAGGAGGAAGGCCGGTGAATAGGCAGCCTCTGCCAAGTACCTCTTTTGGGGATGACTCTCAGGTACTCCGAGACTGGGGGAGGCCAAGTCTCAGAGTACCTGAGGGACCCAGGCTCATGGAGACTTCTCCACTCCGTCTTTCCTAGGTGCAATGCCAGGGTCTTGGATGTAGCGGTGAGCAAAGCTGGTGCAGCCCTATTCTCAAGGAGATAAGGGCCTAATGGGAGAGACTAACTTTAATCACATACAAATCAAAATTCTATTGAAGGAGTAGGACCAGAAGCCATGAGAACTAATGCCCTGAGGCAGTGATGCCAGGTGAAGACATGTGTGATGTGTGTCTGAGGGGTGAATAGGAGTCAAGGAAATAGGTAGGTGGGGAGGAAAGGGGGGTCAAGCCTTCTAGGCAGGTGGAACCACACATGCAAAGGCCCTGAGGCTCATGATCAAAGAAATAGGACATGCCTTTTCAGTGGAAGATGGACCAGAAAGATGGAGGGGAGCAAAGGGACATGTTCTGGCAATGGTACACACAGCCTACTTCTAGCCAGGACATCCTCCTGCTATGATTGCTGGGACTGGTTGTTCTGTCTTTCCTGTCCCCTCTAACTCCTCCCCAGCTTTTTCCTCTGGGCTCCAACAGGAGCTCACTGCCCCTCCCTGCTTTGGGGTTGTTTGTCCAGCTAGTTGCTCCTGCCACTATGAGAGGGCACCAAAATAGTTGTTGCCCCCATGAGGAGAGGTAGAGAGGTAGCAGCAGTACTTTCTCTCTGGTTTTTTTTTTTTTTTTTGAGACGGAGTTTTGCTCTTGTTGCCCAGGCTGGAGTGCAATGGCGCAATCTTGGCTCACCACAACCTCTGCCTCCTAAGTTCAAGCGATTCTTCTGCCTCAGCCTCCTGAGTAGCTGGGATTACAGGCATGTGCCACCATACCCGGATAATTTTGTATTTTTAGTAGAAACGGGGTTTCTCCATGTTGGTCAGGCTGGTCTCGAACTCCCGACCTCAGGTGATCCGCCCGCCTCGGCCTCCCAAAGTGCTGGGATTACAGGCATGAGCCACTGCGCCCAGCCTTTCTGTTTTTGAGATGGGGTCTTGCTCCGTTGCCCAGGCTGGAGTGCAGTGGTGCAGTCACAGCCCATTGCAGCCTCAGCCTCCCGGGCTCAAGCAATCCTCTCACCTCATCCTCCCAAGTAGCTGGGACTAGAGGTGTGCGTCGCCACATCTGGCTAATTTTTGTATTTTTGTATTTTTTTTTTTTTTTTGTAGAGATGGGGTTTCGCCATGTTGCCCAGACTGGTCTTGAACTCCTGGGCTAAAGCGATCTGCCTGCCTCAGCCTCCCAAAGTTTTGGGATTATAGGCGTGAGCCACTGTGACCAGCTAATAGTACTTTTAAAAACATGTTTTTGGATGCATAGTGAAATTATTATCTCTTTCCCAGGAGTCATCAGGACTAGAGGTACAGTCAGGTTTGACTGCTGACCAGGGATCATACTCTGGCAGGTTCCCCACAGGAAGTGCATTGCAGGGGTGGGGGCAGGAAAGCCTGCACATGGTAGCTTTTTTCAGGTGACCATGACACCCCTGACCACAGTTGGAGTGCAATGGCGTGGTCTCGGCTCACTGCAACCTCTGCCTCCTGGGTTCAAGCGAGTCTCCTGCCTCAGCCTGCCTAGTAACTGGGATTACAGGCGCCTGCCACCATGCCTGGCTAATTTATGTGTTTTTAGTAGAGGTGGGGTTTCTTTTTTTTTTTTTTTTTTTTTTTGAGACAGAGTCTCACTCTGTCACCGAGGCTGTAGTGCAGTGGCACAATCTCGGCTCACTGCAACCTCCACCTCCTGGGTTCAAGTGATTCTCTTGCCCCAGCGAGTAGCTGGGACTACAGGCGTGTGCCACCATGCTCAGCTAATTTTTATTTTTTTCTTTTTAAGTAGAGATGGGGTTTCACCATGTTGGCCAGGCTGGTCTTGAACTCCGGACCTCAAGTGATCCGCCTGCCTTGGCCTCCCAAAATGCTGGGATTACAGGCATGAGCCACCGCACCCAGCTGGTGTCCCTTTTTTATATTACTCTTCTGAGTTCTGGTATGTCAGTACTTTTGAGTTTTGACTATGTTGATGAGACTCTTCTGGAATTTTTTCTTTTGGCTTAAAATTTTAAAAAATTATACAAGTAAGGCCGGGCGTGATGGCTCACGCCTGTAATCCTAGCACTTTGGGATGCCAAGGCGGGCAGATCACTTGAGGTCAGGCTTGAGTTGCCGAAGATCAGCCTGGGCAAAATGGCAAAATCCCATCTCTACTAAAAATACAAAAATTAGCCGGGCGTGGTGGTGGGCACCTGTGATCCCAGCTACTAGGGAGGCTGAGGCAGGAGAATCACTTGAACCCGGGAGGCAGAGGTTGCAGTAACCCGAGATCGCAGCACTGCACTCTAACCTGGGCAAGAGAGTGAGACTCTGTCTCAAATATATATATGTGTGTGTATATATATGTAAATATATATGTGTGTATATATATGTAAATATATATATGTGTATATATATGTAAATATATATGTGTGTATATATGTAAATATATATATGTGTATATATGTAAATATATATGTGTGTGTATATATATGTAAATATATGTGTGTATATATGTAAATATATGTGTGTATAGATGTAAATATATATGCGTATATATATATTTGAGACAGAGTCAAATATATATACATATATATGTGTATATATATAGTATATATATGTATATATATGTGTGTGTGTGTGTATATATATATATATATATACAAGTAAGACACAGACACATTCTTGGAGTAATATTCAAACAATTCAGTCATATATTGAAGTACAACGTCCACTGCCCCTTTTTTTCTAGTGCAGTCCATCTCCACCTTGGGTCAACTTCCACTGCCCCTTCCTTTTCCAGCATTATTACTTTTCTGGGCATATTTCTAGGATCTTTTTAGAAGATTATAGGATCTTTTTAGAAGATCCTAGAAATATGCATTTATATCTGTGAACCTATTGTGAATATACACACGCATACTTTTTTGAAGAAAGATCATACTAAATGCATTGCTTTGCACCTTGCTTTTTTCACTGAACAATACGGGAGATACTTCTCCCCACCCTCCCACTTTTCAGAGAATTAGCTGTTTTGGTCCCAGATAACTTTTGTAAGAGACAAGGTGTTGTCTCTTACTGAATTAGAGTAACCGCTGGTGCCTTTTGGGGCTGTTGGGTACTCCTGTGTCCCAGGTGAATCTCCAAGTAAACCACTATATCTTCTGTTCTAGCTGGATTCCTACTTGCTCCATCTCTGAGGGCACTGTGAGCTGCAGCAGCATCCTGCTTGGGGAGGACAGTGGCCTTGTCACCTAGGTTCTGCCTTTGGATTCCAGGGAGCTTCCAGGCTCTTGTCTCCCTTTCTGGCCAGGGCTGTCTCTTGAATGCAGGAATATCTGGGAAATTCCCTGTTTCTTCCTTGGTAAGAGGTGTGAATTCACTTTTCTTTTTTTTTCTTTTTTCTTTTTTCTTTTTTTTTTTGAGACAGAGTCTTGCTCTGTCACTCAGGCTGGAATGCAGTGGCACGATCTCAGCTCACTGCAACCTCCATCTCCTGGGTTAAAGTGATTCTTCTGCCTCAGCCTCCCAAGTAGCTAGGATTACAGGCACCCACCATGATGCTCGGCTAATTTTTTGAAATTTTAGTAGAGATGGGGTTTCACCATGTTGGCCAGGCTGGTCTTGAACTCCTGGCCTCAGGTGATTCACCCACCTCAGCCTCCCAAAGTGCTGGGATTACAGGCGTGAGCCACTGAGCATGGCCTCACTTTCTTTATTCATACCCTCATATCTGGGCAGTCTGCCTTGCTCAGGCTCATACTCATCTGAGCAGAAGACTGCTTTCAGAGGTTCCCTGGGAGCAGGGCCATTGCAGCATGAGTAGTCATTTGCAGCCAGCATCCTGCCTTTCTTCTTGATGCCAGATGGTGCCCTACATTGGTATATGCTGCCTGTGTCCCTTCAGAGACTCAACCCCAATCCGGAAGGAGGGTGGTTCCCATCTCTCTGGAACTCTTCTCCAAAGGTTTTGGTGTTTGGAATTTGAAATTTTTTTCTAGTGCAGTCCATCTCCACCTTGGGTCAGACCTCCTTTCCAGGGCACGATAGTGCTTGGAGTCATTCATTTATTCAACAAATATGTATTGAGCACCTGTTACATGCCAAACACTGTTCTAGGCAGTACTTAATGTTGGCTACTAATTATGTCCTGCTCCCGAATTTCTTCGCTATCTTGCTTGTTTCCCTATGGCTTGTGAGAGGCTTCTGCCTCTAAATTTACCCCAGGAATATGAATTTTGAATTTCTAGGCAATCAAATTACAAGAGTTTGTTCCTGGGTTTTAACTCAAATTCTACCCTACTGGGAACATTTTTTATCTTCTATGAAATGGCAAACAGCTAGGAGACATGTTTCCTAGGAACTGGCCTTCTTGGTGCATTTCAGAGGAAGCACTTCATTTCAGAGGGTTGAGATTGTGAGAGCAGGGCTTGGAGGCCAGGAGTTCCCAGGCCAGGTCCTAGCCTTGCTGCCTGTTTTTCTGTTGACCTTCAGCTGCTTTGTTTCTTTTTTCTTTTCTTTTCTTTCTTTTTTTTTTTTTGTGAGACAGAGTCTCGCACTGTCGCCCAGGCTGGAGCTCAGTGGCATGATCATGGCTTACTGCAACCTCCACCTCCCAGGTTAAAGCGATTCTCCTGCCTCGGCCTCCCAAGTAGCTGGGATTACAGGCATGCACCACCATGCCTGGCTAATTTTTGTATTTTTAGTAGAGATGGGGTTTTACCATGTTGCCCAGGCTGGTCTCAAACTCCTCACCTCAAGTAATCCACCCGCCTCGGCCTCCCAAAGTGGTGGAATTACAGGCATGAGCCAACGCGTCAGCTTGCTTTGTTTCTTTAATCTTTAGTTTTCTTGGAAAAAATGGAAATGATAAGAATACCCACCTGTGTGGTTGTTAGGCAGGTATTATGTAAAGGAAGAGCCTGCTACATAGAGTGAGCTGAGAACTGCTGGGGGTAGCGGGGTTACTGTCCTGATTCCCAGCAGTGAAAGGCATTTAAATCATTACAGGTTTCACACCTAAGTTTTCTTTTTTCATTTTAAACATCACTTGTTATTTTCTAATTTTGTGGATGCTTAATACATTAGCACACTAATACATGCTTACAATTTAGAAACGAATATTGCATATTTGGGGGCTGTAGGCTCGGCTATCCTTTTCTTAAAGACAGGACCGTCCTTGTTGCCCACCTAGGATGGTCTCAAACTCCTGCCCTCAATGCTGCCACAGCCTCCCAAGTAACTGGGATTATAGGCACAAGCCACTGTGCCTGGCTAGTTACTCTTTTAAAAATATCTTTCTGAGATATAATTCACTTACCATAGAATTCACTCATTTTAACTGTGCCATCCAATGGTTTTTAGTGCACTTAGAGTTCTACAACCAAAGCTACAGTTTTTTTTTTTTTATAAGACGGAGTCTCGCTCTGTCGCTCAGCCTGGAGTGCAGTGGTGCGATCTCAGCTCACTGCAAGTTCCGCCTCCTGGGTTCACGCCATTCTCCTGCCTCAGCCTCCCGAGTAGCTGGGACTACAGGTGCCCACCACCTTGCCCGGCCAATTTTTTGTATTTTTAGTAGAGATGGGGTTTCACCGTGTTAGCCATGTGGTCTCAATCTCCTGATCTCGTGATCCACCCGTGTCGGCCTCCTAAAGTGCTGGGATTACAGGTGTGAACCACCGCACCTGGCCCAAAGCTACAATTTGAGAACATTTTCATCACCCACAAGAAGAAACCCCATACCCAAAATGTCACTTTCCATTCTTCCCCCCTCTATCTATCCTCCAGGCCTAAGGTAACCACTAATCTACTATCCACCTCTCTAGATTTGCCTATTCTGGACATTTCATATAAATGGAATCATGCAATGTGTGTTTTGGGGGTTTGGCTTCTTTCACTTAGTGTGTTTTCCAAGGCTCATCCAGGATGTAAGATGTAGTGTGTATCAGCACTTCATTCCTTTATTCATTTATTTGTTTAGAGAGGGAATCTTACTCTGTCACCCAGAGGACATGGAGGCTGGAGTACAGTGGTATGATCATGGCTTACTGTAACCTCAAACTCCTGGGCTCAAGAGATCCTCCCACCTCAGCCTCCCAAGCAGCTAGGACTACAGGCATGCACCACCATGCCTGGCTAATTTTTTTTTTTTTTTTAAGTGACAGAATCTTCCTATGTTGCCCAGGCTGGTCTCAAATTCATGGCTTCAAGTGATCCTCCTGTCTCAGGCACCCAAAGTGCTGGGATTACAGGCATGAGCCACTGCACTCAGCCAGTTACTTCTTTCCTTCTTATTGCCCAGTGATATTTCATTGTATGGATGTACCACATTTTATCCATTTATCAATAAGTATGATTTTAGGTATGGGTTTTTCATAGATGCGCTTTACAATTTTTTTTTTTTTTGAGACGGAGTCTCGCACTGTTGCCCAGGCTGGAGTGCAGTGGCAGGATCTCTGCTCACTGCAGCCTCCGACTCCAGGGTTCAAGCAATTCTCCTGCCTCAGCCTCCTAAGTAGCTAAGATTACAGGCGCCCGTCACCACGCCCAGCTGATTTTTTCTTTCTTTCTTTTTTTTTTGTATTTTTAGTAGAGACAGGGTTTCACCATGTTGGTCAGGCTGGTCTCGAACTCCTGACCTCATGATCCACCAGCCTCGGCCTCCCAAGGTGCTGGGATTACAGGTGTGAGCCACCGCACCTGGCTAGATGCGCTTTAAAAAATTGAAATTCCTTTCTATTTCTAGTCTGTTAAATTTTTTTAAGCATAAAAAGGTATTGAATTGGAAAAGGTATGAAATGCTTTCTGCATCTATCAAGATGATCATGTAGTTTTTGTAATCTTGATAGATGGTTTTTGTCCATCATTCTATTAATATGCTATATTAATTGATTTTTTAGATGTTAAGCCATAATTGCATGTCTGAGAAAAATTCATTTGGTTATTATATTAAATCCTTTCTATATGTCACCGGATTTGTTTTGCTAGTAGTTGTTTATAATTTTTGCATCTATAGTAACAAGATATATTGGTCTAAAGTTTTCTTGTGATGTTTATGTCTGTTTTTTTACAAATTTAATTTGATTATTTTATTTTGTTTATTTCATTTTATTTAGATACAGGGTCTCATTATGTTCCTGAGGCTAGATTCAAACTCCTGGGCTCAAGTGATCCTCCCACCTTATTCCCCTGAGTAGCTGGGACTACAGGCATGTGCCACCACATCCAATTTATGTGTGGTTTTGATATCAGGGTAATTGTGGCCTCATGGAATGAGTTGAGAAGTGTTTTATCCTGTTCTATTTTTTGGAAGAGTTTGTGAAAGATTAATATGAAATCTTAAGACAGTTTTATTGAGATATAATTAATATGCCAGAAAATTTACCCATTTAAAGAGTATAATTCAGTGGTTTATTACGTATTACATTATAAATTTTTTTAGGATCTTGCTCTGTCACCGAGGCTGGAGTGCAGTGGTGCGATCATGACGCACTGCAGCCTCAGCCTCCTGGGCTCAAGCAGTCCTCTCATCTCAGCCTCCCGGGCTCAAGCAGTCCTCTCATCTCAGCCTCCCAAAGGGACTACAGTCATGCACCACCATGTCTGGCTAATTTTTTAATATTTTGTAGATATCAGGTTTTACTATATAGTCTAGACTGGTCTCGAGCTACTGTACTCAAGCAATCCTCCTGCCTCTGCCTCCCAAAGTGCTGGGATTTACAGGCATGAGCCACTGTGCCTGGTCACATTATTAATCTTTTAAAAATGGTGATAAAATATAAATATCATAAATTTGCCATTTTAACCATTTTAAGTGTACAATTTAGTGGCATTAATTACTGTATATTCATGATTCATGTTGTGCAACCATCACCACTATCTATTTCTAAAATTTTTAATCACCCCAAACTCTGACCATTAACCAGCACCTCCCCATTGACCCCTTTCTTCAGCGCCTGTTAACTTTTTTTTTTTTTTCTTTTTGAGACAGGGTTTTGCTCTCATCACTCAGGCTGGAGTGCAGTGGTGTAATCTTGGCTCACTGCAACCTCTGCCTCCCGGGCTCAAGTGATTCTCATGCTTCAGCCTCCCAGGTAGCTGGGCCTACAGAAGTGTGCCACCATGCCAGGCTAATTTTTGTATTTTTAGTAGTAAAGACTGGGTTTCGCCATGTTGGCCAGGCTGGTCTTGAACTCCTGACCTCAAGTGATCTGCCCACCTCAGCCTCCTAAAGTGCTGGAATTACAGGCATGAGCCACTGCGCCTGGCCTATCCATTTATTGATGGGCACTTGGGTTGTTTCTACTTTTTGACTCCAGTAGTCCCCCCTTATCTGCGGTCTTGCTTTCTGTGGTTTTAGTTACCCACGGTATGGTACAATCATATTTTGAGAGAACACATTCATATAGCTTTTATTACAGTATATTGTTATAACTGTTCTATTTTATTATTAGTTATTGTGAATCTCTTATTGTGCCTAATTTATATATTAAACTTCATCATAGGTTTGTATATGTAGGAAAAAACAAGGCTGGGCATGGTGGCTTACGCCTGTAATCCCAGCACTTGGGGAAGCCGAGGTGGGCGGATCACAAAGTCAGGAGATCGAGACCATCCTGGCCAACATGGTGAAACCCTGTCTCTACTAAAAATACAAAAATTAGCTGGGCATGGTGGCACGCGCCTGTAGTCCCAGCTACTTGGGAGGCTGAGGCAGGAGAATTGCTTGAACCCAGGAGGCAGAGGTTGCAGTGAGCCGAAATCGCGCCACTGCACTCTAGCCTGAAGAGAGAGCAAGACTCTGTCTCAAAAAAAAACCCAAAAAACAAAACAAAAAAAAACAAACTTTGTGTATATAGGCATCTACTGGGGGTCTTGGAACATATCCCCTGAGGATAAGTGGGGGCTACTATATTGTGAATAATGGTGTAATAAACATTGGCATTCAAGTATCTGTTCAAGTCCCTGGTTTTACTTCCTCTGGATATAAACCTAAGAGTGGAATTCCTGGATCATATGGTAATTTTATGTTAGGCTTTTCGAGGCGCTGCCAAAAATTTTTCTGTAGCAGCTGTACCGTTTTACATTTCCACCATCATTGTATGAGGGTTCCAATTTTTCCACGTCCTTGTCAACACTTGTTATTTTCTGTTTATTTTGTTTGTTTTTAGTAATAGCCTAAAGAGTGTGAAGTGGTATCTTATTGTAGTTTTGATTTGCATTTTTCTAATCAATGGCTTATTGGCCATTTGTAAATCTTTAGAGAAATGTCTGTTCAAGTCCTTTGCCTATTTTTGTTTTCAAGACAGGGTCTTGCTGTGTTGCCCAGGCTGGAGTTCAGTGGCTATTTACATTTGCAGTCATAACACACTACAGGCTCAAATTTCTGGGCTCAAGCAACCCTCTTGCTTCAGCCTACTGAGGAACTGGAACTACAGGCCCAGCTGAAATGAACTGCCTTTTGTGTGTTGATTTTATATCCTTCAGTTTTGCTGAAGTTGTTTATTAGTTCTAACTTTTTTGTGGCCTGTTTAGGGTTATCTACATGTAAGATCATGTGGTCTGCAGGTAGAGATAATTTTACTTCTTCTTTTCCAATTTGGATGTCCTTTATTTATTTTTTTTCTTGCCCAATAGCTCTGACTAGGACTTCCAGTACTATGTTAGATAGAAATGGTAAAACTTCCTTGCACATCGTTGTCTTGTTTCTGATTGTAAAGGGAAAGCTTCTAATTTTTCACTATTGAGTATTATGTTAGCTGTGAACTTTTCATAAATAGTCCTTATCATATTGAGAAAGTTCCCTTCTATTTCTAGCTTAAGTCTTTTGAATCATGAAAGTGTATTGACTTTTGTCAAATGCTTTTTCTGCATCAATTGAGGTAAACATATAGTTTCTTCCCTTCATTCCCTTCATTCTATTAATATGGTGTATTACATTTATTTATTTATTTATTTATTTATTTATTTATGAGACAGGGTCTTGCTCTGTTCCCAAGGCTGGAGTGCAGTGGTGCAATCTTGGCCCACTGCAGCCTCTGCCTCCCAGGTTCAAGAGATTCTCCTGCTTCAGCCTCCAGAGTAGCTGGGATTACAGGTGCGTGCAACTACTCCTGGCTAATTTTTGTATTTTTAGTAGAGATGGGGTTTCACTATATTGGCCAGGCTGGTCTCAAACTCCTGGCCTCAAGTGATTTGCCCACCTCGGCCTCCCAAAGTGCTGGGATTACAGGTGTGAGCCACTGTGTCTGGAACATTGATTGATTTTTGGATGTTCAGTCAACCTTGCATTCCAGAAATAAAGCCCAATAGAAGGATGTACAATACTTCTAATATGCTGCTGAATTCAGTGTGCTAGTATTTTCTTAAGGATGTTTGCATCTCTTTTCATAAGGAAAATTGATCTGTAGTTTTCTTGTAGTATCTTTGTTGATATTAATTTATTTTTGGCTGGGCACAGTGGCTCATGCCTCTAATCCCAGCACTGTGGGAGGCTGAGGTGGGAGGATCACTTGAACTCAGGAGTTCGAGGCTGCAGTGAGCTATGATTGTGTCACTGCATTCCAGCCTGGATGACAGAGCAAGACCCTGTCTGTTATAAAATAAAATTTTTAAAAAATAAATTCTTTTTCAATGGTTAGTAGGATTCACCAGTGAAGACAACTGAGCATAAGCTTTTCTTTGTGGGAAGTTTTAAAATTACTTATTCAGTTTATTTATGTGTTATAGGTCTATTCCGATTTTTCATTTCTTCCTGAGTCAGTTTTGATAGTTTGCATCTTGGAATTTGTCAATTTCATCTAAATTACCTAAGGATGTGTGGTTGTTCATAGTATTCTCTTGCAATCCGATTTATTTATTTATTTATTTATTTATCAAGATGGAGTCTCGCACTGTCGCCCAGGCTGGAGTGCAGTGGCGCGATCTCGGCTCACTGCAAGCTCTGCCTCCCGAGTTCACTCCATTCTCCTGCCTCAGCCTTCTGAGTAGCTGGGACTACAGGTGCCCACCACCATGCCCAGCTAATTTTTATTTTTATTTTTTTTATTTTTAGTAGAGACGGGGTTTCACCGTGTTAGCCAGGAGGGTCTCGATCTCCTGACCTCGTGATCCACCCACCTCGGCTTCCCAAAGTGCTGGGATTACAGACGTGAGCCACCACGCCCGGCCAATCCTTTTAATTTATTTAAGATTGGTAGTAACATCCTTTCTTTTATTTCTGATTTTAGTCATTTGAATCTTTTTTTCTTTGTTAAAAGAAGGCTTATTGATTTTTTTTTTATCTTTTGAAAGAACCATCTTTTGGTTTTATTGTCTTTCTCTATTTTCTATTCTGTATTTCACCTCTAATCTTTATTATTTTCTTCATTATATTTACATTGTGTTTAGTTTGCTCTTCTTTTTCTAAGTATTAAGTCGGAAGTTTAGGTTATTGGTTTGAGGTCTTTTCTCTTTTTTGTTTTATTTTCTATTTTTCATTTTTTTGGGCACTTAGTAGGTGTATATATTTATAAGGTACCTGAGATGTTTTGATACAGGCATGCATCGTGAAATAAGCACACCATGGAGAATGGGGTATCCATCCCCTCAAGCATTTATCCTTTGAGTTACAAACAATCCAATCACATTCTTTAAGTTATTTAAAAATATACAATTAAGTTATTATTGACTATAGTCACCTTGTTGTGCTATCAAATAGTAGGTCTTATTCATTCTTTCTAACTATTTTTTTGTGTACCCATTAACCATCCTCACCTCTTCCACCACCCTCCCACTACCCTTCCCAGCCTCTGGTAACTATCCTTCTCTTCTCCATGTTCATGGGTTCAATTGTTTTGATTTTCAGATCCCACGAATAAGTGAGAACATGCGATGTTTGTCTTTCTGTGCCTGGCTTATTTCATTTAACATAATGATCTCTAGTTCTGGCCGTATTGTTGCAAATGACTGTATCTCATTCTTTTTTTATGGCTGAGTAGTACTCCACTGTATATACGTGCCACATTTTCTTTATCCATTCAGCTGTTGTTAGACACCTAGGTTGCTTCGAAATCTTAGCTATTATAAACAGTGCTGCGACAAACTCAGGAGTGCAGATATCTCTTCAATATATTGATTTCCTTTCTTTTGGGTGGATACCCAGTGGTGGGATTGATGGATCATATGGTAGCCCAATTTTTAGTTGTTTTTTTTTTAATTTTAATTTTTATTTTATTGAATTATTTTTGGTGTGTCTAGGTCAAGGAAAGAGGAGATCGTGGGTGGGGAAACAGACTGAGGGAATCAGAAGCACCACTGTCCATCCGGAATTAAATCCACATCCCAGTATCTTCTGCACATATTTCACTAATTATTTCCTCTCGGAACTCCTCCCCTCGTGCTTCTTCCTCTGGTGAGGCCGGCGCTCCCTTCCCAGGCCGCAGCGGACAGACAGGGATTGGGTTTCGTGTGCCTGCCACACCAGGCAGGCTCTTGCGGCTCCCAACTAGGCGGCCTTGCACTCCGTGTGCACTGGCCACACATCCTTGCCTCCTCCACCCGGTCCGCCGCCGGTTTCCTTGGAAGTTAAATCTTGGAGGATTTGTCCACACCCCTCACGTTTCTTCAGCCGCCCCTGGGCGCTGCGTCTAACCCCAATTTTTAGTTTTTTGAGAAACCTCCAAACTGTTCTTCATAGTGGTTGTACTAATTTACATTCCCACTAACAGTGTACAAGGGTTCCCTTTTCTCTACATCCTTGCCAGCATTTGTTATTGCCTGTCTTTTGGATAAAAGCCATTTTAACTGGGGTGAGATGATACCTCATTTAGTTTTGATTTGCATTTCTCTGATGATCAATGATGTTGAATACCTTTTTATATGCCTGTTTGCCATTCGTGTGTCTTCTTTTGAGAAATGTCTATTCAGATCTTTTGTTCATTTTTGATCGGATTATTAGATTTTTTTCTATATAGTTGTTTGAGCTCCTTATATATTTTGGTTATTAATCACTTGTCAGATGGTTAGTTTGTACATATTTTATTCCATTCTGTAGGTTGTTCCTTCACTTTTTTGATTGTATCCTTTGCTGTGCAGAAGCTTTTTAACTTGATGTGATTCCATTTGTCCATTTTTGTTTTAGTTGCCTGTGCTTGTTGGGTATTGGTCAAGAAAGTTTTGCCTGGAGATTTTCCCCTATGGTTTCCTATAGTAGTTTCACAGTTTGAGGACTTATATTTAAGTCCTTAATCCATTTTGATTTTATTTTTGTATATGATGAGAGATAGGGGTCTAGTTTCATTCTTCAGCATATGGATATCCAGTTTTCCCAGCTCTATCTATCTATCTATCTATCTATCTATCTATCTATCATTATCTATTTACTTATTTATTTATTCTGAGACAGGGTCTCACTCTGTTGCCCAGGCTGGAGTGCAATGGCACAATCATGGCTCACTGCAGCCTCAACCTCAGCCTCCTGGGTAGCTGGGACTACAGGCACACACCAGCCAATTTTGTGTATTTTCAGTAGAGACAGGGTTTCACCATGTTGCCCAGGCTGGTCTTGAACTCCTGGACTCAAGCAATCCGTCCATCTCAGCTTCCCAGAGTGCTGGGATTACTGGTGTGAGACACCATACCCTACCCCCAGCACCATTTATTGAAGATACTGTCTTTTCTCCAGTGTGTGTTCTTGGCACCTTTGTCAAAAATGAGTTCACTGTAGGTGTGTGGACTTGTTTCTGGGTTTTCTATTCTGTTCCATTGGTGTATGTGCCTTTTTAAAATGCCAGTACAATGTTGTTTTGGTTACTATAGCTCTGTAGTCTAATTTGAAGCCAGGTAATATGATTCTTCCAGCTTTGTTCTTTTTGCTTAGGATAGCTTTGGCTGTTCTGGGTCTTTTGTGGTTTCATATAAATTTTAGGATTTTTTTTTATTCTGTGAAGAATGTCATTGATAGTTTGATAGGGATTGCTTTTAATTTGTAGATTGCTTTGGGTAGTATGGACATTTAAACAATATTGATTCTTCCAATCCATGAATATGGAATATTTTTCCATTTTTTGGTGTCCTCTTCAATTTAATTCTTCAGTGTTTCATAGTTTTCCTTATAGAGATCTTTTACTTCTTTGGTTAAGTTAATTCCTAGGTATTTAATTTTATGTGTGGTTATTGTAAATGTGATTACTTTTTATATTTCTTTTGCACATTGTTCACTGTTGGCATATAGTAATAGAAATACTACTGATTTTTGTATGTTGATTTTGTATCTTGCAACTTTACTGAATTTATCAATTCTAATAGTTTTCTTGTGGCATCTTCCAGTTTTTACAAATATAAGACCATATCATCAGTAAACAGGGATAATTTGACTTCTTCCTTTCCCCTTTGGATCCCCTTTATATCTTTCTCTTGTCTGATTGGACTTAAGTACTGTTGTTACTGGTGGAGGGTCTTGACTACAAGTGGTCCAGGTTCTTGGCATTTTGAACAAAGAATTGGAGAAAACGCACAAAACAAACGAAAGAATGAAGCAATGAAAGCATAGATTTATTGAAATGAAAGTGCACTCCACAGACTGCGAGCAGGCTAGAGCAAGCAGCTCAAGAGTGCTGCTTACACAATTTTCTGGGGTTTAAATAGTCTTTAGATGTTTCCTATTGGTTGCTTGATTTGCTCCCTGTGTAGATGAAGTGGTAGCCTGTGACCAGTATGATTGGTTGTGGAAGGCGATCAGTCAGAGGCTGAAGTGAAGTTACAAAGTTACACCCTATGCAAATGTCTGATTGGTTGCGGGAGAGGACCAATCAGGGGTACTTTCTGTTTCTCATCTGCCATGCAAAAGGAGTAACTTCTGTCATTTTGTTACTTGGGCAGGGAAAGTTGGGGTTTTTCTTTTCTTTTCTTTTCTTTTCTTTTCTTTTCTTTTCTTTTTTTTTTTGAGACAAGAGTCTCGCTCTGTCGCCTGGGCTGGAGTGCAGTGGCGCAATCTCGGCTAACTGCAACCTTCGCCTCCTGGGCTCAAGCGATTCTTCTGCCTCAGCCTCCCAAGTAGCTGGGATTATAGGCGCCTGCTACCACGCCCGGCTAATTTTTGTATTTTTAGTAGAGATGGGGTTTCACCATGTTGGCCAGGCTGGTCTCAAACTCCTGACCTTAGGTAATCTGCCTGCCTCAGCTTCCCAAAGTGCTGGAATTACAGGTGTGAGCCACTGCACCCGGCCGGGATTTTCCTTTTGATTCAGTTCTAGGAAGTCAGTGCAAATTGACCTTAGGTTCCCTTCCTCCAGACCCTATTCTCCTGCCTCACTATGTTGAATAGCAGTGATGACAGTGGGCATCCTTGTCATGTTCCAGATCTTAGAGGAAAGGCTTTCGATTTTTCCCCGTTCAGTATGACACTAGCTGTAGGTCTGTCGTATATGGCTTTCATTATTTTGAGGTATGTTCCTTCTATCCCCAGTTTTTTGAGGGTTTTTTTTAAAATCATGAAGGGATGTTGAATTTTTTCAAATGCTTTTTCAGCATCAATTGAAATGAATCTTTCTTTTCTTGAATATAGGTATTTGCAGCTAGAAATTTCTCTGAGTACTGCTATCACTACATCCAATGTTTTGATATGCAGTGTTTTCATTTTAATTCCTCTCAAAGTACTTTAAAATTTCTTTTGTGATTTCTTCTCTGACCCATGAGTTATTTAGGAATGTGTTGTTCAATTTACACTTATTTGTGAATTCTGCAAATTTATTTCTGTTATTGATTTCTAATTTAATTATATTGTGTTCAGAAAACATTCATTGTATGATTTCAAGTCTTTTCAATTTTTTGAGGTTTGTTTTGTGGCCTAGTTTATGGCCTAATCTGGAGGGTGTTCCGTGTACATTTGAGAAGAGTGCGCATTCTGCTGTTGTTGGGTGGAGTGTTTTTTTTTTTTTGAGACAGAGTCTCGCTCTGTCGCCCAGGCTGGAGTGCAGTGGCGCGATCTCCACGCACTGCAAGCTCCGCCTCCCGCGTTTACGCCATTCTCCTGCCTCAGCCTCCCGAGTAGCTGGGACTACAGGCGCCTGCCACCACGCCTGGCTAAATTTTTTTTTTTTTTGTATTTTTTAGTAGAGACGGGGTTTCAGGATGGTCTCGATCTCCTGACCTTGTGATCCGCCCGCCTCGGCCTCCCAAAGTGCTGGGATTACAGGCGTGAGCCACCGCGCCCGGCCGGGTGGAGTGTTTTTTAAATACCCGTTAGTTCTAATTAGTTTATAGTGTTGCTCAAGTTTTTTATTTTCTTGTTGATCTTCTGCCTAGTTGTTCTATCCATTATTATAAAGTATTGAAGTATCCAATTACTGTTGTTGAATTGTCTATTTCTCCCTTCAATTCCGTCAGTTTTGCATCATGAATTTTGGGGCTCTGTTCTTAGGTCTATGTATGTGTATATGTTTACAAATGTTATATCTTTCTAATGGATTGACCTCTTTATCAATCTTCAATCTTCATTTTCTTTTTCTTTCTTTCTTTCTTTTTTTTTTTGAGATGGAGTCTCACTCTGTCGCCCAGGCTGGAGTGCAGTTGCGCAATCTCAGCTCACAGCAACCTCCGCCTTCCAGGTTCAAGCGATTCTCCTGCCTCAGCCTCCCAAGTAGCTGTGACTACAGGCGCATGCCACCACGCCCGGCTCATTTTTTGTATTTTAGTAGAGACGGTGTTTCACCATGTTACCCAGGGTGGTCTCAATCTCCTGAGCTCAGGCGATCCAACAGCCTTTGGCCTCCTGAAGTGCTGGGATTACAGGCATGAGCCACCATGCCTGGCCAATCTTCATTTTATTTTTCCTTCTTTCTTTTTCTTTGTTTTTTTTTTTTGAGATGGAGTCTCACTCTGTCGCCAGGCTGGAGTGCAGTGGCGCAATCTCAGCTCACTGCAACCTCCGCCTCCCAGGTTCAAGTGATTCTCCTGCCTCAGCCTCCTGAGGAGATGGGACTACAGTCGTGTGCCACCACGCCCAGCTAATTTTTGTATTTTTAGTAGAGACGGGGTTTCACCATGTTGGCCAGGATGGTCTTGATCTCTTAACCTCGTGATCTGCCCGCCTCGGCCTCCTAAAGTGCTGGGATTACAGGTGTGAACCACCACGCCCCGCCAAATCTTCATTTTCAATAACATTTGTTTTGTGTTGTAAAGTCTGTTTGGTCTGGTATTAGTATAGCCATTACAGCTGTCTGTGGTTGCTGTTTGCATGATAATCTTTGCCCATTAAAAAAAATTTCAACCTATTTGTTTCTTTGAATCTAAAATATGTCCTTTAGATAGCCTTTTGTTGGATTCTTTAAAAAAAACAAATCTGATAATCTCTGCCTTTAGATTATTTAATCCATTTTCATTTAATTAACATTATTAATATGGTTGGATTTATATCTGGCATTTTGGTTTTTTACTATTTGTCTCATGCTTTTTTATTTATCTCTTCCACTGTAATTTACTACTTTTTTTTATTAAGTGGGCATTTTCTAGTGTAACATTTTAATTATATATTTTAAAATTATGTGCCTAGTGGTTGCTTTAGGGCTTACAATACACATCTTAATTTATCACAATCTACTTCAAATTAATGCTAACTTAATTCCAGTGAAATATAGAAACTTTACTCCTATACAGCTACGTTACTTCCCCCATTTTTGTGCTATTGTTATATATATTATATCTACATATGTTATAAACCCAATAAAGCATAATAATTATTACACATAATTATATAGTTATAATTGTGACTTTATGTAATATTATATAATGTTATATAACCTTATATGATCTTTTTAAGAGGGTGAGAGAGGCCAGGTTCAGTGGCTCATGCCTGTAATCCCAACACTTTGGGAGGCCGAGGTGGGTGGGTCACTTGAGACCAGGAGTTTGAGACCAGCCTGGCTAACTAACATGGTGAAACCCCGTCTCTACCAAAAATAGTAAAAATTAGCCCTGGGAGGCAGGAGAATCCCTTGAACCCCGGAGGCAGAGGTTGCAGTGAGCTGAGATCACACCATTGTACTCCAGTCTGGGCAGCAGAGTGAGACTCCATCTCAAAAAAAAAAAAGAAAAAAAGAAGCTGAGAGGAATAAAAGGAGAGCAAGTGTATATTTGTAGAGTTTGTTGTATATCGGCCCTCTTATTTACCATTCCTGTGGGTTCAAGTTACTATCTGATCATTTCCTTACTTCAATACAGCTTTGTTCCCACTTACCTCCTTTGTGCTCTTTTTGTCAAACATATTACACTTCTATATGTTACATAGAAACAATACAGACACATACACACATTGTTTTATGGAATTGCTTTTTAATTCAGTTAAGAGAGTAAAAGAGATGAAATATGCAATTATGCTTTCTTTTGTACTTACCTACCTAATTACCTTTACCAGCACTCTTTGTCTTTTTGTGTGGATTCAAATTATGGTATTGTGTGGTGTCACTTGCTTTCTGCCTAAATAACTTTGTTATTTCTTGTAAGGCAATCTGCCACCAACAATTTTTTTTCCTGCTTTTGTTTATCTGGTAATATCTTTATTTTGCCTTTATTTAAAACTAATCTATTTCTTCCAGATTTTTGTTTTTGTTTTTGTTTTTTTTTGAGGCAGGGTCTCACTCTGTCACCCAGGCTGTAGTGCAGTGGCATGATCTCAGCCTCGACCTCCCAGGCTAAAGCCATCCTCCCTACCTCAGCCTCTTGAGTAGCTGGGACTACAGATGTGTGCCACTATGCCCAACTAATTTTTGTATTTTATGTAGAGATGGGGTTTTGGCATGTTGCCCAGGCTGGTCTGGAACTCCTGAGCTAAAGCCATCCACCCACCTTGGCCTCCCAAAGGGTACGATTACAGGCATGAACCACCGCCCCCAGCCTCTTCCAGAGATTTTCAAACTGCCTTTATATTTGTTATTTAAAAGATCACTGGCTCTGATAAAGTTGAGAGCCAAAGACAGAGTAATATTATAAAATGATGAAATATCAACACATCTCTCATTCACAATTTTTAAAAACTGACAAACCAATGGGATAGGATAATTTGAGAGAGACAGTTGATTTTTTTAAAATTGTGATTATTATTTCTCAATTATTTATTTATTTATTTATTTATTTTTTTGAGATGGAGTCTCACTCTGTCCCATGCTGGAGTGCAGTGGCATGATCTCCACTCACTGCAACCTCTGCCTCCCGGGTTCAAGCGATTCTCCTGCCTCAGCCTCCCGAGTACCTGGGATTACAGGCACGCACCACCATGCTTGGCTGATTTTTATATTTTTAGTAGACACGGGGTTTCGCCATGTTAACCAGGCTAGTCTGGCACTCCTGACCTCAGGTGATCCACCCGCCTCAGCCTCCAAAGTGCTGGGATTACAGGCGTGAGCCACCGTGCCCGACCAATTATTTCTCAATTTTTTAAAAATTGAATTTCACATGCAGCTGTAAGAAATAATACAGAGAGGGCCGGACGCGGTGGCTCACGCCTGTAATCCCAGCACTTTGGGAGGCTGAGGCGGGCGGATCACGAGGTCAGGAGATGGAGACTATCCTGGCTAACACGGTGAAACCCCGTCTCTACTAAAAACAAAAAATTAGCCGGGCGTGGTGGCGGGCGCCTGTAGTCCCAGCTACTCGGGAGGCTGAGGCAGGAGAATGGTGTGAACCTGGGAGGCGGAGCTTGCAGTGAGCCGAGATAGCGCCGCTGCACTCTGGCCCGGGTGACAGAGCGAGACTCCATCTCAAAAAAAAAAAAAAGAAATAATACAGAGAGATTCCTTTTACATTTTGCCCAATTTTTCGCAGTGGTAATGTTTAGCAAAATGGTGCAGTATGATATTATAACCAATATTCATAAAATCCACCAATCTTTCTCAGATTTTTCTAGTTTTACTTGTACTCATTTGTGTGTGCTTAAGTTGTATACAATTTTATCACTTGTGTAGGTTTGTGTATCTATGACCACAGTCAAGATACTGAGCAGTTCCAAGCACAGGGATCCTTTGTGTTGTCTTTTTACAACTGTATTCACCTCGTTTTGCCCAACCCTTCCACCCCATCCCTAATCCCTGGCAACCACAAATCTATCCTCCATTAAAGCAAAATATGTTATTTCAAACATGTAGTATAAGTGGAATAATACAATGTGTAACCTTTTGGGGTTGGCTTTTTTCACTCAGTGTAATTCCCTAGAGATTCATCCACTTGTTGTATCTGTCAATAGTTCATTCCATTTTATTGCTGAGTAGTATTTCATGGTATGCATGTATCACAGTTTGTTCAACCATTCACTGTTGAAGGTCATCTGGGCTGACTCCAGTGTTGGTCTATTACAAATAAACCTTTTATGAACATTGATGCACAGATTTTTGTGCAAACACAAGTCTTCATTTTTCTGGTATAAATGTCCAGAAATAAAATCGCTGGGTCATTTGGTAGTTGCATGCTTAGTTTTTAAAGAAATTGCCAAGCTTTTCCAGATTGATTGTGCCATTTATATTTCCACCAGCAATGTAAGAGTGATTCAGTCTCTCTGCATCTTTGTAAGTATTTGGTTGTTTTTTCATTTTAGTTATCATTATAGGTCTGTAGTGAATCCTGTTGTGGTTTTAATTTGTATTTCCATAATGGCTAATGATGTTGAACATCTTTTCATACACTTTTTGCCATGTGTGTATCCTCTTCAGTGTGTCTGTTCATGTTTTTTGCTGTTTTCTAAATTTTTTTCTTCTGTTGAGTTTTGAGGGTTCTTTATATATTCTAGATACTAGTTTTTTTTTTGTTTTGTTTTGTTTTTTGTTTTTTTTTTTTTTTGAGATGGAGTCTCGCTCTATCGCCCAGGCTGGAGTGCGGTGGCGTGATCTTGGCTCACTGCAAACTCCGCCTCCCAGGTTCACGCCATTCTCTTGCCTCAGCCTCCTGAGTAGCTGGGACTACAGGCACCCGCCACCACGCCTTCCTAATTTTTTGTATTTTTAGTAGAGACAGGGTTTCACCGTGTTAGCCAGGATGGTCTCGATCTCCTGATCTGGCGATTGGCCTCCCAAAGTGCTGGGATTACAGGCGTGAGCCACCACGCCCGGCCGCTAGATACTAGTTTTTAAAAATTAAATATGTAGTTTCAAATACATTCTCCCAGTCTGTAGCTTTTCTTTTCATTCTTTTCACATGGGCTTTAACAAAGCAAAACCTTTTAAATTTGATGAGATCTAATTTGTCAGTCTTTCCTGTAATGGCTTATGCTTTTAGTATCAAGTCTAAGAACTCTTTGTCTAGTTGTAGATCCTGAAATTTTTCCTAACATTTAAGTCTATTAGCCATTGTTAGTTAATTCTCATATAAGGTTTCAAGCTTAGGCCAAAATTTATTTTTTAAAACAAATATGGATATCCAGTTGTTCTAGCACCATTTGTTGAAAAGGCTGTCTTTCATCCTTTGAGTTGGTTTTGCAGCTTTATAAAGAATCAATTTAGTATAGCTGTGTGGATGTATTTCTGAATTCTCTATTCTAAATCCTCTATTGATTTATGTGTTTATCCTTCCACCAGTAGTATACTGTTTTTATTACTGTAGCTACACAGGAAGTCTTAAATTGGGTAGAATAATTTCTCCCACTTTATTCTTTTTTGAGAAGATTATTTTAGTATTCCAGGGTCCATGCCTTTCTACATAAATTTTAGAATGAGTTTTTCTATGTCTGTAAAAAAATTACTGAGATTTTGATAGGAATTGAATTAAACTTACAGATTAATTTGGGAAGAATGAACATCTTTTCTACATTGACTATGTTCAGTCCATGAACATAGTATATCTTCCCATTTATTTAGTTTTTTTAAAATTTCTTTCATCAGCATTTTATAATTTTTAACGTACAGATCCTACAATTTTTTTTTTTTTTTGAGACCAAGTCTTGCTTGCTCTGTCACCAGGCTGGAGTGCAGTGGCACAATCTCGGCTCACTGCCGTCTCTGCCTCCCAGGTTCAAGTGATTCTCCTGGCTCAGCCTCCCAAGTAGCTAGGACCACAGGCGTGCACCATCATGCCCGGCTAATTTTTTGTATTTTAGCAGAGATAGGGTTTCACCATGTTGGCCAGGATGGTCTCGATCTCCTGACCTTGTGATCTGCCTGCCTTGACCTCCCAAAGTGCTGGGATTACAGGCGTGAGCCACTGCGCCTGGCCACAATTTTTTTTTTTTTTTTTGAGATGGAGTTTTGCTCTTGTTGCCCAGGCTGGAGTGCAATGGCACGATCTCGGCTCACTGCAATCTCCACCTCCTAGGTTCAAGCAATTCTCCTGCCTCAGCCTTCCGAGTAGCTGGGATTACAGGCATGCACCACCACCCCTGGCTAATTTTGTATTTTTAGTAGAGACAGGGTTTCTGCATGTTGAGGCTGGTCTTGAACTCCTGACCTCAGGTGATCCACCCGCCTTGGCCTCCCAAAGTGCTGGGATTACAGGCGTGAGCCACTGCGCCCGGCCTCACAATTTTTTTTTTTTAAAGAGACAGTGTCTTGCTTTGTTGTTCAGGCTGGAGTGCAGTGGCATAATCATAGCTCACCGCAGCCTTGAACTCCTGGGCTCAAGGCATCCTCCCACTTTGGCCTCCCAAAGTGCTGAAATTACAGGCATGAGCCACCACACCCAGCCCCTGTAAATGTTTTTTAAGTGTATTCCTATTTCATTTTATTTGGAATTATTGTAAGTGGTGTTACATTTTTATTTTGATTTCTTCACCTTCATTGTTTGTATGTAGATGTGTCATTGGCTTTTATGTGTTTATTTTGTATCCTGCAACCTTGCTGAACTGACTTAATAATTTTACATTTTTTTGGTAGGTTCTTTAGGATGTTCTACATAGACAATTATGTCATCTGCAAATATATAGTTTTTCCAAGTGGTTGTGTTTAAATATTAAAAAAAAGAAATATGTAGTTTTATTTCTTCCTTTCTAATCTATATGCCTTTTATTTCTTTTACTTATTTTATTTGCCTTATTGTGGTGACTAGAACTTCCATTATTATGTTGAATAACAATAGTGAGAGTATATCTTTGCATCGTACACAGTTTTATGGGGAAAGCATTCAGTTTTTCACCATTAAGTATAATGGTGGCAGCTGGATGTGGTGGCTCATGCCTGTAATCTCAGCATTTTGGGAGGCCGAGGTGGGTGGATCACGAGGTCAGGAGATTGGGACCATCCTGGCTAACACGGTGAAACCCTGTCTCTACTAAAAATATAAAAAATTAGCCGGGTGTGGTGGCGGGTGCCTGTAGTCCCAGCTACTCGGGAGGCTGAGGCAGGAGAATGGCGTGAACCTAGGAGGCGGAGCTTGCAGTGAGCCGAGATTGCACCACTGTACTCCAGCCTGGGTGACAGAGCGAGACTCCGTCTCAAAAACAAAAAAAGTATAATGGTGGCTATAGTTTTTTTGTATGTGCTCTTTATGAAGTTGCAATAATTCCCTGTTATTCCTACTTGATGAGACTTTTTTAAATTAAAAAAGTTTTTGTAATTTTAATTTTTTGTAGAGATGAAGTCTCACTATGTTGCCTAGGCTGGTCTTGAACTTTTGGCCTCAAGCAATCCTCCTGCCTCGGCCTCCCAAAGTGCTGGGACTTACAGGCATGAGGCACCATGCCTGGCTTTTTTGAAAATTCTAGAGAGGGTCTCACTATTTTGCCCAGGATGGAGTGTAGTCTTAGTCACAGACGTGATCATAGCACACTACAGCTTTGAACTCCCAACATCAAGTGATCATGCTGTCTCAGCCTCCTAAGTAGCTGGGACTACAGGCCTACACCATTGCACCTGGATTGCTGAAACTTTTTTTTTTCTTTAAATCATGAATGGGTGTTAGCTTTTGTCAAATACTTTTTCTGTGTCAGTTGATAAGATTATTATATTGTTTTCCTTATATCGTTGATGCGGTGGTTTACAATAATGGATTTTCAAAAGTTAAACCATTTGCTTTCATTTTTGAATGATAGTTTTGCTGGATGTTAAACTCTTGATTGACAGTTGAGCTTCTTAAATGTTTAGATTAATGTTTTCATCAAATGTGGGAACTTTTCAGACATGATTTCTTCAAACATTTTTTATGTTCCTAATTTATGTCTTTTCCTTGTATTCCCATATGTTGATATACTTAATGGTGTCCCACATTTCTTTGAGGCCCTGTTCATTTTTCTTTATTCTTTTTTCTCTCTGTTCTTCAGATTGCCCAGTCTTACTGATCTATATTTGAGTTCTCTGTTTCTTTCTCCTACCAGCTCAAATGTAGGATTTTTTTCATTTCCATTAATGTACTTTTCTTTTCTGTTTTTAGAGACAGGGTCTTGCTCTGTCACCTGGGCTAGAGTGAAGTGACATGTTCACATCTTACTACAGCCTCGACTTCCCAGGCTCAAGCAATTCTCCTTCATCAGCCCCCTCTCCCCACCTGCCAGTAGCTGGGACTACAGGTGTGCCCCACCACACCCAGCACATTTTTAAATTTTTTTGTAGAGACAGGGTCTCACTATGTTGCCCAGGCTGTTCTTGAACTCCTGGCCTCAAGTGATCCTCCTGCGTTGGCCTCTCAAAGTGCTGAGATTACAGACATGAGCCACTGCACTTGGTTCATTATTGTACTTTTTTTTTCTTCTTCTTTGAGACGGAGTCTCACTGTGTCGTCCAGGCTGGAGTGCAGTGGCGCAATCTCGGCTCGCTGCAAACTCCGCCTTCTGGGTTCACACCATTCTCTTGCCTCAGCCTCCCCAGTAGCTGGGATTACAGGCATCTGCCACCACACCCAGCTAATTTTTTGTATTTTTTATTAGAGATGGGGTTTCACTCTGTTAGCCAGGATGGTCTCGATCTCCTGACCTCGTGATCCACCTGCCTTGGCCTCCCAAAGTGCTGGGATTACAGGCGTGAGCCACCACGCCCAGCCTCATTATTGTACTTTTCAACAACAGAATTTCTAGTTTATTTTTATAATTTCTCTTTATTGATAATCTGTATCTGATAAGACATTGTCATCATAGTTTCCTTTAATTTTTTAGATGTGATTTTCTTTGGTTCTTTGAACATATTTGTAATTGTTGCTTTGAAGTCTTTGCTGAGTTCAACATCTAGACTCAGAAACAGTTTCTATTGCTTACTTGGTTTTCTGTGTATGAATGGGTTACACTTTCCTGTTGCTTTGCATGTCTCATAATTTTTTGTTGAAAACTGGACATTTTAAGGAATATATTGTACAACTTGTTATTGATTCTGTCCTCTTTCAGGGTTTGATATTGTTGCTGTTGTTTGCTTGGTCATTTGTTTAGTGATGTGACTAAACTGACTCTAGCTAAACTGACTCTATGGAGTCTGTTTTCCCTGAAGTGTGTAACTTCTGATATCAGATTTTTTTCTTGTTTTAATTTTTTATCCTAGGGGTCACCCCTGGGTGAGAGATCAAAGGTCAACAATTGATGAAATCTTGTGCTTAAGCCTCTTTGACCAGTCAGATTTTTGCCCTTGAACTTTTGGCCTCAAGCAATCCTCCTGCCTTGGCCTCCCAAAGTGCTGGGATTACAGGTGTGAGGCACCATGCCTGGCCTTTTTGTAAATTCTAGAGAGGGTCTCACTATTTTGCCCAGGTTGGAGTGATCCACCCACCTCGGCCTCCCAAACTGCTGGGATTACAGGCATGAGCCACCGTGCCCGGCCGCCACCATTACACTTAATGGTGAAAAACTGAATGCTTTCCCCATAAAACTGTGTACGAAGCAAAGATATACTCTCACTATTGTTATTCAACATAGTAATGGAAGTTCTAGTCACTGCAATAAGGCAAATAAAATAAGAAAAAGAAATAAAAGGCATATAGATTAGAAAAGAAGAAATAAAACTACATCTTTCTTTCTTTTTTTAATATTTAATGTATTGGATATGCACATGTTTTGGAGGCTGCTATCACAGTTCAAGGAGTTTACATTTTTGCCCCACATTCAGCCAGAAACTAGCAGGTTGGATTTTGATTGCTTCTGAGAGGTTGGAGCCTTGGGTATGTATAGAGTCTTCCAGGCAGCTAAGGATGTGTGTAATTTTGCTTTTAAGCCTGTTTGCCCCTGGGTCTGAGTAGCTTTATTGCTCCATCAGTGTTTGGCCAGAGGTTGTGCTGAGGTCTTTCGTACTGGTGAGGCTTCCTCATTTTATTGATGGAGCCGTTTGTTGCTTGGGGAATGTTTTCAAATCTGCCTTACATCCTGCTCTGATTGCTCATGAGTGAATGTGGCCTAGTGCATGTCCACAGCCTTCCTAATCCCTGGGGTTGACAGTGACCCCAAGAGGTATCTTCTTGGATATATTTTTCCCTGGAATAGAGCTTCAGCAACATGAACCTTTTCGAGGGTGGATGTTGAGAAACCTGGAGGTCTGCCTCTCTTGGGGTGAAATTGTAGTCTTAAACTGGAAACTGGGAAGAAAGGGGACCCCATCTTCTTGGCCATACCTGCTGGGGGTAGAGCATCTGGAATAGCATTTTCATAAGACAGAGCTAGGGATGGGGGAGGGAATGAGTTGTTGTCCAAACACCACAGACTCTCACTGTTCTTACCAAGATTTAGTAGACTTTCTCGATTGAATATTTTTCCATTTGCTGTATGCCCTTAGGACAATTTCCAGAGACTTTAAATGATTGTTCATTATAATTTCCTCTACTTAAGTTGTTTTATTGGAGAAAGTGTACACCAGCCCCTTCTCTCCACCATTCTAGAAGTCGTTTCCTAAGTTATTTTAAAATATACTGTAACTCCTCAGTATAAAGCCAAATGTTCTTCCTTATCAATTCTTATTTACTCCATGCACAGCCCTAGGAATTTTCCTGGGTGGGTAACATGGACTCTGTCGTTAAGGATTTGTCCAGTGGAGTAAAAAGAAGCAAAACATCCTGAATTTGCTTCCCTGTATAAGCAGTGAGGGAGTCCTGCTGTGTGCTTAGGCCCTGGCCTGCTTCTGGGGCCTACACAGGGATAGGCCCTTTGTATTCAAGGAGCCAGAAGAAACCTCAGTGGGAGGCAAGCAAGCAGCTCATCATCAAGTAATTTGCTGTGTAATGTATGAATTGGGGATGAAATGGTGGGTCGATGATTCCCACGACAATGCTGTGTCAGTTCAGGAGGAGGAGAGAGAGGAGTTCAGAGGCAGATCCTGAATTGGCAGCCTGAGCCCAGGCCTTGAAGAACCAGGCCTTGAGCCTGGGCCTGGGGCTGGGATGTTGGCAGAGGAATGGGGGAGTGTTTAGGGAATGGGGGTCCAGGTGAGGAAGTCAGCGAAAGGATAATTATCTGTGGAGCGTGCAGGGGCTGTGAGGAGGCCAGCCTGGCTGGAAAGGAAGGCTGGACTAAGGGATTTCCGTACATGAGGTTGAGTAGGGTGGTGAGACCAGAAGCCAAGGGCTTGGAATGTCAGGCTAAAGCATTTAGACTTGAGTCTAAAGGTGGCAGAGGACCAGGTGCAGTGGCTTATGCCTGTAATCCTAACACTTTGGGAGACTGAGGTGGAAGGATCTTCTGCTCAAGCCAAACTCCATGGCTGGAGCACAGGATTTTGGGACCAGCATAGGCAACACAGTAAGACCCTGTCTCCACAAAGGTAAAAATAAAAATAAAAAAAATTAGTCGGTTGTGGTGAAGCGTGCCTGTAATCTCAGCTGCTCTGTAGGCTGAGACAGGAGGATTGCTTGAGCCAGGGAGGTCGAGGCTCTAGTGAGCTGCAGTCATGTCACTGCACTCCAGTCTGGGTGGCAGAGCAAGACCCCATCTCTAAAAAATAAATAAGTAAATAAAGGTGGCAGAGGAACCCTTGAAGATTGCTGAGGTTTGTTAAGGAAATTCTTCTGGCTCCTGTGTATGGCATGCATGGAGGAGGGGAGCCTGTAGCCCTGGGAATGAGTGGAGGCTGTAGTCATAACCCAGAGGCCTCAT
This sequence comes from Homo sapiens, assembly GCF_000001405.40. Taxonomy (NCBI): domain Eukaryota; kingdom Metazoa; phylum Chordata; class Mammalia; order Primates; family Hominidae; genus Homo; species Homo sapiens. Next base: position 49,600,965 of record NC_000003.12, read on the forward strand.
CTTGGAGCCAGTGACAGAGGTGACTGAGACAGAAGAATGGCCCCCCAGGAATGAGGAAGGAGTAGGTGAGGAGCCATCCCCAAGGCTTAGTCAAGGCAGGGCAAGAAGCCCCAGTTTTTTATCCTTAGCTCCTGCGATATGGTCAGTGGCCAGTGGTAGATATCAGCTCTCTCAGAGAAACCCCTCTAGGGGAACAGACAGGAGAACTGGTTCTCCAAGAGGAAGGCAAGTAGGGAGTGCCCTGGGCTCCAGAGAAAGGCAGCTAGTGGCTTAGAAATATGGCCAGAAAAACTGGAGGGACAGAGTAAGTGGTCTGCAGTGCAGGTGGCAATCGTTAGAGCCACCTGGATGTCACATGTGAGACCTTCCCCTATAAGGTTGTGCAGGAGTTAAGGAGGTTCTTGTACTTCTGGGCGTGACAGCATCCCATGTGCTCAGCTCTCCCTTCCTTTCCAAGGTTTCATGGGGTGTACCAGTGCCTGGAAGACTGGAGAGACCTGAATAAGAGCATGGCTTCTTTGAGGTTCGTCTTCTGAGTATAGCACCTCCCTCCAGTGCCAGCTTGTGGCTCTGTGTCTTGGCCAAAAAGTTGAGGGTGAAGCCAAGTCTGGCAAATAGAGCCCAAGGCTTGGGTGGGAGGACCAGGAGCTGATTTCTCTGGAGGCCGTCATTCTTACTGAAGCTGCTCCATGGTGTCGCTTTCAGAGTGAAGGCTGATTTTGAGTGTAACCTGGTTTATATCCAGTCTCAGAATGACACCAGAACAGTTTTCCAGTTTTTGTATGTATCACTAGCATGGTTTGCTTCTGAAGTATTTATTCTTTTATTTTTCAAAAGGAGGTAGTTATTAGATTTCTGAAAACTGTAGGATTTGTTTAAATGAGTCACAGCATTTGGCTGAAATAGAGAGGACTCCATCTGTTGCTTTTGCGTGGTCCCCAGTTCTGTTCTATGACTGAGCTATAAGAGAAGCAGGAGAACTTGGTGTTCCCTGAGCTCACCATCACTGGCCCTGCCTGTCTGACACAAGCCTTGCCCTAGTAGAGATGTGGGAAAGTGGGCCCTGTTTCCTGAGAGCCTCTCTACTTGGGACCCCTTTAATTAGCCTACTGTGTTTGGGTGAGTTGGGGTAGGGGCTGGAGCCAAGGGCTCCTCATCCACTGAACTCCACCAGCTCTTTCCTTGGAGTGCCCTTGAGTTTGCCCCTTGGATCAGAAAGAGGAACATCCATTGCAGGGTGATTTCCTCAGGTCCTCTTGACCTGCTGTGCTCTGATGCTCTCCTCTGTGTCCCTGGGGCAGCAGGACAACTCATTCTGACTGAATTCGCCCCAGGGCAACTGGCAGTGCCTCAGGTCAGGAAGGGTCATGGAGCATGAAACAATACAAGGGAAAGGGCACCAGCTGGGGGAAGGAGAGACCTAGGTACCAATCCTTGCTCTGCCTTGCTCTGCCTTATATGTGTCACTTCCTCTCTTTAAATTTTTTTTTTTTTTTTTTTAGCCAGAGTCTCACTCTGTCTCCCAGGCTGGAGTGCAATGACACTGTCTTGGCTCACTGCAACCTCCGCCTCCTGGGTTCAAGTGATTCTCTTGCCTCAGCCTCATGAAAAGCTGGGATTACAGGCACACACCACCACGCCCAGCTAATTTTTGTATTTTTAGTAGAGATGGGGTTTCACCATGTTGGCCAGGCTGGTCTTGAACTTCTGACCTCAAGTGATCCATCCGCTTGGCCTCCCAAAGTGCTGGGATTACAGGCGTGAGCCACTGCAGCTGGCCCTCTCTTTAAATCTCAATTTCCTCGTCTAGACCTCCAGTGCAGTGCTGTTATGAGGATGATTAACTGATGGGTGTAAAATGTCTGTCGCATGCTAAGAAACGACCAGTTTCTGATCTTCTCCCATAGTCTGGCCTCCTCTCTTCTGCACACTCTGCCCCTTCTTCAGATCACGCTCATGGGCAGAGTGAAGGGAGAGGTGTGCTGTGAGTCAGGGCATGGCACGGAAGATGCTGACATCCCACGCAGCTCCCTGCAGTGTTGCTCCTGGCACTTCATGCTTGGCCAGCAGATTCAGCCTGACCCACTTGGCCATACCTGCCTCTCACTGGGCAGCTGGGGCCTGGTCTTCCACATCTGTGGCCAGGGCTGGGCCCCTCAAGTCATGCCCCTCCACTGCTGGCCCCTCAAGGACAACCAGCCTGGAAACTTGAGGGCCGCAGGTCCCACCCTGATGCCTTCCTGCTTTGCGCTAGGCCTGGGGAAAGCCTCTGAGCTGTCACAGGAAGTGTGCTTGCCTCTGTGACTCACCCACCTCTTGTTGGTGGTTGCTACCTGGCTACTGTGGAACCTAGGTAAACTGTTCCTCCTATGGGGCCAGTTGAAGTGGTGGTGAGCAGATGTCACCAGCCTTGCCCAATTCCTTCTTTGGTTCCTGACTTCTTAGGGTGTATCTTAGGAGTTGCCTGCTGAGGTTGCCACCCTAGGCAGTGTAGGCCTGTTAGATTATACCATGATTATTGAATGAGCAAATGACTGGAGCTTTGTCTAAGAGGGCCCTCATGTATGAGGAGTGCTGAGTAGACCCTATGGGTCAGGAAGAGGATGAAGGTCTGCAGGTTTGTGGGTGTGTTAGGTGAAGCCTACCTCATGGTAGGAACAAGGTGAGGATCTCTGCAGTCCATTAGAAGGGTTCTCTGATCTTACACGGGGATTCTCTCTTTCTCTGTGAATTCACATCATATAAAATTAACCAATTTAAAGTGAACAATCCAGTGGTATTTAATGCATTCACAATATTATGCAACCATCACCTCTATCTAGTTCCAAACCATTTTTGCCACCCCAAAAGAAAACCCCACACTCATTAAGCAGTTGCTCCCCATTTTCCCCTCCCCTTCTAACCACTAGTCTGCTTTCTGTCTCTATGGATTTATCTATTTTGGATAGTTCATATAAATGGAATCATAAAATAGGTATCCTTTTGTGCCTGGCTTCTCTTACTTGGCCTAATGTTTTTAAGGTTCATCCACATTGTAGTATGCATGTATCAGTACTTCATTGCTTTTGTTTTATCTTGTTTTGTTTTATTTATTGTGGTAAAATATATGTCACATAAAATGTACCTTTTTTTTTTCTTCTAAAGAGATGGGGTCTCACTATGTTACCCAGGTTGGCCTTCAACTCCTGGGCTCAAGTGATCCTCCTGCCTCAGCCTCCTGAGTAGCTGGGACTACAGGTACATGCCACTGTGCCCAGCTCAAAATGTGTCATTTTAACCATTTTTAGGTGTACAGTTCAGTGGTATTAGATACATTCACATTGTTGTTTAGCCATCACCACCATCCATCTCCAGAACTTTTTCATCATCCCAAACAGAAACTCTGTACCCATTGAACAGTAGTAACTCCCCATTTTCCCCCAGCTCATGATAACTACTGTTTTAGTTTCTATCTCTATGAATTTGACAATTCTAGGTACCTCGTGTAAGTGGAATTCTACAGTATTTGTCCTTTTGTGACTGGCAAATTTCACTTATCGTTTCTTGAAGGTTCATCCATATTGTAGCATGTATCAGAATTTCCTTCCTTTTAAGGGTCGAATAATACTCCATTGCATATATATAACACACTTTTTTTACCCATTCATCTATCAGTGGACATGGTTGCTTTCACCTTTTGGCTAGTGTGAATGATGCATAGATTCTTGAGTACTGCAACAGCCTGGTGGACAGCTGGAGCAGGGACATACATTTGAGCACTGGACAAGATGCTGAGGTTTCAGAATGGGTCCAGGAACACAGTCTGCTCCCATTTCCCAGGCCTCCCACACCTACATCCCCCACCCCTCCCCATATTTCCCCTGACTACACCCCTTCAGCCACACTGGCGTGCTTGCTGCTCCCTACCTGCAATCCACAACCCCGCCTCAAAGCCTAAGACCCTGTCATTTCTTCCTCTGGGATGTCCTTCCCAGGGCCTTGGCATGGCCTCTCCCAATATATTAATATTTGCAGGCTGGGCGCGGTAGCTCACGCCTGTAATCCCAGCACTTTGGGAGGCTGAGGTGGGCAGATCACCTGAGGTCAGGAGTTTGAGACCAGCTTGGCCAACATGGTGAAACCCCATCTCTACTAAAAATACAAAAATTAGCCAGACATGGTGGTGGGTGCCTGTAATCATAGCTACTTGGGAGGCTGAGGCAGGAGAATTGCTTGAACCTGGGAGGTGGAGGTTGCAGTGGAGACCATGCCATTGCACTCCAGCCTGGGCAACAAGAGCGAAACTCTGTCTCAAAAAAATATATATATACATATATATACATATATATTTTATATATTATATATTATATTATATATATATATTTATAAATATATATAATATATAAATATATATTTATAAATATATATTTAATATATAAATATATATTTTATATATTTATATAATTTATATTTTATATTTATATATAATATATATTATATATATTATATAATATATATTATATATAATATATATTATATAATATATATTATATATAATATATATTATATAATATATATATAATATATAATATATATTATATATATTTTATATAATATATATTATATATTATATATATTATATATTTATATATAATATATATTATATATTATATATAAATATAATATATATTACATATATGTAATATATATTATATATAATATATATTACATATATGTAATATATATTATATATAATATATATAAAATATATAACATATAAATGTATATAATATATAAATATATATAATATATAAATATATATAAAAATATATATAATATATAATATATAAATATATTTATATATATAAATATATTTTGTATAAATAGATATAAATATATATATTTATATATAATATATTTATATCTATTTATATATAGATATAAATATATTTATGTCTATATAAATAGATATAAATAGATATAAAATCTATTTATATATAAATATATATAAATATATAATAAAATATATGTATTTATATAAATAAAAAATATATATTTATATATACATAGAAATATATATTTATATACATAATATATTATATTATATATAATTATAAATATATTATATAAAAATATATAATTTTTTATATATAACATATAATATATAATATATACGTATATATTATATATACATATATTATATATGTATATATTATATATACATATATTATATATGTATATATATTATATATACATATATTATATATGTATATATTATATATACATATATTATATATGTATATATTATATATAAAATATATATAATATATATTAAAAATATATATTATATATATTAAAAATATATATAATATATATTAAAAATATATATATATTTTTGGCATGACTCTGCTCTGGTGTCTCCTTTTCAGAAGTGCCCCCTGACCCACCAGGGTAGTTTCTCTCCTTTCTCATTCATATTGTTCTTCTAAGCACCTATCATACTCTGAATGAATTGGACTTACCTATTTGTCTTCTTGATCTTTGCTTATATCCTGCACCATAAGGCAAGTCCTATGAATTGAGTGGCCTTGTGTGCCTTGCTCACTACGAGGTAGCCAGCATCTGCAGTGCAGCCCAGTGCCAGGGACCGTGAAGCTCCCAGTGAGGACCTGACATGCAGTAAAGCCACACACTTGTGGTGCTCTGGCCACCATTGGAGCCCTGACCCCTTCCACCTCCCCCTTTTGTATTTGGATCTGTATTCACATCCTCCATCCCAGGTACCCCACTCTGTTCTCTGGAACTATCAAGCTACCTTGAGTCCCCAGCACCTTCCCCAGACATTCCTTCTGCTGGGTAAAAACCTGACCATGCCAAAATATTATTTGCAGGCTGGGCACGGTGGCTCACACCTGTAATCCCAGCACTTTGGGAGGCCGAGGCGGGCGGATCACCTGAGGTCAGGAGTTGGAGACCAGCCTGGCCAACATGGTGAAACCCCATCTCTACTAAAAATACAAAAATTAGCCGGACATGGTGGTGGGCGCCTCAGTTTGCAATATTCTCCTTACTCCCTCAGCAGGGCTGTGCAGACCCCCATGCACTTGCCTGATCATCTGGGCCAGCGGACCTTTGCATGAGCTTGGCTCTCAGACCCTGGTCTCTCCTCTTTTGTCAGACACAGGCCATACAGTTCTACCATTATCTCTCCCTTAGCACTGCTGCCTGGACTTCTCATTACTTCCTACTACTCTGAAGATTTTGGCATCAGAATCCAGGCTTCCTGCCCACTCCACTTGTTGTCAAGCCAGGGAAGGAAGAAAGGGAGGAAGGCAAGGCTAATGTTTTTCTCAGTGCCTACTGGGCATTTGGCACTGTATTTCCTCATGCTGGGGTGGCCCTGGTCCCTCTGTTGGCTCAGTCTGGCCCAGGCATTCTGGGTGTGGTGATTCAGGGCTGGGCTAGTCCCTCAGAGCACTTGCCCTTCTCTTTGGGAGCAGGACTGCTTGGCAGTATATTACTCATTAGTCAGTGGCTAGCAACGTGCCATGTAGGGTGTGATCACATATGCTGTCACATGCTCACACACACATGCACACAGTGCATGTGCACACTCACGTGTGAGCACACACTACACACACATGCACGTGTGCACACAGTAGTTCATCACACTTTTTTCTCAGGTCTTAATCACCACTCTCAGGCAGATATTTCCTTTATGACAGCATCTGTCTTGATGGAATTTAGGCCACAGTAGCTGAATTTAATGCTCTCAATGTGTGAACACACGTCAGGTAGGAACATGGGCATCCCTGAATCTGTGCTCCCTAGACGCTGAGCCCTGGAAAGGGGAAGAGAGTAGAGGAGGGAGCTCCTGGTGGTCAGTATACCAGAGGGAGGGCCTCTTCTCGTCAAGGGTGGGTCCAGCCACCTGAAAGGGATTGATGGCTCCTTGGATGGGAGGTTTTGGCCTTAGGCCAGGCCTTCGTGGCTGTTACCCCACATCAGGCTGAACAGTGAGGGGGACTGAGAATCAATCTCTGAGGTGGGAGGGAAGAATGGGAGGAGGGTATGGAGGGATAGAGGTCCTCTCCTGCGGGAAGCCTCTCACTGGGTGGTCTCTGCCAGCGGGAGGCAATCTCCCCAAGTGGCCAATAGTGGAATTGTCCACAGGGAGAATCTAGAAATGAACCCCCAGCACCTTCCTGACTCTCACGGGCTGAGAGAGAAGGAAAGGCAGGAGCCAAAGTGCCACAGATAGGTATTAGATTTCTCCTTCTGAGTTAGACCCTTCAGAAGTGAAAAACAAGGAAACCACAGAGGAAAGACTGCATAGTTGGCAAGAAAGGAAAACAGACCACCATCTATGTACATTTTTTTGCAACTAGGCTGACAGGCATGTGGAACCATGGACACGGTAATGTCAAAGGCTGGAAAGTGGTGGATGGCTTTCCTTTTTAAATGTCCTTTGATGTTGCAGTGGGTATTATTTAGAAGAGGAGATGTTTTTCCTGCTGGAATCTTGAGTCTCAGTTACTGTCTTGAGATGGCATTTTTAAATCAGTCTCAACGTCTTTCATAAGCCTTATAAAAAATTGCATTCAGGCTTGGCGTGGTGGCTCACGCCTATAATCCCAGCACTTTGGGAGGCTGAGGTGGGTGGATCACGAGGTCAGGAGTTCAAGACCCTCCTGGCCAACATGGTGAAACCCTGTCTCTACTAAAAATACAAAAACTAGCTGGGCATGGTGGCAGGCGCCTGTAATCCCAGCTACTTGAGAGGCTGAGGCAGGAGAATTGCTTGAACCCAGGAGGCGGAGGTTGCAGTGAGCCGAGATCGTGCCACTGCACTCTAGCCTGGGTGATAGAGCAAGACTCCGTCTCGGGAAAAAAAAAAAAAAAGAATTGCATTCAGTAGGTCAATACGTCCTTAGCATCAGCCCTGTCTGGGCATTTAGCTTCATGCTGCATGCAGGTGAGGAGAGAGAGGGAGGCCAAAGGGGGCCCACAAGCACACAAGGAGCCCTCCTGCATGAGGCCATGAAAAGTCTGCAGGAAGGCATAGCAGATTTCTGGGAACTGAGGAATCTGGTGAGGGCCCATAGACGGCAGGATGCTTAAACCAGGTTTTGAAGGTTAAATTGACTTTTTTTTTTTTTTTTTTTTTTTGAGACAGGGTCTCACTCTGTCACATAGACTGGATTGCAGAGCACAGTGGTGCAATCATAGCTTACTGCAACCTCAACCTCCTAGGCTCAAGGGATCCATTTGCCTCAGGCTCTCAAGAAGCTGGGACCACAGGCACATGCCACCATGCTTGGCTAATTTTTTTTTTTTTTTGTAGAGATGGGATCTTCCTATGTTGCCCAGGCTGGTTTCAAACTCCTAGGCACAAGCGATCCTCCCACCTCAGCCTCCCAAAGTGCTGGGACTATAGGTGTGAGCCACCACACGCTTGGCCTGAATTGGCTTTTAAGGAAACTGCCTTGTAGAAAGAGAATAGAGCATGAGCTGTTAGAAGTTGGGGTCAGATGAGGAGCCTCAGGTATCCCTGCCAACGGCACTGCAGGAAGAGGAAAAACTGCCTGGATAGGAGGAGCCACATGGTAGAGTGCTTTGAAGGCTGTGGGCAAGGGTGTCCAGGGTCGGGTGGTAACCCTGCATATGCTGCTGTGCCTGACATGCATATGGTGGGATTAGGTGGGAAGAGTGAGCACTTAGCACAATATAACTGGTATGAGCGTTCACACATGTGACTATGATTGTGGCAGCTACCACAGGAAAGCCAGGCCTTTTTCAAACAGGCTGTCTGAGTGAGACTCCTAAGCAGGGCCTACTCTCATGTCTCTGTACCAGACTTCAGAGTCTTTTCTCCCCCAGACTTGTCTATCGTCAGCCTGGGATGCCCTTGCAGGCCCCGGGATTATTGCAGTGGGTCCTCTGTGTTCTATGCCCAGTGTGCCAGCCACCGCTACCACACAGAGCCTCTGCTTCTCTGATCAATCACCCGAGCCCGTGGGTCATTCATTCCACAAACATTCACTGAGCCCTGCTCTGGGCCAGGCCCTGTGCCAAACTCTGAGGACTCTGTGGTCACTGTGTGTAGAGGAAAGCCAGATGGCCCACTTTTCTCTGGAACCACCCCTCTTCCCCATGGCTTCCTCCAGGGTTTTCTGAGACTCTGCCAGTCCACATTGATTTCTCCTTCTGGGAGCCCCCAGACCACTGACCCCTCCCACCAAACACACACATGCACGTTCAAGTTCCCATGCTTTTGTATGTGATAGATGGAGTTTTGTGTGTGAGAACACTTGCTTTGTATTCTTTTGATTGTAATAAATTTGAAATTGCAAGGCAAAGGTAGAGTTCAGAGGGTTTCATTCTTATTTTACTACCTGTTATTTCTAGGCGGGTGGATCACCTGAGATCAGGAGTTCAAGATCTGCCTGGCCAACATGGCAAAACCCCATCTCTACTAAAAATACAAAAAATTAGCTGGGTGTGGTCGCTCAGGCCTGTAATCCCAGCTACTCAGGAGGCTGAGTCAGGAGAATTGCTTGAACCTGGGAGGTGGAGGTTGCAGTGAGCCGAGATCACACCACTGCACTCCAGCCTGGGCAACAAGAGCGAAATTTCATCTCAAAAAAAAAAAAAAAAAAAAAACAAGTAGGCCTGATTTCTGGACAGAGAAGTTTTTAACATGGGATGAATAGATATTAGCTTGGTGTTTCTTTCTCCCACAAAATAGACAATAGGCATTGTTTTTTAATTCCACTGACTTCCCATTAGAAAGGTATTAAGGGGTCCCAGGCAGGGTTTCCCTGGAAGTCTCAAACAGGAGGCTCTGGGATGCCTCATACACTGGGATGTTTCTGGGGCCAGTCCAGTCCCCTGAGCACAGCAGATGTTCAGCAAATTCATGCATGCATTTAGTGTCTGCATAGTGATGCAGACATTGGGTGATCTTGCCAACTGCATTGTTGGCCTGTATCTCTCTTCCTGTGCCTAGAGCAGGGCTGAGTGTGAAGTAGACCCTTAGCCATCTTTGTGGGCTAAAGATGTGTCCAGGCAGCCCCTAAGGGCAGGCTGAGTGCTGAGTCTCTCATCAGTATTGGGTCTGATGACTGGTCAGGAACTTGAGGTTTCTGGGTCAAAGTCCTGGCTTCTGCCCTGTTTGGGGCAGGACTATGGGAAGTGGCTTGCTTCCTCCCTAGTCACAAAGGCTTGCAGTTTTCTCTTAGTTTGTCTTGACTTCCAGATTGTAGCAAAATTTTGAAGAGAGCTGACAAGCACAGCATTGTCCCCTTGGTAAAAGGCTGTAGTAGTAGGATTTGCAGTAGCTGGAACCTGGGAAAAGCTGGCTCAGCTTTATGTAATGACTTCAGTCTCCCGATTTGAGCTTCCTAGCTTTAGGAGCTGACCTAGGTCAGAACACTGTGATGCTGCACAACCCAAAGTTGTATCATGCGGGGTCCTAATGCAGGTGTCTATAAGCCTGGGGCTGGCTGGGGAGCAGGAGCCTCCGTGACTTGGGCTGCATCAGAACTCCTGGGCTATACTTGAGAGCCATGGTACTCCCAGAAGACGAGGTTGGGAAATGTGAAGAGGGCTGGCACTGGGGCCAAAGCTCCTTAGAAGTCTGTGGAAAGGTGGTTGAGAATTTACCTGTCCAGTTAGACGTTCCCTCAGAAAGCCGAGCCTAGTAGGGGAACACATGGAGATACCTGGTTGGCCTAGAACACTCTTAAAAAGTGCCCCAGTCACTGTAGACTGGAAAGGCCAGGAAGGTCTTAGTGCAGGAATGCACTGTGACTTCTCAGAGAAATGTCAATGTCTTGGGTTCTTTTGGTTTCCCAGGCCAGGGTCATCTGGAGAGTCTAGGAGATCATAGGGGGAGCTCCTCAAGGAGCTGCTGACCTAGGTCTTGGCTCTGGGTAGTGACTCTGGCCTGGCCATCTGCCTGCCTTCTCTTCCCTCCCTCTATTTCTCTTGGCTCCCAGCATGGGCTCCCACCTGTCCTAGCTCCCCTAGGAATTTCCTGCTGATGAGCTATTACCCAAGTCTGATGACTAAGTAGGAAAAAAGACATTTTTTCCTTCCAAAAACTGCAAGAGGAATAAGAAACAGAAAAGAAAACTTTACCTTCAACAAAAATAACAAACACCTGTAACCTGAAATACAACAAACAAAGAATGATTTTTTTTTTTTTTGAGACAGAGTCTCGTTCTGTTGCCCAGGCTGGAGTGCAGTGGTGCAATCTCGGCTCACTGCAAGCTCCGCCTCCCGGGTTCACGCCGTCCTCCTTCCCCAGCCTCCCAAGTAGCTGGGATTACAGGCGCATGCCGCCATGCCTGGCTAATTTTTTGTATTTTTAGCAGAGATGGGGTTTCACTGTGTTAGCCAGGATGGTCTCGATCTCCTGACCTTGTGATCTGCCTGCCTCGGCCTCCCAAAGTGCTGGGATTAAAGGCGTGAGCCACCACGCCTGGCCAAATAATGATTTTTCAAGTCCAGGATCAAAATCAGTCCAGGATGGAGGATTTTAGGAGGGGACACTTGTCAGAGTCCAGAGGGCCAAAACAAATTATGATCTATTGGACTGGTTAGCAAAGCCAACATATGCGGATAAGCTTAGGGAGTATCTTTGAGCCCTGTGTGATGCCAAGGAGTTACTAGGGAGGTGGAATTACCCAAGGAATTGAGCAGGGTGTGGCAGGTGAGGGGAAAACTATGGGTTGCCAGCAATTCAGACAATAGAAAAACAAAGGAAATTCAAAATGGGTATAATTGGTATCTCTGGAGAAGAGAACAAAACAAAAGGAACACAAAAATATTCAAAGATATAATGGAAGAAAACTTTCCCCCTGAAATAAAAGAACACATAAATCTTTTGTTTGAAAGGCCAGGGGCCAGGCATGGTGGCTCACACCTGTAATCCCAGCACTTTGGGAGGCCAAGGCAGGCAGATCACCTGAGGTCAGGAGTTTCAGACCAGCCTGACCAACATGGAGAAACCCCGTCTCTACTAAAAATACAAAAACTACCTGGGCATGGTGGCACATGCCTATAATCCCAGCTACTTGGGAGGCTGAGGCAGGAGAATTGCTTGAACCTGGGAGGCGGAGGTAGCAGTGAGTAGAGATAGTGCCATTGCACTCCAGACTGGGCAACAAGAGTGAAACTCCATCTAAAGAAAACAACAACAACAACAACAAAAAAGGCCAGACTGAATTTTGAAAAACACACATATTCAACCCAAAAACGTATCTTGGTGGTGTCACTCAATTCCAAAGAGAAAAAAATAGCTCTATTGCATCCAGAGGGGAAAAGTTTATATATATATATATACACACACAGAGCGAGAGAGAGAGAGAGAGAGAGAGAGAGAGAGAGAGAGAGAGAGAGAAGGGCTGGCCCAGAGCTCTCCACAGTAATAATCAACGACAGAAAACAGAGGGGCTAGCTATATCTCTGAAGTCCTGAGGGAGAGAAAGTGTAAACCCAGAATTTATATCCAGCCAACCTGTTGTTCAAGTTTTTATTATTATTATTATTATTATTTTTTTTTGAGACAGAGTTTTTGCTCTGTTGCCCAGGCAGGAGTGGAGTGGTGCAGTCTCAGCTCACTGCAACCTCCACCTCCTGAGTTCAAGCGATTCTTCTGCCTCAACCTCCCAAGTAGCTGGGACTACAGGTGTGTGCCACCAGGCCTGGCTAATTTTCTTTTTTTTTTTTTGTAGTTTTGGTAGAGATGGGGTTTCTCCATGTTGGCCAGGCTGGTCTCAAACTCCTGACTTCAAGTGATCCACCTGCCTTGGCCTCCCAAAGTGCTGGGATTACAGGCATGAACCGCCATGCCCAGCTGTAGTTCAAGTGTAAAGGTCATGAAGATGCGTTCAGACATTCAAGAACTCAGGAAACGTGGTTTCTATGAGTTCTTTTTAAATGAATGAATGAATAAAAACTTCTAGAGATAAATTCCCTAAGACATACATGGAGATGCTGTGATTAAAGGAGTAGTAACCTCACCACTACTTACTTGCCCTCAGATGAGCCGTCATTCACACAGTGCTTGTCACCGGCACCATGGTGCAAGAGACATTCAGTCTTTTTTTTTTTTTTTTTTTTTTTTGTGAGACGGAGTCTCGCTCTGTCGCCCAGGCCAGAGTGCAGTGGCTTGATCTCGGCTCACTGCAAGCTCTGCCTCCCAGGTTCATGCCATTCTCCTGTCTCAGCCTCCCAAGTAGCTGGGACTACAGATGCCCGCCACCACGCCCAGCTAATTTTTTGTATTTTTAGTAGAGACAGGGTTTCACCGTGTTAGCCAGGATGGTCTTGATCTCCTGACCTCGTGATCCACCCGCCTTGGCCTACCAAAGTGCTGGGATTACAGGCGTGAGCCACCGCGCCCGGCCGACATTCAGTCTTTAAAGTTATACTGAACTCATGGCATTTGACACGTCAGCTGACTGGTGGCCACATATAGCTCTTGCTATTCTGGAAAAGCCATGGGATAGAGGTAAAAATGGGACTGAGGGGAAGATCAAAGGTAAACGCCACATGAACCACTACTGTATACCTACTGGTCTCTTTCTAGAATTTGGCCTGAGGTGGGCCTGGTGCAATTCTTAGTGAGACACTACAAGAATATGGATGTCACTTGAGGCAGGTCTAAGGGTTTGGTTTTGTTCTACATCATGGATGACAAGTCCATGGCCTTTGTGCTTAATTGATGGTGACAATCTTTCCCATGAATCCTTCCCAAGCCCACTTCCCAGGCGGTCACTACCAATTTATTGGGGTTAAAGGAAAGTTACCCTTATGTTACCCTTATTTCCTATCCTTGCTCTGGATTCTGGAGACTAGCTGGTCCCAGAGGAAACCAAAAGCAAATCAATTTTCCCTGAAAGATGTTCTCAATCTAGTAGACCCACTCAGGCCCCAGGGCTGGGGAATGAGGTCCCCAAGGTTTACTTTTGTGGCATTTGTGGCCTGGATTCCCCTTGCTTTCAGACTCCTGGTGGTCTCCCCGTCTGATGCTGGCAGCTTCTTCTAGCCTATGTTTAATGGCAGCAAGTCTTGTTCCTACCAGTCCCTCTTGTCACATTCTCCCCTTGCTGACCCACCTGCAGTCTCATGCTGGACTCTTTCTCTCAGCAACATCAGAGCAGTCAGAGCTCACTGCCTTAAACATGTTCTCTTCTGGCCCAAACAGGCTGGCCTGGAACAAATTGAGCCTTGTTATTTGGCCACAGGAAGAGTCCCACCTGCCAGACATTTCTGAGTGGAAAGGATGAGTGGAGGTGGCAGGTACCTGGTAACACTGATGGTTCCTTCATGTGGGTTTGTCTGCTCAGGGGTGTTGAGTGCATGTCTGCCCAAGTGCATCAGTATACACCTGGCGTCACTGGTGTATACTGATGCATGGCCACCATGGTGCTTTGTCCCCAGCTCTACCAAGGACCTAGCTCTCTGGGTTACTCTGGGGTCTTTTGAGTCTTGGAAACTTACCATCAGAGTGGGACTACAACATAAAGGGGCTGGGAAGTTAGGAAGAGAAGATGTCGGCCTCAAGGGAGCTCTGCCTATGGCATGACCTCTCACCCTGCCCAGGAACCCTGGGTGTGGTACCTTCCCTCTCCAGCCAGCAGACAGCACCTTAGAGGCTTTGAGCCCATGATGCCATCTTCTTGGGCAATCACAGGCTCTTTCTGTGGCTGTGGCTGCGTTTTATGGAGATCCTTACCTTTGTGCTATTGCCGTCAGCACTGCAAATTCTTTTTGGCCCCTAGGACAATCAGGAAGCTGATGAGGCCAGCCCTTGATGGCTGGGGGCCTCCCTGTCACTGACCTAAGTACACTTTCCATGGAGCCTGGTGGAGGGTAGGACTGAATCTGGTCTGGGAAACCAACAGAGACTATTTTAAGGACTGGCGATTAAGAGTGTAAGAATTTTCTTAGCAGTGGCCTCAACTAGGACACATATGCCAAGGGGTTGAGGAATACGGGAGGGACAAGGCAGAACATATGGAAATTTCTGTTTATATTTATTGTCTATCTCATCTTTTAAAACTTTTCCACTTGGGGAGGTGGGTTTTATAAAAAATATGCATTTATATAATTGGTAGATGAATATTCATATGTTGGAGATGCTGAAACATGTTGTATTGATAGAGGCACATGATTAAAAAGGCAGGAGGCCACTGGCTTGAAGGCTGGGCAGGCCAGGATATGTTTTCTTGTGCAAAAACTGGAATTTTTTTCTAAGCCTAAACTTTCTAGATTCTCATATCCATTCCTGAGAGAGAAGCTCTAGGACACTGGACCTGGCCCCAGCACCCACTGCTCTACAGCCTCTGCTTTGCTGCCTGGGTGCACAGGAACCACTGGCGTGGCCCAGTAGTCCTTCCTGCCCTGGGACTCAAAGGAGAGGGTCCTCCCACAGCATCTGCCCATCCCTAATTGCCCATTACAGAAAGGTCAGCCATGAATTCATCAAAACCTCTTTTGAAGCTGTGGGGCTCTTCTGGCCACTCTGACTTAGAGAAACAGTTTCTTTAAGTTCACTCCCCTCCTGGTGAGCAAAGACAGCCATTTATTAATGGAAAACATTTCTTTCAAATCCTCAACTGAAGGCGGTGGGGGGCATGCTCTGGAATGCTGCCTTGTGGGGCCCAGCTTGGTTTTCCCTCTGGCGCCTGCACTGGCTCCATGCCTGGCTGCTTTTCCGTCTGGTCTGAATCAGCCTGGTCAGGCCCTCCTTCCCACTGTGCACCAGGGCAGCCACATCTCTCCTGGTGGTTCTGCCATTATGGACGTCACTGGTGTCTGAAGCATTTTTTAGTCACTGACGCTGGCCTCGTGCCTTTCTGGGGGCTTCTGACAGAGGGGAGCCCAGCCTCTCACCAGTGCAATCAGGATTATGTCTCCCAGCAGTGGTCCTGGGATGGGACAGGAGGCCACAGGGTACTAAGGATTGGTGGGGGAGAGGCTAACTGAATTTTCTCTGTTCCCGTTCCCAGCAGCCCTCCTGTGGCCAGGGGGCTCCTTCCTGCCTTGGCAAACAGCTCTGAGTTAAGATTGTTTCTGATCAGCTAATAGCCTTAAATGCTGAAAGGAAGAAAAGCTGGTAGAAATCTGGCTGTTTGTACATTGTTTACCTTTCTTGGCCATCTTAAAAATATATTTGTCCCAATATCTAATGCATGTGGGGCTTAAAACCTAGATGACGGGTTAATAGGTGTAGCAAACCACCATGGCACATGTATACCTATGTAACAAACCTGCACGTTCTGCACATGTGTCCCAGAACTTAAAGTAAAATAAAAAATAAAATACATTATATATATATATATATATATATATATATATATATAATTTTATAATTTGTCCCTAGATAAGGCATTTCTAGTCTTCCCTGTTTGACTTCTAGCCACTCCTTCATCTCTCTGCCCTTCCTGTCTCTTGTGTCTCCTTTATGGCGGCACCCCTCTCCCCTCCTTGCTTACACACCCTTACCCTGGCCCTCCCCAGCAATAGGACTCCCATGGCTGCTGGGAGGAGCAGTGGCCTCAAGGGGCCTCTCTGCTGATGAGGCCACATCCACAAGACCAAGTCTTCCTTGGGGTGGGCTGGGTCCTGCCTGTGGACACCTCCCTCTCTTTTTCCTCATTCCCTTCTTTCTCCTGCCCAGCGGCCATATTTTGGCGGAGACCTTTGTTTGTGTCTCTTAAGAAGAGCCTCCTGGAGGGCTTACCTCTTCCCTCCTGAGGAGGCCTTGGACGGGTGTAGTCACTGTGGCTCTCATGGAATGTGTGTTCAGGTGTGTGGTACAGACAGTTATGACCCCTGGAGCTCCTGCCACGGTGGGCCCTTGTGTTCAGCTGGAGAAGGAACTGGCCCCTCCCAAGCTGGACTGGTTTGGGACAGGGCTTGGGCATTTATGGTGTGTGGCACTCATAGGTGTAGCCTTTCTTCCTGTGACTTCTCGGCTTTCACATACGTAGACTCATCATGGCATGGGGCATTGTTGAGTGCTCCTCCTCATGGGAACTTCTATAACCCTGTGGGGTCATTCTCTTTTTTCTCCTTTCCCTGACTTCTCTGGTTCTGACATCTCCTCTACTCCTATGAACTTTGGTCCTCCCCACAAAGCTTTCTGGGTGATTTCTAGCCTGAGAATTGTCTGTGAACAAGACCTGTAACTCTCCCAGATAAAAATATCTACACTTATCTGAATTGAACTGAAGCTGTGACCCATCTCTTAATGTCTCTTACCCCCTACCCCCACCTCAACACAACCAAACCAAACCCAAACTTGTGATTTTGTGATTTCGCTTCCCATTTCTTACCCACTAATTGACTTCTCTCCCTGGATTCCCCATCTCAATTAAAAGGAACACTCCTCCCTGGAGCCAAAGCCAGAATACCTGCTGCTGTACCTTCCCTTCCTCTTGCCACACAGACTATCTCCTGGGCCAGTGCCTTATTCTCACTGGTTTCCTACCTCATCATCTTCTTCTCCTTGAAGAGACCCTAAACATTCCCCTATGTGAAAACCTTACAGGCTGTGCTCATTTTAGCTTTTAGCTTCCCAATTAGCTCAGGTAGTTCAACACACACTATCACACGATTGCTGGGAGCTGTTCTAGGTGCTGGGAGCACCAATGACTTACGTCTTCCAAGCTTATCCTGCGTAGCTACTCAGACTGAGCATGCTCTGCTGTGCCTCTGGGTCTTCGTGCATGCTGTTGCCTCTGCCTAGCATGCCCTGTCACCTTGGCATGAACAGCTCATCTTTTAAGACCCAGTTTAAATGTCTTCTCATCCTCAAAGACTTCTGCCTCTGTCCATCACTGGACCATGCAGCAGTGTGTCTTGCAGGGATTTGTTTGCACATCTGTCTCTACTCTAGACCAGAGGCTCTTGGAGGACTGGACTCCTATATGAATCATTTTTTAAAAAAATATTTTAATTAAATATTAAATGACTTTATAAAGAATATAAGAATACCTATACAACATGTATAAGATGTGAAGAATAAAATATGAACACCTGTGGACCCACCTTCCATTGAAGAGATATCATTCCTTTATACCATCAATACCTATTATAGGGCCTGGAACTAATCCAGGGGTCAGTAAATGTGAATTCCTGAATGAATGAATGAATAAATATCTATTGTTGGAGTCATTTTCTCTCTGAGTCTCCCAGCGTTGCTAGTTAAGTCCCAGGTGAATGGTGTCATGGCCCTAGCCCAGCCCCACTCTGTGAGCTCATTCTACTGTTCACACATTGTTCTGGTTGTTGTGCATGTGCTTACTGAGTGTCCATTCAATGCCAAGCGTGGCGCTGGGTCCTAAGGATATAGTGGGGAGCAAAATGGTGAAACCTCTTCCCAGGGAGCTTCCACGTAAGCAGCTCTTCAGAAAAAATAATCCAAAGAACCCAAACTGCAATGCTTTCTACCCCCTCTACAGCTACCCTAGAAAGGCAGTGTGGGATGTGGTTAAGGACATGGACTGGTGGCCTAGATATTGGAATCCCAGCTCCACCATTTGCAAGTCATGATGGCTTTGTATGTTACTTAACTTTTATGTGTGGCAGTTTTCTCATCTGTAAAATGGGCAAAATAGATCCTATCCAGTGAATTTGCTGTGAGGCTTAAAGCAGTTACTATGTGACAGGTGGCTCATGGTGAGGGCTCGGTCAGCATTACCACAATTATTGTCAGCAGAGCCTTCTATGGTACGGCTGGGGGTGTAGCCAACTGCTATAGGGAGGAACTTTAGGTATTGTTCCTGAAGTTCTCTCCTGCATGAAGTCAGACCCAGAGAAGGGCCGAGTGTCATGCCAGGCACTTGCCGTGTTTCCTCAGCTTTAAAACTTTGGGGCCACATTTTACTGCTCTGAGTCATTTAGTGCTTACAGTCACCCCATTCAGGAAATAAATATTGAGCATCCAGTTTGTGCCAGGCACTGTGGTAGGCCCTGGGACACAGCTGTGAGGAAAGCACACGGAGACTGTGCCCACACAGAACTGGCAGTTTAATGCAGGGATCCCAAAGGATATACAAAAGCAATAAATTTGTTATATGATGGGTCAGAAGGTGCTCAGTGCCACAGAGAACAAAGAGGCAGGGGAGACAAGCACAGTTTTAAATAGATTCAGGGTAAGTGTCCCTGAAAGGATGCCACCAGAGCAAAAACTTGAGAGGGAGCAAGTGTCTGCAGAAAGAACAGCAAATCCGAGGCGGGCGGATCACAAGGTCAGGAGTTCAAGACCAACCTGGCCAATATGGTGAAACCTCGTGTCTACTAAAAATACAAAAATCAGCTGGGCATGGTGGCACATGCCTGTAGTCCCAGCTACTTGGGAGGCTGAGACAGAAGAATTGCTTGAACCCGGGAGGCGGAGGTTGCCGTGAGCTGAGATCGCAGCACTGTACTCCAGCCTGGGCGACAGAGTGAGACTCCGTCTCAAAAACAAAACAAAACTAAAGAAAAAAAAAAGAAAAAAAAAACAAAGAACAGCAAATCCAATGGCCAAATGCACATGTCAGGAGTGGGCCTGGCATAAGGGAAGTGGAATCAGGGAGAGGATAATCAGAGATGAGGCCAGAGGGAAAGGGGCAAAATCTCATGGGGCCTTATGGGCCATTGTAAGACTTTTGGCTTTTCCTTTGGGAGGGAAAGGAAGCCAGTGCAAGGCTTAAGCAAAGCAGAGAAGTGGCCTGACTTGTGTATTTAAAGCCTTATTCTGGGGCTGGGCTTGGTGGCTCATGCCTGTAATCCCAGCATTTTGGGAGGCTGAGGTGGGCGGATCACTTGAGGTCAGGAGTTCAAAGCCTGGCCAACATGGCGAAACTCCGACTCTACTAAAAATACAAAAAATTAGCGAAGCATGCTGGTGTGCGCCTGTAGTCCCAGCTACATTGCAGTGAGCCGAGATTGCATCACTGCGCTCCAGCCTGGGCAACAGAAGGAGACTCACACACACACACACAAAAAGACTTATCCTGGCAACTGAGAATGGCTCAAACCAGGTGGGGTGAGGAGGAGGGAGTAGGTAGTAGTGGCCAGCTTCAGAAACCAACAAGATATACTGCTGGATTGACTTAGGATGAGACAGGAAGGGAGGCAGAGACGGCACCAAGGGGGAGACTAGGAGGCCCACATTTAGGGGGAAGATCAGGGGCTCAGCTTGGGTGTATCAAGGTGGAGATGCCTACAGGGCATCTCTGTGAAGATGTGGAGTTGGCAGTTAGACAGGTGAAGAGTTCAGAGCAGAGTTCTGGGCCAGAGATAGACATTTGGTGGGTATCAGTGGAAAGTGGATTTAAAGCCCTGAGACTGGGTAAGTCTTGAGACTTAGGGATTGTGAGTACTCACAGAAGCACGTTTGTGTAAAGACTGAGCCCTGGGTCTCTCCAGTGTAAGGAGTGGTGTTCTGGGGTTGGCAGATGAGGAAGAATCTGCAGAAGAGATTAGAAAGGTGTGGCCAGGCAGGAGGAGGAAATTCAGGAGAAGGTGGTATTCCCGAAGGCAAATAGTGAACTTATTTCAGGAAGAAGGGAGTGATCACCCAGGATCAAGTGCTGCTGATGGTCAAATGAGATGAGGAACTGAGATGTGACTGTCGGATTTGATGATGTGGAGGTCCCTACTGACTGTGACCTGAGTAATGTCTGTGGAGTGATGGGCAAAAGCCAGGTTGGAGGGGTAGGTTGAGAGGGAGAGAGGAGAGGAGTGGGAGGTAGTGAGTGGAGGCAGTTCTTTTATTATTTATTTTAGAGACAGAGTCTTGCTCTGTCACTCAGGCTGGAGCACAGCAGCGTCGTCCTAGCTTACCGTAACCTTGATCTCCTGGGCTCAAGAGATCCTCCTGCCTCAGTCTCCCAAGTTGGGATTATGACTTGGCAACCTGGCAAGTCACCTTGCCAGGCAAGTGGAGATAATTATTTTAAGGAGTTTTGCTGTAAAGAAGAGGAGAGAAATGGGGCAGTAGCTGAAGGAGTAGTGGAGCAAAGTACTGCTGCTTCTACTTTTTTGTTGTTTAGGATGGGAGAAGCTTGTTTGTATGATAATTGAAATGATCCAATAGAGAGGGGGAAATGGATGATGAAGGATAGGGGAGAATTTGTGAAGGTGAGAAGTGGGCCTTGGGATTGGGAGGCAGGTGAACACTGGGGGACAGGAGTAGGGAGGCTGAGGTTGTGCAGGTTTCTTCTGGTGGGTCCCACTTTTTTTGTGAGATGGTCAGCAGGTCATCAGTGGCAGTTAAGAGACAAAAGGAGGTGTTTGGAAGCTTGAAGATCAAGGAGAGGATATAAGGAAGCATCTAGGAAGATGGGAGAATACAAAGACCGTGGACATATATCGCGATCTCCAGGTGTCATGATGGCTACCATGAGGTGTGTGGGTGCACATCAATGCCAGGAACACTGCCCTTGCATGCAGACTTTGCTGGGTGCAGAAGACATTGCTTGTTTATTCACTGTCACCACAGCTGAGTTTAGAACCCTAAATGTCTCCAGAAAGACTATATTGTGATACAACATTGATTTAAAAAGTCACTGTATATATAGATTGCCTGCTACTTATTGGGCAACACAAATACAATAGAAATGGCTACATTTCTCAGAAGGCTTGCACCACCTGGAGAGGGGGCCACAGCCCATTCACATGTTGTAAAAAGCTCTCAGTAGCTTCTGATTTGCTTTCAAGGGCTGCCTTTAAACTCCAGTCTTAAATAATTTATGTAAAAAATGAAACTATTAATTTGGACAAGTGGGAAATATTTCTTTAGGATACCTAGAAATTAGTATACTGAAAGGGCCCAGAGAAGCCCAGGTTCCCAGTGTGGGCCACTGATGCTGTGGCCACCACCATGCTAGGCTTCACAGCTGGTGGCAAAGATGGCCCTGAGGGGTTGGACTCAAACTCTGGTTGTCTTGCTGAAGAAGCAATTGGCGGGTCTGTGACTGGATAGTTAGGTCTGTGCCACTGATGGTTGATGACAGGAATGTTAAACACTATTTAATAGTGTTTCTTTTTTTTAGGAGAGTCTTTATTAGACCAAGGATATGTTTCTCTACCCGCCAGTTCCTCAGAAGGGAGGAAGGATTGCAGAGTATCTTGGGGTGGGTGTCCCCAGGCGGGCTCCTCATCTTCCCCCTGAAATGGCTTGTTCTAAGCTGCCCTATCAGTTGGCTCTTAAATCTTTTTGGCAAGCAGATGGCCTTCAGATGGGGGCAGCAAACTTAGAATCTTCTCCTGGGGCACTGAGGCAGCAGCTACCAGGGCAGTCTCCTGCACAGGCTGGGCCTCCACACTGCTCTCAGCAAGTCAGCCCTGTTTCCTGAGTGCCAGCATTCACCCCAATGAGTACAGACTAAAGCAGGGAGAGAATTTCAGGGAAGCAGTATAAAGCATTGTCTTTGGCTTTTTGTGCTCATCCTCTTTCAAACTGGAAAAGAGGAAAATTGCAGAGATGAACTTAAGTTGGGTCAAAGGAGAAGGAATATATGATTGACATTTAGCCTGACAGTTTGCTTTCTACCTCATGGAACTACCCAACACTGTTGGCTCCTTTGCAGCCAGATTGGGATGGAGGTGAGGGTTAGATGCATTGGACCTCACTCAGTGGTTCCTCAAGGCTGGATCCTGGAACTCCAGCCCCACCCAGCTTCACACTAGTGGAAAAGTAACACTTTATCCCATCTTGGTAGATTTGGTCTGGCATCAGGCTTGCCAGAGGGCTACCAGAAGGAAGGCTCCTTTGTGTAGAGGCAGGCCCCTGATACAGGAGATGGCATTAACTAGGCATTGCAGTATCCCCCATCCCCAGCAATCTAGGGTCAGCCTCTGAAGGGGTTCAAGGCAGGATATAGCAGATTGGCCAGTATGGTATCTCAATATAGTAACTTGGGCTCATGTTGGAATCACCTAGGGAGGAAAAAATACTAATGCCAGGGTCCTGCCTCCATAGATTTTTATGTAATTCGACTGAGGTGCAGTCTGGGAGTCGGAATTTTAAAAATCACCCTAGGTATTTCTTTCTTTTCTTTTTTTTTGAAATGGAGTCTCGCTCTGTTGCCCAGGCTGGAGTGCAGTGGCACGATCTTGGCTCACTGCAAGCTCCACCTCCCGGGTTCACGCCATTCTTCTGCCTCAGCCTCCCAAGTAGCTGGGCCTACAGGCGCCCACCACCACACCTGGCTAATTTTTTGTATTTTTAGTAGAGACGGGGTTTCACCCATGTTGGCCAGGATGGTTTCGATCTCCCGACCTCTTGATGTGCCCGCCTCGGCCTCCCAAAGTGCGGGGATTCCAGGCGTGAGCCAACGTGCCCAGCCTTTTTTTTTTTTTTTTTAGACAGGGTCTCACTCTGTTGCCCAGGCTGGAGTTCAGTGGCACGATCTCTGCTCACTGCAACCTCTGCCTCCTGGGTTCAAGTGATTCTCCCACCTCAGCCTCCCATGTAGCTGGGTTTACAGGTGTGCGCCACCAAGCTCAGCTAATTTTTGTATTTTTAGTAGAGATGGGGTTTCACCATGTTGGGCAGGCTGGTCTTGAACTTCTGACCTCAAGTGATCTACCTGCCTTGGCCTCCCAAAGTGCTGGGATTACAGGCTTGAGCCACCATACCTGGCCCATCCCAGTTATTTCTAACATGTAGGTTTAGAATCTTGGTATTCAAAGCATGGGCCTCAGATGAGAGTATTGGCATCACCTTAGAGCTTCTTACAATGCAGGCCCTACTCAGATCTACTGAATCAGAGTCTGTACTTTATCAGAATGTGAGAGGACATGTTTTAATCCTGCCTCATGCCCTGGTGCCAAGGGTTCAAGTTGGAGATGCTTGTCAAGGCTCAGCACAGGACACAGCAAATGAGGGCCATGATGATTCTTCTGGGCAGGAGGAAGAGGGTGGTGATGGGGCTTGGCAGGGTCACCTAGCTTGGTAGAGACCTCCGCAAGCTGCTTCTCTAAGCTGTATCTCTAACAGTCATTTTCAATGTCATTTCAGCACTTCCCGGAGACTGGACCCCAAGGAACCCCTGGGTAACCAGAGAGCAGCTTCCCCAACTCCGAAGCAGGCTTCTGCTACCACTCCTGGCCATGAGAGCCCCCGAGAGACAAGGGCACAGGGACCAGCAGGCCAGGAGGCTGATGGTCCCCGCAGGACGCTGCAGGTAGACAGCAGGACACAGAGATCAGGGCGGTCCCCCTCAGTGTCACCGGACAGAGGCAGCACCCCCACATCACCCTACTCCGTCCCTCAGATCGCCCCCCTTCCCAGCAGCACGCTGTGTCCCATATGCAAGACTTCGGACCTCACGTCGACCCCCAGCCAGCCAAACTTCAACACCTGCACCCAGTGTCACAACAAGGTCTGCAACCAGTGTGGGTTCAACCCCAACCCTCATCTCACCCAGGTAACCACTTCTGCGCCGGCTCCCCACTCACCTGCTACCTCATTACCATACCTCCCCTGGTTCCCTTCCCCTCTTTCACCAACTCTCTTTTCCTGGTCATTTCCCTTGACCACCAGCATTTGTGTCCTCCTGCAGGGATGTGTCCTGGTTCCAGGATGTGGCAGCAAAGAACAGGGCCTGGCCCCAGATCTCCCAAGGGATTTCTGCATCCCCTGAAAGCTTGGGTAGAGTCTGAGAGTAGAAGATACTTTCTAACCTGGTCCAAGTTTGGTCTGGAAAAATGGCCTTCGAGAGGACCAAAGACAATCTTATGAACAATTTTTCCCAATGGAACTCATTTGGAGTGGGCCATGAGCAGCTCTAGGACACAGAGGGAGGCAAATTTCCCTGATCTAGGCCAGGAGGCCTCTGTCTTTGACAGCAGGCCCTAGATGGGGATGCTGGTGAGGGGAGAAAAGTTTCAGGGGAGGCAGGAAACTGCCTTCCAGCTGGGCTCTGGGAAGCACCTCTTCTTGGCTTTAGTTCTAGTCAGCTGGGGACCTGAGGTGGTGGGGCAGCTACCCCATCCCTAAAGAAATGACCTTGGGGTAAAGAACCAGGCTGGGAACCAAGCATTCACCAAGGATGACAGTGTCCTACACTCACCAAGAGGCCACTGTAGGACCATTTCTGTGAGTTTGGCTTCTTTTTCGCCCAAGAGGACAAGAGGACTCTGGGTCCACAGCCCCAGCCTGGCTTTGTTCAGGATGCTTTGAATGACTGTGGGATGTCTCACCAAATGAGTTGGGGCCATCGCTTTAAAATGAACAGAGTAGGTCTGCTGATTTCCTCCTACTCCTCTGGGAGTAGAAGCCTCTGTTTCTCCCCACAAGAATCCGTCTTTGGATAGGATGGAGAGAGGCTGGCTGCAGGCACGGGCATGGCTGCCTCTGGGATTAACAGCAGCTGGAGCCGTTTGGACCATGTGGGAGGGGGCTGAGTGAGAATAATTGTTCACAGGTCAGGGTCTATATATGCCATGAGGTGCTGTGGGTGTGGGACGTGTGGTTTGTGAGAGGTAAGTGTGAGATTCTGAGGAAGGAGCTGTCGGTGTGGGGAGATGACTCAGTGCCTTTGGAGTTGCTCCTGGAGTGTGGGGGCTTCCTGAAGAGGCGTGCATGCTCGTGATTATTGCATCTGTGATTAGAAACAGGCCATCCTGCACTGTTCAGTTAGGTAAGTGCTTGCTGTTCAGAATTTGGAACAATACGATTAAGGCCAGGGAAGCTCACCTGTGTGTTTCTGCCAGTGAGAAGCCAGAAGCCCCTCACAGGAACAGGGAGGCTTGGCAGGTGGACTGTACCGCTATGGGACATCCCCTCCTCATGCTGGCCTTGCCCCTCTGGGTTCCAGCTCCCTTGAGATGCAGCACAGCACCTGGACAACTCCGAGTGAGGTGGGTGGGGATAAGGAAGAGCCACACATGGTGGCCCCAGGCTCCTGGTGGGCATCCCATTCCTCACCAAACCATGGCCCCTGCCTATAGGCTCTCCAAGCCCAGGACCTTCAATGAGGTGGGAAGGGAGCCAGCCTTTGGCTGTGCCTGGAAAAACAGCAGAGTAGGAAGACCTTGGAGACACTCAGTCCATCTGCCTCATTGTGCTGGGAGGAAGCTGAGGCTCAGGGCCAGGAGAAGATGGGGCCTCACACTTACTTCAGATCCATAGTGTTTGGTGAAGAGTGGGTCTCAGCCAAATACTTCAAACAAATGCTGGGCTGGACAAATGAAATGTTTCTTTGCTGTGAGATTCCTCAGGATTTTCAGTGTCCTGAGGGGCATCACAGAGTTCCAGGACAGGGCTATGGTTGGCAGCCTTTCCCAGACTTGCTTTCACAGAACATCTTAGGAGCTGCTGTTCCATGGCACCCAGTTTGGGAATTGCTGACCTGGTCCCTTCTCCAAGTTCACACATGGTGAATACCCTTCTCTGCTGGGGTTTTCAGGTAGAACCTTCGCTTCTCTAGAGTTGGCTTTCAGTGGTGTTCTTGTTAAGGAAAAAATAATCCTTGGCACATCTTCCTGAGGGGTGATAAAGCATAATTCGTGAACCAGTGCAGTTGCTCTTTGTCACTTTGCTAAGAGCAGGTTCACCTTCCTGGTCATGCTTCCATGTGATGAGAAAACAGGTTTGCAGGCTTTGCTCACACACCTGCTGTTAGATCTGTCCTAGTCAGACTACATCTGTCCTGGCCACTTCTAACTTGATGTTATGTCAGTCAAGAAGGCTGGGATTGCCCTGGTGTCTCTGGGCTGAACTCCTGCCTGGCCTGAGATTCTGGGCATGTGTAAGGGGCTGGTTCTGAAGTTAGGTGTCTGGGTGGGTGATGGGGTCAGAGAGAGTGACCTTTTCCAGGAAACTCAGCTACAGCACTCACTTTCTTTTTCAGTTCCTCACTTCCCAGGAGTGGCCCAATCAGAGTAGAAAAAGGTAGAGGTACTGCCAGTCCCAGCGCAGATGCACTGCAGACACTGGCAACTGGAGAGTGTCCTGGGGATCCTGTGTGGGCTGGGTAGTATGCCTGGAGCTGCTAGTGTAGTCACGCTGAGCCTGGTTGAGGAGGTCCAGCAGCCTGGGTGCTGTGTCCAGGGCGTGTCGGCAGGATGCGTTGTTCCTCAGCTTCCCAGTGGACAGAGGGATATAGCAGTCCCAGAGAAGGACGTGGGCCACACAAGTGACATGGAGGCTTTCAGGGCATCTCCAAGATGACTAGTGAAACTGTGCTTGGAACTTTGAAATGTGACCGCAGAAAATGGAACTTTGTTCATGTGTGTCACTAATAGAGACTTACTGGCTGGTTTGGAACTCAAGCTGCTGTGTAGATCTGGAGTGTGATTGAACAGTTGTGCCGAATGGCTGCATGAGGACAAATGCACAGAAAGGAGGGAAAGAACTTGGCCCCACTGGGCAGTGGTCACCAGGACTTGGTGTTTTTGTTTTTGTGTATGATGGCATCAGTCAGAGTTATTACTTTAGCTGAGTGCTGCAGAAACAGCAGATGAGATCTGGAGATGGGAATCACACACAGTTAGCTCCATTTGGCTAGCAGCAGTGTCTGAGATCTGGAATCACTGTTTTTCTGGCCAGCGGACCCAAGTTTCCCCTATCAGCCCTAGGCTGCTGGAGGTCTACTACACTTACACAGACAGACATGGTACTCACCATTCTGCCCATCCAGCAGAGAGCAGGAGGCCTGCCCATGTAGTTTGCTGGGTTTCTGAGTGCCTAGAGCATGTTGAGACTGTATGGAAATTGGGGAAGGAGCTCAGAGCACAGTCCCTGTTTACAGATGAGGAGACTGAGTCTTAGGAAGTCTTGGCTTATTCTGGGTTATTCTGGAGCAAAAGAGCTGTGGATCTAGACCAGTGGCTTGGTCTCCAGCTTTCCCCCAGGGATTTGCAGCCTCATTTTCCCCATCCATAGTCCATTTTGCTAAGGCTGAAGCTGGTTCAGAACAAATAGGGCAGTCCCAGATACTCTTCTTGGTGGAGGCCATTTCTTTCTGGATATCCCCAGTCCTCGTAGCTCAGGGCAAGCGAGTAATTTAACCTGTCCGAAACCACAGAGAAAGACTGGGTGTTTCTGTTTGAGGCCTGAACATTTCTCACCACCCACAAGAGACCCTCCCTCTGACAATGCACTGATGCCAGGGGGCCAGAGGTGTTAGCATTCAGTCCTTACTGACAAGGAGAAGGCAGGAAGACCATTCTCCTTTTCTCTCTGTAGATGTGGGGTTTTGGACAAATACTTGAATTTCCTGAATGTCAGATTTCTCTGAAGGAAAAGCAGGATTCCAAGGATTGGCATCAGTGCCTTTGCTAATGCCCATGCCTGCTCAGGCCTGCTAGTCCACCTTTCCGTTCTTCAGTGACTTACATGTGGGCCCGCCACCCCTTTCTGCACCAGAAGGGTGGCCCGTGTTGCCCTTGTTAGGCTTCTATTCTGACAGTTGGGGGTGGGAGGGAGACAAGGCATGGGCCTGAGCCTGCTAAGTAGAAGATGAGAAGATGCAGTTGGGGTGGGCAGTGGGGATGGGAGTGAGTTGCTGGGGAATATGAACCGTGGCCTGGGGCAGGCATAGCCTGCTTCTATAGGCTTCTCAGGGACTTCCATGCCCCACTCAGAGCAGCCCCAGAAGCACATCCTGGCCTGGAGCTCCTGCAGATGCCAGTCTGTCCTCATCCTCAGAACAGCATCCCAGGAGTGACTGCGGTGCAGAGGCAGGGTTGCCTGCATGCCCGAGCCTCCAGTCTGATCAGCTGAATCCTCCCAGAGCACCATCTAGAGTGAAGGGGCCCACGCTCTGCCCCTGTGGGGAGCAGCAGGGCTGCCACCCCATCCCCAGCCTTCCAGGCCAAGGTGGTCCATCTGCCTCCCACCACCCTTGCTCTAGTCAGAATTACTTATAAGCCTCTCTAGGAAAACTACAGAGGAGTAAGCATGGTCTTACCTCATCCATTCCAAGGTCTGGACTTTGCTGAGGCCAAGCCAAGGATATTTAACCCATACCATCCCCAACTCCTACCCAATGGCAAACCATGAGCCTACGCAGTTTCCCAGGGTGGGCGGCGTGGAGAAGGGAGGGAGACAGTGCAGTGGCTCCGAGCCTCTCTCTCCCCTGCCTGCATCCCACTGCTTTCCGGCAAGGGCCAGGGCTCCAGATGGCTCGGGGGTGGTGCTGTGAGTTCAGTACAGATCCCTCTGCTACAGCCAGCAGCCTTGTCTCATTCCCTCTACTCCCTCCTGGCCACACTGCCACCTGGGCCAGAGAGGAATGAGGAGCAGGTTTCAGGACATGGGACCAGCAGTGTACTGAGGGGAGGTAAAGGTGTCTTCTGCTTTCCTGGGCCCAGGAGGGTGTCTGCCCAGCCTTCCAATGCTCACCTCCAAACAAAATGGAAGTGGATCTCCAGGTGGCAGGCCCTTCAGGAGGCCTTTCTCCCACCGAATAGCTAGTCCTTGGGCAGTTTGCTTTAGAGTAGCCACTTTGACCTAAACAGTCTCCAAGTCAATAGAGAAATACTCTCCAAACTTTAGTCACTCTGGAGCAGCCAGCCCTGTTGCTTAGTACATGCCCCGAAGTGGTCCATGTTCCCAGAAGACAGGACCTTTGGCCTGCTTACTTGCTTGGACCACTGCAGGGTGGAGGCCACAGCCACTGGGGCCGTGAGGAGACAACAGGCATGGAATTCTACCTTTTAGTTATGGAAGAGGGCCATAAGTTAAGCTAAGAATGAATGTAAAATTAATTCAGATCTGAAAATAAGAAATTTTACTCCTAAAACACTTGTTTTCATATCTAAGGGCAAAGGAAACAGAATAAAAAGAAAATGCAGTAAAAATGGTAGAGAAAAAAAGAAATCCATGAATAAAGTAGGAGTTGGAAGAAGTGGAAGAAGGCACAAGAAGGGGAGGCAGGAAAGGGAGGTGATGGAAAGAGAGCCAGAGGCAGGAAGAGGCAGGGACCAGGAAATCTTGGTAAAGTTCCCAGTTGCTGGCTGGTAACCTGTTGGTTTTGCTGCTTCTACTCTTTATTTTGCTCAGCCTTTGGCCTGGACAGGCATGTTTAACCCACTGAGTCAGAGGGCAGCCCTCTCCCTTCTTCCTGTCCTTGCCTCCCTCCACAGTGCTTTTCAGTCCTATTGATAGCCGGGAACTGTCCCAGACACTGGAGAAACAGGTAGAAATGAAGCAGATGTGCTGCTCAGCTCTGTGAAGCCTTCAGACCAGTGCAGGAGGCACCACTGCCACCAAGAACCACACAAGCAAACACACAATCACATCTGGGGTCAAGGAGGGGAGGGCTATGGCGGGTGCTGTTGGTACGATGCTGAGACAAGATTCCTGGGGGTAGTTGGGCATGGTGGCTCACACCTGTAATCCCAACACTTTGAGCAGCTGAGGTGGGCAGATCACTTGAGCCCAGGAGTTCAAGACTAGTCTGGGCAACATGGCGAAACCCCATCTCTACAAAAAAAATACATGGTGCAAAGATACATGGTGGTGCATGCCTGTAGTCCCAAGTATTTGGGAGGCTGAGGTCAGAAGATCACTTGAGCCTGGGAAAATCTAGGCTACATGAGCCATGATCATGCCACTGCCCTCCAGCCAGGGTGACAGAGTAAGACTCTGTCTCAAAAAAAAAAAAAAAAAAGTTATTGGGGGCTTCTCCAAAGAGAGCATTAGGCTGTAGAATGTCAGAATTGCTGGATGGGAGGCAGTTGGAAAAAGAGGAGGCCTGAGGGGATGTGCTTTGTTCATGTGAGGGTTCAGGAGCAAAGGTCCAGGACAGCTGTACCACAGGACAGGACCAGAAGGCATGCAGGTCCTGCTGGGCTTGCTGGGGTCTCCTGATGCACTCCCAAGGTTTGGGAAGGTGGCAGTAGGAAGGTCAGATGTGCATTTAAAACACCCCTCTGATGCAATCTCAAGGGCCCTTCAAATAGCCAAAATAATTGTGAAAAAGAAGAACAAAGCTGAAGAACTCACACTTCCTGATTTCAAAACTTACTACAAAGTTACGGTAATCAAAACAGTGTGGTACTGGCATAGAGACATATAGACCAATAGAGTAGAATACGTAGCCCAGAAATAAACCCTCACATATACGGTCAGATGATTTTTGATAAGAGTGCCAAGACCATTCAGTAGGGAAAGAACAATCTTTTCAACAAATGGTGTTGGGAAAACTGGATATCTACATGCAAAAAAATGAAGTTGGACCTTTTCCTTACATCATATACAAAAATTAACTCAAAATAGATCAAATACCTAAACATAAGAGCTAAAACTATAAAACTCTTAGAAGACAACATAGGGGATAAGCTTCACAACATTGGATTTGGCAGTGGTTTCTTGGATATGACACCAACAGCACAGGCAACAAAAGAAAAAATAGACAAAATAGACTTCATGAAAATTTAAAAATTTTTTACATCTAAAGGCACTATTAACAGAGTAAAAAGGCAACCCACAGAATGGGAGAAAATACTTGCTAATTATATATTTGATAAGGGATTGATATCCAGAATATACAGAGAAGTCTTACAACTCAACAACAGAAATAAACAAACAAAAACCCAATTAAAAGTGGGCAAAGAGGCCAGGCGCAGTGGCTCATGCCTGTAATCCCAGGACTTTGGGAGGCTCAGGCAGGCAGATTGCCTGAGCTCAGGAGTTTGAGACCAGCTTGGGCAACATGGTGAAGCCCCATCTCTACTAAAAATAAAAAAATAAGCCAGACGTGGTGGTGGGCACCTGTGCTCCCAGCTGCTCGGGTGGCTGAGGCAGGAGAATCGCTTGAGCCCAGGAGGCGGAGGTTGCAGTGAATCAAGATCGCACTACTGGGTGACAGAGCCAGACTGTGTCTAAAAAAAAAGTGGGGGGGAGCAAAGAGGAGTCAGGTGTGGTGATACACACCTGTCTTCCCAGATACTTGAGAGGCTAAGGTGGGAGGGTATCCTGAGCCTAGGAGTTTGAGACCAGCCTAGGCAAATAGCTAGAACCTGTCTCTGAAAAACAAAATGGGCAAAGGACTTGAAGAAACATTTCTCCAAGGAAGATATACAAATGGCTAATAACTCCCTAAAAGATACTCAACATAGGTCGGCTATGGTGGCTCACACCTGTAATCCTAGCACTTTGGGAGGCTGAGGCGGGTGGATCACCTGAGGTCAAGAGTTTGAGACTGGCCAACATGGAGAAACTCTGTCTCTACTGAAAATACAAAAGTTAGCTGGGTGTGGTGGTGGGCACTTGTAATCCTAGCTGCTCAGGAGGCTGAGGCAGGAGAATCGCTTGAACCTAGGAGGTGGAGGTTGCAGTGAGCCAAGATCACGCCACTGCACTCCAGCCTGGACAACTGAGCGAGACTCTGTCTCAAAAAAAAAAAAAAGAAAAAAAGAAAAGATACTCAACATGACTAATCATTAGAGAAATTCAAATTGAAACTACGGTGAGATACCATCTCATACTCGTTAAGGATGGCTGCTGTAAAAATAAATAAATAAATGTTGGCAAGAATGTGGAGAAATTGGAACCCTTGTGCACTGTTTTTAGGAATGTAAAATGGTACAGCCACTCTGGAAAACAGTATGGCAGTTCCTCAAAAAATTATAAATAGAATTACCATATGATCCAACAATTCCACTTCTGGGTATACACTCAAATGAATTGAAAGGAAGGTCTTGAAGAGATATTTGTACACCCATGTTCACAGCAGCATTTTTCACAATAGCTAAAATGTGAAAACAACCAACAGCCCATTGACAAATGAGCAAATATGCAAAATATATGTATATACATACATACACACAACGAAATATCATTCAGCCTTAAAGAGGAAGGACAATCTGACACATGATACAACATGGACGAACCTTAAGGACATTATGCTAAGTGAAATAAGCCAGTCACAAAAAGACAAATATGAGGTGGTCAGAGTAGTCAAAGTCACAGAGACAGAAAGTAGAATGGTAGTTGTCAAGAGCTGGAGGAAGAGGGGAGCCGGGTGCAGTGGCTCATGCCTGTAATCCCAGCACTTTGGGAGGCCGAGGCAGGCGGATCACAAGGTCAGGAGATCGAGACCATCTTGGCCAACATGGTGAAACCCCATCTCTACTAAAATACAAAAAAAAATTAGCGGGGTGTGTTGGCCCATGCCTGTAGTCCCAGCTACTTGGGAGGCTGAGGCAGGGGAATTGCTTGAACCCAGGAGGCGGAGGTTGCAGTGAGCTGAGATAGTGCCACTGCACTCCAGCCTGATGACAGAGCAAGACTCTGCCTTTAAAAAAAAAAAAAAAGAGCTGGAGGAAGGGGGAATGGGGAGTTTCACGGGTACAGTTTCAGATTTGCAAGATGGAAAGAATTACGAAGATGAATGGTGGTGATGGTTGTACAGCATTATGAATACAATACCACTGACCTGTACACTTAAAAATGGTTAAGGTAGTAAATTTATGTGTATTTTACCACAATAAAAACAATGCAAAATTTTTTTTTTATTTGTTCATTTGAGATGGAGTCTCGCTTTGTCGCCCAGGCTCAAGTGCAGTGATGCAATCTTGGCTCACGGCAACCTCTACCTCCAGCCTCCCAAGTAGCTGGGATTACAGGCATGTGCCACCACACCCGGCTAAGTTTTGTATTTTTAGTAGAAATGGGGTTTCACCACATTGGCCAGTCTGGTCTCGAAATCCTGACCTCAAGTGATCCACACGCCTCACCCTCCCAAAGTGCTGGGATTACAGGCGTGAGCCGCAGTGTCCGGCCAAAAATAATGCTAATTTTAAAAACCCTCTGGAAATAGACAGAGGTGATGGTTACACATTATGAATTATTAATGCCACTGAATTGTATACTTTAAGATGGTTAAAATTACAATTTAATATTTATTTTAACACACACTATATATGTGTGTGCATATATATACATATACACTAAAACAACACATACACATACACACACATATATATACACCCCTCCCCCGCCCAGCTGCTATGTGAAGAACAGCCTGCAGGGGTAGCGGGTGGGCTCTGGGAGCCAGAGTGGCAGAGGGGGCTGAGGCTGAGGCTGGGGTAGTGGTGATGATGACTGCGAAGAGCCATGATAGATTCCTGGTGTGTTTGGGTGGCTAAACAGACAGAATTGGATTGGATGTGGAGGGTAGGAGATGGAGATAGAGAATTTTTCTGTTTGGGCCATTGCCAAGTTGAAGGTGCCTGACAAATCTAAGACCCTGGCATGAAACAGGCAGGTTGGGATGGAGACTTTTGTTTCATATTCACAAGCATATAGTGACATTTAAAGTGCCATAGGAGAGATGTGGACAGAGAGAAGAGGTGTCAGGATCTGGGCTCCCCAGCACTGAGAAGAACCCAGCAAAGGTGGCTGGCAAGGATAAGCAAAGAAGAGTAGAAAGGCCAGCAAGTGGAGGGCCAAGGGATCCAGGAGGGGAGAATATCTGAGCAGTAGTGGGGAGTCAACTGCCAAGAGCCCATCACAGGAGCTCTTGATGCCTTGCTGGGTGGAGCAAAACAGAACAACCAGGTTGACAAGTCATTTTTACCCCCAACCTCAAGTTATGAATATTTTCAAGCCTACAAAATTGTTGAAAGAATTGTACAAGGAACACCCACAAAGCCACTATCTGGATTTATAATGAACCCCTCCTCTCCTGGCTTTATCACGTATCCATTCTACCATCTATTTGTTCTTCTGTCTGTCCATCTATCCATCCATCTTTTTGTTGAATGTCAAAGTACATTGCAGTGGGCCAGGCATGGTGGCTCACACCTGTAATACCAGCACTTTGAGAGGCGAAGGTGGGAGGATTGCTTGAGCCCAGGGATTCAGGAGCAGCCTGAGTAACATGGCAAAACCCTGTCTCTACCAAAAAAAATACAAAAATTAGCTGGGTGTGGTGGCGCCATGCCTGTAGTCCCATCTACTCGGGAGGCTGAGGTGGGAGGATCACTTGAGTCTGGGAGGTGGAGGTTGCAGAGAGCCATGATCATGGCACTGCACTTCAGAACCAGACCCTGTCCCCCTCCAAAAAAAAAAAAAAAGTACATCGCTGATATCAGTATACTTCCCACTAAGCACTTCAAGCGTATCATTAACTAGAGTTCAGTATTTATTTAAGGTTTCTCTTTTTTAGCTAAAATTTACATATAATGCAATGTACAGCAATTAATTATTCCAGTCGGTGAGCTTTGAGAAGTGGTCTGCAGCTCAGCCCCATGTGGGTTGCAGGTCATCTGGAGTGACCATGGAAGTCATTTAGCAGGAGTTTAAGAGGCGAGGGCCAAGGACTTGCAGGCCAGGATAAAGGGGCCTGGAGGGAGGGCAGCAGAAGCCAGGAGGGGAAGCTGGGCATGAACCAAAGGGTCCTGGGGATTTTAAGGAGAAGTTGAGGCTAGTCCAAGGGTCCAGCCTCTCCTGGAGAGGGTTACTGGTGACTAAGAGGAGTGTGTATGGGGAGGGTGCAGGGGAGTTGGCCAGTCATGGATGGGGTGTGTTACAGGGTACACCAGATCATCCTGGGTCGGGAGGGGGGCTGTCCAGAGCAGTGTGGGAGGAGTTAAGAGATATTGAGGGCAGAGAGACAGATGTGTCCAGGGATCAGCAAGGGGACGGATCCTCTCCCTTTCGTGGAGATCCAAGCCAGTGAGGTCTTCTAGCCCCAGGTGCGATTAGGTTCAGCCTCCACTCCCCAGATCCTGACCTCAGATGTTGGGCAGGTTCCCAAGACCTTCCTCAGGGCTCTGATAGATTGGCACAGGCCTCCCCTGGCTGGTCCAGCTCTGGATCAGTGTGACCCTGCCCACTGGGACCCTGTGGTACCTGCTTCCTAAGCCTGAGGTCAGCTAGCTGACAGTAAGGTGCTAGATGGGGCAGGCAACATGTCTATTGCTGTACCAGGGTGAGTATCCAGGCTAGGCCTGACTCCCTCCCTCTCAGCTGCCACCTTAGCTGCCCTTCTGCACATCGGCCTGTCCTTGTTGTCCAGGGGGCATGGGAAGGTATGTTCCTCCTGATGAGACCTGGCCAGTGACTCATAGCCCAGAAAGGCATATAGTCACACTGGCCAGTGGGGCCCTCCCAGGAACCTCTAGATTTGGCACCTGCAGGGAGGGCTCCTTTATGAGCTGTTTCTGTGATGTTTCAACTTGTACCAAAATGGAAAGCATAAATGCGGCATCAGGCGTGATGTCAGTGCTGAGTGATCTGAAACACTGAATGCCTGCTCTCCCTGGTAGGGCTGGGGCTCTCCACAGGAAGAAGGCTGAGTGACGTCTGCAACCTTCCTTTTCCTTGCTGCTGGGGGGGTGAGAGGAGGCGAGTGGGAAGAGAACATGTGACTTCGGGGGGCTCTCAGAGCTTCCTGACAGCCATGGAGGTGACCGTGAGGTAGACTCCACCCTGTGAGCATCCTTTGGGGCCAGATATGGCAAGCAAGGCTGAGTCCCACCCTTGAGGGCTGAGACACTCTGTGCAGCCAGTGTTCCTGCAGGGAAGATGTAGAAGCTCTTCCCAGAACTGCCCTCCTTGCTCCAGAGCCCAGTGGAGGAATTACCAGGGAGTGACCATTGCAGACAGATCACAGCTGCTCATTCAACTTAGAGTTCATACAGCCTCCAGCTTGGGCCCCAAGCCTCTGGATCCTTGGCCAGTGCCACCTTAGCTGCCCTTCTGCACACTGAATAGTTTGAGTAAGGAAGCAGCTAAAAAAGACTCTTCTCAGGGAGAAAGTCCTCTCAGAGCTACAGAGCCCACAGGGTCCTATGTTTCCAAGTCCCTAGCAGACAGGTGGCAGTGGCTCCCTGCAAAGCCTGTAGGAAGGCTTCCTGCAGCTTCTGCTTCCCCCACCTCTTAAACCACCTCTTGACCTTGTACTGCACTGAGCCTTCCCATCCTTACTGCCACTTAGGCCCCCACTGGGTCGGGGTGCACGGGCTTCCATGGAGGTCCCTACCAGTCCTTGGAGATGGCAAGATGGGCTTCCTTGCTAGCAAGAAGAGTCAGCTCATTCAAAGCTAATGTCTGACAGAGCTGTCCACCTTAGGGTAGCCCCAGGAAGGCTCCTGAGACACGAGGCTCGTGGCTGGTAGCCTGCACATCTCCTGCCCATGTGCCAGATCAGGATCTTGGAGGTATTAGACAGCAGAACCCTAGCTGAGGCTTCTTGTCACACTGGTAAAAGGATAGTCCCTCTGATTCTGATGGAGAGCCAGCTTGGAGAGGGCCTAGGAGCCACAGGGAGCCTTCTGGGTTCAACCTCTTGATGAGGAGGCATCACTGTGTGCAGCTAAGGAAGGCTCTAACTGTACTGGCACTCAGGCCAGTGGAGTCTGCCACAGAACTATTCATGTATACCCAGGCTGGGTGGGCGGGTGGGTTGGGGTGCACAGCCATCATCTCTCTCCCTACCCCGTGGACAGCCTCCATCCCCCTGAGTGTGGGGATAGGGGCCTTGCAGTATGGAGGAAGAGACTGAGGTTGGGCTCCTCCCAGGAAACTGCTGGGGATCTGTCGGGGAGGCAGAGAGGGGGATGTATTGCTGGCCTCAGAGAGCTCCCTCAGCCAGTGTCCTCCTTAGGAGGCCTTGCATGCTGGGCCTGAGCCTGGGAGGGGCTGTGGGGAGGGTGCGGTCAAGGTTCCTTACCGTCTGGAAGAGGCTGGATAGAAATAGCTGCACCCATCTGGGCGATGAGTCACTGAGGGGCGTTTCAGCCTTTTCTTGGAGAAGTTCTATTTTAGGTGAGATGCCTGTGCCACAGCCTGGATGACAGGGGCTGGGGAAAGGAAAGTTCTGGCGGTGAGTGCAGGCGGTTTGGCACGTGCCTTTGTTCAGCCTGATTCAGAACCCCAGGGACAGTCACCCCAAAGTTGCAGGATAAGAAGCCTTACCTCCTAAATTCCCTTTCCCAGGAAGAAGTCTCACCTCAGGGCATGCTGCAGTGCCCAGGTGAATGAGAGAGATGGGACGTTGGGTGTGGGCTGGGCACCCACGGGAAGAACTGAATTTGTGGCTGCCACCCTGGGCCAGAGGCTGAGCTTCCCCTCTGAGGAGTAATCCCCTTCCAGGGTCCCTCTCTGGATGAGTAGAAATGGCCTGCTCTGGGGAACTCTCACTTTGATGGGAATAAGCCCCTCCCTCCCAAGAATGACCTTTCTAAAGAGGTCTTTAGACTGGGTTCAGGGACTGAAATTGTTTTCTCTCTGGCTTTCTCTACCCAAACATAGACAAAGCTGCCTTGCTTCTTTCTTTCTTTTTCTTTTTTTTTTTTTTTTTGAGACAGAGTCTCGCTCTGTTGCCCAGGCTGGAGTGCAGTGGCATGATCTCGGCTCACTACAACCTCTGCCTCCCAGGTTCAAGCGATTCTCCTGTCTCAGCCTCCCAAGTAGCTGGGACTACAGGCATGTGCCACCACACCCGGCTAATTTTTTCTATTTTTAGTAGAGACGGGGTTTCACCATGTTAGCCAGGATGGTCTCGATCTCCTGACCTCATGATCCGCCCGCCTCTGCCTCTCAAAGTGCTGGGATTACAGGCGTGAGCCACGGTGCACGGCCTGCCTTGCTTCTTAAAAAGCATTTGGGTGGGTTAATTGTTCCCAGCTAGTGGGATGGCTTCTCACCTCACTGCCTCGGCATCACTGTTCTTAGAGTTTCTAGAACTGGGATTGGCCTTTGGGGGGCTCTGCCAGGGTTTGCAGTGCTGACTTCTAGAGCCTGACTTGGCCTTTGGAAGAGGCAGGACTACAGAAGGCACCAGGCTCCAGGCTGTCCAGGCTGTGGTTTAGGAGCTACGCAGAGCTGTCAGGGCTGATCTTGCCAGCAGCAACACTTCCTAGCCAGGGAACCATTGAGAACACATTGCTAAAACATCTCAGATCTTGGTTTTCTCTCCTGTGAGGACAAAATGAGAGAATGCCTGTGAACATGCCCTATGTGGTGCTTGGCACAAGGGGGTGCTTGCCAAAGTGCAGTGTTCTCCCTCTTCTTGGCTGCTGCCCTTGGGTTGCTGGGATAAGGCACCTGAGCCCAGGTCCCCCAACTGGCAAGTCAACCTGTAGCAGTAGCCCTGGGGCCTCAAGGCAGAGAGCAGGGCTGGAGCCACGTGTGGGTAAATAAAAGGGGCCTTCTGCCCCAGAGATGAGACGGCACCTTCCCCTGGTGATGACTGGGTGGCCAATAGGGTGCATTTAGAACCTCTGGCTGCAACCACAGACAGAGAACAACCTTGGCCTCCAGCCTCAGCTCTGGTTGATGAGGAGGAGACTCTTCATTGAGGCACCAAATCTCGGGGCTTCCACCTTGTTGAGCTATGACCTGCATGACCAAATTGCCAGGATGAATGAAGCAAGCCCCTCTGGGATGAGCCCTGCTCTGTACCACATGTTGTGTGCAGCCCTGAGAACACCCTATCAACGAGAGCTCATGGGCTGCTTTGGGGCACAGAAGACACCTTGTAAACAACAAATCAGTAGACACTTTGGGAAAGAATAAGCACTATGGAGAAAATAAGCTGGGTGATTTGACACAGAGTACCCGGAGGGTGTTTTATTTTTATTTATTTATTTAATTATTTTGAGATGGAGTCTCACTCTGTTGCCCAGGCTGGAGTGCAGCGGCACAGTCTTGGCTTACTGCAACCTCCGCCTCCTGGGTTCAAGCAATTCTCCTGCCTCAGCCTCCCAAGTAGCTGAGATTACAGGCGTTCGCCACCACACCTGGCCAATTCTTACTATTTTCAGTAGAGATGGGGTTTCACCATGTTGGTCAGGCAGGTCTCGAACTCCTGACCTCAAATGATCCTCCTGCCTCTGCCTCCCAAAGTGCCTGGATTACAGGTGTGAGCCACCGCACCTGGCCAAAGGAGAGCATTTTAGATTGTGTGGCCAGAGGAGGTCCTGGTGGGAAAGTGTTACCTCATCTGAAATCTGTACAACAAGCTGGGCCAGGGGGCAGAGGGAATAAGGAGTACAAAGGCCCTGGTACAGAAATGAGCTCAGGGGACCACTTGGCAGAGCAGACAGCCTAGAGTGTCTGCAGTGAAACAGCCAAGGGGAGATGGCAGGAAAAGAGACCAGAGAGAGGGGGAGGCTGGGGTGGGGCTGGGTTGGGTCACAGAGTTGTGCTGAAGAGTTCCCAAGGTGTGGTGGAAATCCACTTAGAGTGTTTGATCCTATTGGTGAGATGCTCTGATTTACATGTGGGTTTTTGGAGAAAAATTATTGGGTCATGTAACTGGAAGTCCAAGGGTAGACTTGGGGCATAGCCAGATCCAGGGAATGGAATGAAGTCATCAGATCTACTCCTTTCTCCTTTCGTTGACTCCTACCATCTATGGACATCATTCTTAGCATCTCTCTGTATGTTGGGAAAGAAGACTACTGCTGCTGCAAAGCTACATCCTTCTGATTAGTAATCCAAAGGAAAACGAATAAAGACCCTCTCTCCTGTTGTTCATTACCAGATAACGTGGAGGGCTCTAACCGACTCTGTTTGCCAGGTCACGTGCCCATCCCTGCACAGGGCTAATGGCAGAGGGAAACTATGTGTTTATCACATGGATAGCGGCACATGTCTCGTTTGCTCTGGAGGCATGAATTATCCCACTTCTTTAAAAAGCTATCTTCCTTAAGGGAAAAAAAAAGGCTTTAAAAAATTCTACTTAACATCAGTCACTTACATTGCATTACTTTACCCTCGCTTATTTTGTTCTCAAGATTTTTCATTCTGTAGTATCTTGTTTCTTCAGCTAGACTCTAAGCTTCTTCAGGATAGGAATCATGGTTTCTTTTTATTCTCTATGCCTCCTTCTCCCACGTATTACTCTTCACTTATTTATTCATTATGTGAGTTTTTACTGAATACCCATTGCATATAAGCACTGCTCTAGGGCCATGCCTTTCCTCTTGGGTTAGGTTTTAAAAGATCAGTCTGGCTGCTATGTGCAAATGGCCTGAAGTGGGAAGCAGGGGAAGGCTACTGGGTTCATCCGAGCGGGAGGTTGGGGTGCACAGATCTGAGGCACTGCCAGGGGGTGGCGGGGAGGACTCTCAAGCAGGAGGGTCTGGCAGGCAGTGAGTTGGTGGTTGGGGTGGGGTGGGGGATGGGACTGCCTCCACTGCCTCACATGCCTGGCAACTCCTAGAGGGCAGGGGAGTGCCATCTGTCCTTCAGCCCTGCCACCTGGCAGCCCAGAAATGCCTGAGCAGGGCTTGGTGCTCCTGCCTGTGCTAGGAGTGGCCTTGGCTGCTGTGGGGCCTGCACTGACCTGGGCCATGAGTACTGCCAATCCTGGCCACCCTGCTGACTATTTTGCTTTTCTCCTCAGGTGAAGGAGTGGCTCTGTCTGAACTGTCAGATGCAGAGGGCTCTGGGAATGGACATGACCACTGCACCTCGCTCCAAGAGCCAGCAGCAGCTGCACTCCCCAGCCCTGTCTCCTGCCCACTCCCCGGCCAAACAGCCCCTGGGGAAGCCAGACCAAGAGAGATCTCGGGGCCCAGGAGGACCACAGCCTGGGTCCCGCCAGGCTGAGACAGCCAGGGCCACCTCAGTGCCGGGGCCTGCCCAAGCAGCTGCCCCTCCAGAGGTGGGGAGGGTGTCTCCTCAGCCCCCTCAACCCACCAAGCCTTCCACAGCTGAGCCCAGGCCACCTGCAGGAGAGGCCCCGGCCAAAAGTGCCACCGCAGTGCCCGCTGGGCTTGGTGCCACTGAGCAGACCCAGGAGGGCCTCACTGGTAAGCTCTTCGGCCTTGGCGCGTCACTGCTAACCCAGGCGAGCACCCTCATGTCTGTGCAGCCCGAGGCTGACACCCAGGGCCAGCCTGCCCCCAGCAAGGGGACACCTAAGATCGTCTTCAATGATGCCAGCAAGGAGGCTGGCCCAAAACCCTTGGGCTCAGGGCCCGGGCCTGGGCCAGCACCTGGAGCCAAAACTGAGCCTGGGGCTAGAATGGGTCCTGGATCTGGACCTGGAGCCCTGCCGAAAACTGGGGGAACAACCAGTCCAAAGCATGGCAGAGCAGAACATCAGGCAGCATCGAAGGCTGCTGCCAAGCCAAAGACCATGCCGAAGGAAAGGGCCATCTGCCCACTGTGCCAAGCCGAGCTCAACGTGGGCAGCAAGAGCCCAGCCAACTATAACACATGCACCACCTGCAGGCTCCAGGTGTGCAACCTGTGTGGCTTCAACCCAACACCCCACCTGGTGGAGGTAAGAGCTGGACCAAGCATGCTCCCTTGAACCTTGATGAGAGGCCGGGCCTGGGTAGTGAGTGTCATGGGAACCAGAAAGAGTTCTGGGTCTGCAGCAGCCATGGGGCTGCTCCTGTACAACTAATGCTGCAGAGGGGCTGCATTCCCTTTCCTGTCCCTACCTCAGGCCCCAGTTCTACTCAGAACTAACTTTCACTCAGAGTTGGGGGTAATGGTGCCTACTGACTCAGACTAGTGCCCTAAGGCTGATCCCAGAGTCCCTGAGCTGGCCTCCCCATTTCCAGCTACCATGGGCATGGCCCTGATGAAAGACACCAACCTCCCCTGCTCAGATAGGAGAACCTGAGGTCCCACACTGCCATGGACCTGTGACCTTCAGAGGGGTGGGGATCGAATGGCCATGATGCAGAGGGTTGCGTCCCACATCCAGGGTGGGGTGGGAGGCTTTCTCACAATGGGGCAGGGCATGTCCCACTGTCCAGGCTCCAGCCCAGCAAGGTGGTATTCAACCTTGATTGTCTCTTCTGAGGTCATAAGTGTTGACGTCTACTTGTCAAAGTCACAGCCTTTGGTCCACATGTTTTACCCAGGCTGGGGCTGGGCTCTCCTTAGAGCTGCTACTGGGGATGCTCAGAGATGCTTCTCTTTCCCACAGGAAGGTTTGAGACAGACCTGGGGTTGTGGCCATTCTCTCCGCAGCCCCTGCTCCAGGGAAGGGCACTGAGCACTGTGCAGTGCTAGGCAGGAGGGAGCAGGAGGCCCAGTGTAAGGTTCAGTGTTCCCTCGAAGCCTGGAGTCCAGCCCAAGAGGCTCAGAAGGTGAAGGTGCCCTGGCAGAATTAGACCAGCCTGGGCCAGGAGCAGATGCTGCTTCTGCTCCTCCCTCAGTCCTGTGGCCCACTCTCCCTGGCCCAGGGTCACCCATGTGACCCTTACCATGCTGCCTTGGGCGTAGCTTGGTGTGTCTCCTTAGAGTGCCCTCAGTCTTGATAGATGAATGTGTTTCCCAGCTGTGTCACGTTAGGAGATGTTCGAGCCAAGGCCCTGCCTCTTGCACATGGGGAGCCACCTGAGCCCTCTGGTCTCTTGGGCTGAGCCATTTGTAGCTGATGGTGGCACAGGGGTGTGCGGAGTGCAAACCACCACTGGCCCAGGATGGGACAAGAGAGGAGAGCATGATGTTGCCATGGCCTCTGTGGCACCTTGTTCTGACTTCCCTTGGGCCAGGACTCCACAGGAGTCCCCGTGGGACCCCAGCATGACTAGGAAGACTACTTTGGCCACCAAAGGCCACACTTTCCAATATGCAGGGAAGGGCAGCCCTGAGCAAGACAACTGACCTCCTCATGTGGCACCCATCTGGTCTTCTAGGCACCACGAAGCCAACTCTCCAAGCTCTAGATCTGGTGGCTCACTGGCGACAGTTTGCCTCACTGGCTCGGGGAAAGGGGTGCACCAGGGTGTCACCACAAGACTAGGAGAACCCTAGCTGGCTGCTCTGCCCAGAGACCTCCAGGCACAAGCTCACTGCTGGTCAGGTGGGGCACACTGACACTGAGCGACTGTGAGCCCCAGTGGACTTCTGAGTTGGCCTGGCCTGGAGGACTCCTGTCCCCAAGAGACCTCCCAGCCCACATTTCCTTATTAAGCAGAATGTGCACGAATGGGAGGGGAAAACTGTCTCTGTCCAGGAGCATAAATGTTCCTGACAGTTCCTCTTGGCCGTCCCTGGGCCAGGCCACGGGAAGTGCTGATTCTGCCCAAACAGAAGAGTTTCGTTCACACGCTGACTAGATGAAACGTCTGGATTCTGGCCTAGGCCTCTCATTAGCTGCTTGGTTCTGGCTATCCTGGACCCTGGAGCTTCTGTCTCTTGATGGCCGGTGTTCCCCCCATCACACCTCTCTCAATTTCCTGCTGTCTCCATGTCCTGCCCCACTGCCCCCTCCTTAGCCAGGACCACTCTCATCTCCATAGGGTCTGATGGGTCCCATGGGCCTGAAAGAAAGCTGGGGGATGTCCTGGTCCTAGTCCTGGTCCTACCTCATCCCCAGCTCAGGCTGCTCCTGACAGCAGTCAGGGGTGATGAAGTCTCTCTAACTCCTTTCTCATAGCTCTCCCTATCAATGCTGCTGTCCCCAGAGGGCCTGCAGCTATTCTAGGGAAGGTGTGGATAGGCGGCCATAATGCCTCTCCCATGATTCCCACCATAGAGACTGTACCACCATCCACCACCAGAGATGCAAGCCAGCAGCCCGGGGTCATCCTCACCTCCTCCTCTTTAACCTCTGCACCTGCTCCATGGACCAAGCCCTGCCAGCTCTGCCTCCCCACTGTCACAAGAATCTGGCCTCTCTCCCACCCATGCTCACAGCCTTAGTCCTTCCGTCCTTATCCTCCCTTACCCACACAATGACCAAAACCTCTGTGCAGCTTCACCTGCCTTGGGTCTTGCAAGGGGCTGGTGCTGATATGTTCACCATCCCTTCAGCATTGCTTTTCTTCACTGAGGCCCCTAACCAGGCTGTGGTCTGTCTTGGATCTCACCTCAGTCAATGGCCACTTGGCATCCTGAGCAATTTTGTGCTTC
This sequence comes from Homo sapiens, assembly GCF_000001405.40. Lineage (NCBI taxonomy): Eukaryota > Metazoa > Chordata > Mammalia > Primates > Hominidae > Homo > Homo sapiens. The sequence continues at coordinate 49,645,744 of NC_000003.12, forward strand.
TCTGTGACCTACTTGGTGTGTTCTTGGTTAGAGGTTTCTGATTTCTCAGCACTTGCCAGAGACACTTACCCTGCCTTGGGAGTGTGGTGGTAAGGCCAGCAGGTCCTTCTCCAGGTCCTAAGGGTGGGTCTGCCATGGCTGTCTCTCTCTGGACCTTGCCTGCTTAAGAACGACTGTGCTGTGTCTTTGTGCACAAAGAAGGGACAGACCCGTGGAGCCCCCCTCATAGCTCCCACAGCCCTGTTAGACCTCCTGGGACTCCACCTGAGGCCACAGTCAACCATCTGGGCCAGTGGGTTGGGAATTTTCCCCATAGGTTGGAAATTTTCCTGAACATTTCTGAGCTGTAGAAATCTTTCTTCTTTCTAGATTGGGAGTTCAGAGCACACAATAGAGGAGAGAGTAGAATTGGATCCTTTTTCCTTTTGAACTTTCCTCTGAAAAAAAATAACCATAGTGCTATTTAGTGAGTCATTTCATAATTAAGAGTTGTTGATTCCAGTTTTTTTTACCTATTTGTCTTTTGGAAGGATAATAGTACTCTCTGGCTTAATTTTTAATTGACGTTCAGTTCAAAATAGAGTTTGTGAAGAAATTAGTTGAATTGGAATTGTGACAGTAACATTACCAGTCTCTTATTATATCATCATTGCCAAAATTCCAGCTGTGCCCTTGAGAAGTCGGGCCTCCCTGGGCAAAGTCCCTTGCACCTGTGATACATGGGGCTGGGCTTGCTCATTGGGGTAGGGGTTGCAGCAGGGGCATCAGGCCAGAGGTCCTGTTGCCTCCCATGTAGAATAGGGACCACAATACTCCCTTTTAGGTTTCCGTGAGAACCAGGTGAGATGCTGTACCTCAGATGCTTATGCAAGGCCTGACACAGTCAGCCCTTAAGCCAGGATTTTGGAACAGGAGTATCCTAAAAGAGGGTCTCTGTGTGAGAAAGGAAGCGTCCCCATGAGCCCCTATCTGGGTGTGGATGGACCCTGTGGCTGGTGTAAGCTTTTGGTATGAGGGATGCCCCACAGGGAACAAACACATTTGGTGCTGGGGGGTGAGGGGGTTACAGCCCAGCTACAAGGATACACACTGGGGACACCATGGTGGGTTTATTTTATGGGAGGAAGAGGCCCAGAAAGAAGGAGCTTAGGCATGTCCAGCAACAGGGAGGCTCAGGGTCGCAGAGTCAGGAGAGGAATAGCAGCACCAGTGATGGCCATCCCTGTGGTCCAGTGTCCTCCAAGATGACCCCTGGGCATCCTTTTCTCTGGAGTTCTCATTCACAGCCCCCTGGTCTGGCAGCAGGGCTGAGGGTGTTTAGGGCCAGGCAGCTGGCCATAGGGCATTGACTGGAACGGTGTCACCATAACCATACTGGCATGCAGGCCAGCTCCACACATGAAGAGATTACGTGGAATGTAGGTTCATTCAGATGATGGCAGACAGTGCAGGATCTGTCCTGGCTCACAAGGCACAATGGCCAGTGGTCCCAGAAGGCAGCAGCTCTCACGTGCCTAGAGGGCACCCCACTAACTCAGTCATCCCGTTTCCCCTTCTTTACCCTAAATAGTGATGCCCTGAACCACTGAGTGCCATCTGATGGCATACACACCTGCCTCTCCCACTGTTAGTTGATGATTGTCCTTGGGGAATTTGTATCTTCCTGCCCTAGAAAGGAACTGGACAGAGGGAATGAGGCAGAAGTAGTCATCAGAGCCACCCCATTATCCATCCCCTGCCCTTTTGTCAAAGAGGCCAGGCGAAGGGGTAAGCAGGCAGCACTTTCCCAAGGACTGGAGCTGGCATGGGCTGAGTGAGGCAGAGTACGAGAGGGCTGTGCAATGAATGGATGGCTGAATGAGGAATGAACACTGAAATTGCGGAATGGAAACGAGCGGAAGAATAAGGGAATGAATGATTGGGATGGAGGTAGGGGTATGTTGGGGTTGGAGAAAATGAGAATAGAATGAATAAAGGAATTGGGACCCCAGCTGTCCCAGCCCCCAGGCACAGAGATTCTACATGGCCTGCCTTCCACCCGATTCTCATTCCCCAGAAGACTTGGGCCTGGGCCAGGTCTCCCCTGGCTCTACTCCTACCAGCCCCAGTGCCCTGTACCCTTCTTCCCCACTCCCAGAGGGCTTGTGAAGGGCCTCCAGCAGCCAGGTCAATGTTTATTTTTAGCCCTTACTTCACACGCCTCTTCCTGCCTGCTCTCCCTTCCTCACTGCCTACTATAGCAGAGCCAGGAGCAAGAGGGCCTGCCAGGCAACCTGCAACCTGGCTGTCTCCATGAATAAATGTGTGAAGGAGCAAAGCACCAGGGAGCATGTGACCACAGGTAACATCTCTGCTGAGAGCTGGGCCTCTGGGCTCAGGCAAGCTGGCCTCTCCAGCATTTGGTCAGAGCACTTAACATTAGGTCTGCTTCCTCCATCCAGACTACCCTTCCAAGGTGACTTGCTTCATTTAGACTGTTGCTTCTGTGTGGGGTTCGCAGGCCAGAGATGGGGTTAGGAGTTTGCCAGGCCACCAAGGTGGGCCAGGGCAGATATCCAAACTTTGAGAGGCCTAACATGGGATGGGTGTGCACAGGGCTCCAAAGTGGAGTTAGGGCAGCATTGCCTTGGGCCAGCCCACTGGGCCTAGATCCTAAACCCATCATGCTGACCATAGGGCTGGGGAAGGGGCTGTTTGATCATTTCCAGAGCTCTCTCTCTTGATCTCTGCCTATAGCCCTGCCATCTCTCCAGGGTCATTTTGCCATCTCACAGTCCTTTCTGACATGGGGGAATTTCCATTGTGTACACAGGTGATGCTGGGGGCATGTGAGCTAGGGTTCCTGGATCAGGCTCTGTGCTCTCCCATGTCCTGTTCATCTGGGGCTCGGTCTCAACCTATCTGTATTTTCCCCAGGCACCTCTGGGGGTGCACCCTGCCAGGCCAAGTGAGCCCAGGGCCTGGCCAGTGGCCAGCACTTACTGCCTTGTGGGGTTTTGTGTGGAGACACATTGAGCATCAGATAAGGTTCAAGGGAGTCAGTAGTGGTGTTAGGGCTGGGCTGTGCAGAGAACAGAGTGAGTATATGTATGTAGGGCATCTAAAGGGTCCCCCTCCACAGCTGGGCCACTGCCCCATTCCTCTGCCTGGGACTTGTGCATGAGGTTGGGCCTCGGGGAAGAGCAGAAGCTCCAGTGGGAGAGAAGCAGTCTCGACCCTGAGTAACCAGCCTGGGGAGCAGGCCTGTCCCTCAACACACACCAAGGCCCTGCCACCTGCCCAGCCTAGCCTCTGCTGAAGCCCAGAGCAGAGAAGTGGAGTGTAGCTCTCTGTGGACAGCAAACCAGGGCAGAATCATTGACATGTTATCTGCCATGGTGGCCCTAGGATGCCAGGCTAAGGGCAGGCACCCTGGGGGTACCAGGCTTCCAAGGCTGCCAGAGGCAGCATGTGAAGTGAGGGTACTGAGGTTGTCAGCCTTCCTGGGGGTGGCAAGGGCCAAAGGTCACCTCCTTTTCCAGTCCTCTGGCTCTGTGACCTTGTGGTTCTTATGGTCCACCTCGGTGGCAGAGTTGCTGGTGGGAGCCTGTATGTCCAGGCACCTGGGATGAGTGAGTTCCCTGCAGGACGGATGGAGCACTAAGGCTCTGCGCCACAGAGTAAGAACAGGCACAGGTGTCTGTGGGACCCTGCTCTGGGCTCCACTGTAACTCTCATTCTCCATCCCATGTGGGCCAGAGAAGGACTTCAAATCCTGCCAAGGAGGAGCCCTGACTCTGGAGGAGGCTACTGGGAGACATGCCCCTGTCAGCCTCAGACCTGCTGCAGGAATCACCCATTTAGGCCTCAGAGATGCCCAAACCCTATGCCTGTACAAAGCAGCTGGGGCTGGGAGACATGGACTTCGCTTCTTGTGTTCTGGGGGCTTCACCATTGATACCTGTGTCATACTTGTAAATGACCTGTTTGGGGTTGTGGGCTCCAGAAAGGCTGCATGCCAGTGCCTGTCTGTCTGCTGAGTCATGGCTGTCTTCAGCCCCCAGCACTGGGCCTGAAACAGTAGAGGATCCTGAGAGTGGTGGACTGATGGTTGAGAATTTGATCCCAGTCCAGCTCTGGAAGGAGCAGGGCCCCTGACACAAGGGCCACCACACATAGTCCCCATCAGAGGAACAGTCCAGAGCCCTGGGGGCAGGAGGAGGCCTCTACCTGAGGGTCTCTGCTGGCCTTAGACAAGGTGACTTGGGCTGGGGATTTGAGCAGGGAGGACTGCTCAGCCCCTCTGTCCTCCACCAAGCAGGGTTACTCCCAGACAGCCTCCCCTGGCCCCAGGAGTCTGCACCCTATCTAGCATAGCCCTTACCTGGGAAAGAGTGTGGGGAAGGATGGAGTCAGACCTGAGAGCTGGGAGGCAGGGGAAGCATAGTGCCTCCAGGAAGTGCTCCATGCTTGGATGCCACTCCTCTTCCACAAGGGTTCTCAACTGCTGGACTCCATACCAGCCCACTAGGAGCCGTTTGCTCCCTCAGATTGAGACCTCAGCTTCCCCTGTGCTTAGGGCTAGGCCCTCCCATCCCCCACAGTTCTCCCCCTTTTCTGGCCTGGTGAAAAGTTCTCTGTGGGTTAAGGAAAGTACTCTTCTTTGGGGTTGTTACTTGCATTCTGACTTTGTGTGTGTTCATCTTAAAGGTAGGGGAATTTGTTATTTGGGGGCAGTAAATTGGTCAGTCTTTTTCTCCTTATGTCTTTGGTGTTATGCTTTGAAAGTTCTCTCCTCCCTAAGGTTACAGAAATAGTTATGGAAATATTATTTGAGGACTTCAGTGTCTTTTTAATTTTCATCAACCCCCTCTCCCATTTCCTTGCAGAAAACAGAGTGGCTCTGTCTGAACTGCCAAACCAAGCGGCTACTGGAGGGCAGCCTAGGAGAGCCGACCCCCCTGCCGCCGCCCACCTCACAGCAGCCCCCTGTAGGGGCCCCTCACCGTGCATCTGGAACATCCCCTCTGAAGCAGAAAGGGCCACAGGGGCTGGGCCAGCCTTCAGGCCCCCTGCCTGCCAAGGCCAGCCCTCTATCCACCAAGGCCAGCCCTCTGCCCAGCAAGGCCAGCCCCCAGGCCAAGCCCCTCAGGGCTTCTGAACCCAGCAAGACCCCAAGCAGTGTCCAGGAAAAGAAGACCCGAGTCCCCACTAAAGCTGAGCCCATGCCGAAGCCACCTCCAGAGACTACCCCAACCCCTGCGACTCCTAAAGTAAAGAGTGGGGTGAGGAGGGCTGAACCTGCCACCCCTGTCGTCAAGGCTGTTCCAGAAGCCCCCAAGGGTGGGGAGGCGGAGGTCAGTCCCATTCACTTCCCAGAGACCCTAGCTTTCAGACAGGACAGTCTATGGAAAGGCTTGCCTCCCTGGGTGGCTGAGGCTGTAGGCTCAGGACAGGTGCCTTGGGGCCACACAGGAGGGAAGGGACACAGTAGAAGGAAAGTCTAGATGAGGTTCTGGCACGCTTGGAGACTGTGGGTTTTACACTGGTGCTGTGTCTGGCACCTTGTCAGATGCTTTGCTGGGTTTTGATACCCTTTGATCTAGTAAAGTTTCTCTTTGAAGACCAAGGGCTGGTTTGGGCTTGCCATGGAACCTTCAGGTTATTCAAGGCCAGAAGGAGATAGGGTGGGTGGCGGGCCCTAAACCCTTGGGAAATGGACAGACTCTTCCCCAGGGTCCTGGGATTGACAGGGAGGATTGGGTTCCCACCACGAGCTTTGCCATGGGGAGTCAGTGTCTGCTTTTCACCCTGCTGCAGGACCTGGTGGGCAAGCCTTACTCTCAGGATGCGTCTCGGAGCCCACAGAGCCTCAGTGACACAGGCTATTCCTCTGACGGCATCTCTAGCTCCCAGAGTGAGATCACAGGAGTCGTGCAGCAGGAGGTGGAACAGCTGGACAGTGCAGGGGTGACAGGGCCACATCCACCCAGCCCCTCCGAGATCCACAAGGTGGGGAGCAGCATGCGGCCTTTGCTGCAGGCCCAGGGCCTGGCCCCAAGTGAGCGGAGCAAGCCACTCTCCAGCGGTACTGGCGAGGAGCAGAAGCAGCGGCCCCACTCCTTGTCCATCACGCCTGAGGCCTTTGACTCTGATGAGGAGCTGGAGGATATCCTGGAGGAAGACGAAGACTCTGCTGAGTGGAGGCGCCGGAGAGAGCAGCAGGACACTGCCGAGTCCTCAGACGACTTTGGCAGCCAATTGAGGCACGACTATGTGGAGGACAGCAGTGAGGGTGGCCTGTCCCCTCTTCCACCCCAGCCCCCAGCCCGGGCAGCAGAACTGACTGATGAGGATTTCATGCGACGGCAGATTCTCGAGATGAGCGCCGAGGAAGACAACCTGGAGGAGGATGACACTGCCACCTCCGGGCGTGGCCTGGCCAAACATGGCACCCAGAAAGGTGGCCCCAGACCCAGGCCTGAGCCTAGCCAAGAACCAGCAGCACTGCCCAAGAGGCGCCTGCCCCACAATGCCACCACGGGCTATGAGGAGCTGCTCCCTGAGGGAGGCTCAGCAGAGGCTACCGATGGCAGTGGGACCCTGCAGGGTGGGCTCCGTCGCTTCAAGACCATTGAGCTCAACAGCACGGGAAGTTATGGTCATGAGTTGGACCTGGGCCAAGGCCCAGACCCCAGTCTGGACCGGGAGCCTGAGCTGGAGATGGAGAGCCTAACGGGCTCCCCTGAGGACCGCTCCCGTGGTGAGCACTCCTCTACATTGCCTGCCTCCACACCCAGCTACACCTCGGGCACCTCTCCCACCTCTCTGTCCTCCCTAGAGGAGGACAGTGACAGCAGCCCCAGCCGCAGGCAGCGTCTAGAAGAAGCAAAGCAGCAGCGCAAGGCCCGGCACCGCTCCCACGGGCCCCTGCTACCCACCATCGAGGACTCCTCAGAGGAGGAGGAGCTGCGGGAGGAAGAGGAGCTGCTTCGTGAGCAAGAGAAGATGCGGGAGGTGGAGCAGCAGCGCATCCGCAGCACGGCCCGCAAGACCCGGCGGGACAAGGAAGAACTGCGGGCCCAGCGGAGGCGAGAGCGCTCCAAGACACCACCCAGTAACTTGTCACCCATCGAGGATGCCTCCCCGACGGAGGAGCTGAGGCAGGCGGCCGAGATGGAGGAGCTACACCGCTCCTCCTGCTCTGAGTACTCACCCTCACCCTCCCTTGACTCTGAGGCTGAGGCCTTGGATGGTGGCCCTAGCCGGCTTTACAAGTCAGGCAGTGAGTACAACCTGCCCACCTTCATGTCCCTCTACTCACCAACCGAGACACCCTCCGGCAGCTCCACCACTCCCAGTTCCGGACGGCCGCTCAAGAGCGCTGAGGAGGCTTATGAGGAGATGATGCGCAAAGCTGAGCTGCTCCAGAGGCAGCAAGGCCAGGCAGCAGGGGCCCGGGGACCCCATGGCGGCCCCTCTCAGCCCACAGGCCCCCGGGGCCTGGGCTCCTTCGAATATCAAGACACTACAGACCGTGAGTATGGCCAGGCTGCTCAGCCTGCCGCAGAGGGCACGCCAGCCAGCCTGGGAGCAGCCGTGTACGAAGAAATCCTTCAGACATCACAGAGCATAGTCCGCATGCGGCAGGCCTCCTCACGAGACCTGGCTTTTGCTGAGGACAAAAAGAAGGAGAAGCAGTTTCTAAATGCTGAGAGTGCATACATGGACCCAATGAAGCAAAATGGTGGCCCCCTTACCCCTGGTACCAGTCCCACCCAGCTCGCTGCCCCTGTGTCCTTCTCTACCCCCACCTCCTCAGACAGCAGCGGGGGCCGAGTTATTCCCGATGTCCGTGTCACTCAGCATTTTGCAAAGGAGACTCAGGACCCCCTCAAGCTGCACAGCTCTCCTGCCTCCCCCAGCTCAGCCTCCAAGGAGATAGGCATGCCCTTTTCCCAGGGCCCTGGGACCCCAGCCACCACAGCTGTGGCTCCTTGTCCAGCTGGGCTGCCACGAGGATATATGACTCCAGCCTCCCCAGCAGGCTCCGAGCGTAGTCCTTCACCATCTTCCACAGCCCACAGCTATGGACACAGCCCAACCACTGCAAACTATGGGTCCCAAACTGAGGATCTACCCCAGGCCCCCAGTGGCCTTGCTGCAGCTGGACGAGCTGCTAGAGAGAAGCCCTTGAGTGCGAGTGACGGTGAGGGTGGCACTCCTCAGCCTTCCCGGGCATATTCCTACTTTGCAAGCTCCAGCCCACCTCTCTCCCCGTCTTCCCCCTCAGAGAGTCCCACATTCTCCCCTGGCAAGATGGGCCCAAGGGCCACAGCAGAGTTCTCTACACAGACGCCAAGTCCAGCCCCTGCCTCAGACATGCCACGGAGCCCTGGTGCCCCCACTCCATCACCTATGGTAGCCCAGGGTACACAAACACCACATCGACCCAGCACGCCTCGCCTGGTGTGGCAGGAGTCCTCTCAAGAGGCTCCCTTTATGGTCATCACGCTGGCATCTGACGCCTCCAGCCAGACCAGGATGGTACATGCCAGTGCCTCCACCTCCCCGCTCTGCTCACCTACTGAAACCCAGCCCACCACCCATGGCTACAGCCAGACAACACCTCCGAGTGTGTCTCAGCTGCCCCCAGAGCCACCTGGGCCACCTGGCTTTCCACGGGTGCCCAGTGCTGGTGCAGATGGGCCCCTGGCACTATATGGCTGGGGTGCCCTCCCTGCTGAGAACATCTCCCTGTGCCGGATCTCCTCTGTCCCTGGGACGTCTAGGGTTGAGCCAGGCCCCAGGACCCCTGGCACTGCAGTGGTAGACCTCCGTACAGCTGTCAAGCCCACTCCCATCATCCTCACTGACCAGGGCATGGACCTCACCTCTCTTGCTGTGGAAGCGAGGAAGTATGGTCTTGCCCTGGATCCAATCCCAGGACGGCAGTCGACCGCCGTGCAGCCCTTGGTTATCAACCTCAATGCCCAGGAGCATACCTTCCTTGCTACTGCCACCACCGTGAGCATCACCATGGCCTCGTCTGTGTTCATGGCTCAACAAAAGCAGCCTGTGGTCTATGGAGACCCCTACCAGAGCCGCCTTGACTTTGGCCAGGGTGGGGGTAGCCCTGTGTGCCTGGCCCAGGTCAAACAAGTAGAGCAGGCTGTCCAGACAGCCCCATACCGAAGTGGGCCCCGGGGAAGACCCAGGGAGGCCAAGTTTGCCAGATATAACCTACCCAACCAAGTAGCTCCTCTGGCCAGAAGAGACGTTTTGATCACTCAGATGGGCACCGCCCAGAGCATTGGCCTCAAGCCAGGCCCAGTGCCAGAGCCAGGTGCCGAGCCCCACCGGGCCACCCCTGCAGAGCTGCGGTCACATGCTCTGCCAGGTGCCAGGAAGCCACACACAGTGGTGGTGCAGATGGGAGAGGGCACAGCAGGCACTGTGACCACACTGCTCCCAGAGGAGCCTGCGGGTGCCCTGGACCTTACCGGGATGAGGCCTGAGAGCCAGCTGGCATGCTGTGACATGGTCTACAAGCTCCCCTTTGGCAGCAGCTGCACTGGCACCTTCCACCCGGCCCCCAGTGTGCCTGAGAAGAGCATGGCAGATGCTGCCCCACCTGGCCAAAGCAGCAGCCCCTTCTATGGTCCCCGGGACCCTGAGCCTCCTGAGCCCCCAACCTACCGGGCACAGGGGGTGGTGGGGCCTGGGCCCCATGAGGAGCAGAGGCCCTACCCACAAGGCCTGCCTGGTAGGCTGTACTCCTCCATGTCTGACACCAATTTGGCTGAGGCTGGCCTCAACTACCATGCCCAGAGGATCGGGCAGCTCTTCCAGGGTCCTGGACGAGACTCGGCTATGGACCTCAGCTCACTGAAGCACTCCTACAGCCTGGGCTTTGCGGATGGACGCTACCTAGGGCAGGGCTTGCAGTATGGCTCAGTCACGGACCTGCGTCATCCTACAGACCTTTTGGCTCACCCGCTTCCCATGCGGCGCTATAGCTCAGTGTCGAACATCTACTCAGACCACAGGTACGGCCCACGGGGAGATGCAGTTGGCTTCCAGGAGGCCAGCCTGGCCCAGTACAGTGCCACCACAGCCCGTGAAATCAGTCGCATGTGCGCTGCCCTCAACTCCATGGACCAGTATGGTGGGCGGCATGGCAGTGGTGGTGGTGGCCCTGACCTTGTGCAGTACCAGCCCCAGCACGGGCCCGGGCTCAGTGCTCCACAGAGTCTGGTTCCCCTCAGACCTGGACTCCTTGGTAACCCCACCTTTCCAGAGGGCCACCCAAGTCCTGGGAACTTGGCCCAGTATGGGCCTGCAGCAGGCCAAGGAACAGCAGTCAGACAGCTGCTGCCGTCCACAGCCACTGTACGTGCAGCTGATGGCATGATCTACTCGACTATCAATACCCCAATTGCTGCAACACTGCCCATCACCACCCAGCCTGCCTCAGTCCTGCGGCCCATGGTGCGTGGTGGCATGTACAGGCCTTACGCATCTGGTGGAATCACAGCCGTGCCACTCACCAGTCTGACACGTGTGCCCATGATTGCCCCCCGGGTACCTCTTGGACCCACAGGGCTGTACCGCTATCCTGCACCAAGTAGATTTCCCATTGCTTCCAGTGTTCCACCTGCAGAAGGGCCTGTCTATCTGGGGAAACCTGCTGCTGCCAAGGCCCCTGGGGCTGGGGGCCCTTCAAGGCCAGAGATGCCAGTAGGGGCTGCACGGGAAGAGCCTCTTCCCACAACCACCCCTGCTGCCATCAAGGAGGCTGCAGGAGCCCCAGCTCCTGCCCCACTAGCTGGCCAGAAGCCACCAGCAGATGCTGCTCCTGGGGGTGGCAGTGGGGCCCTCAGCCGGCCAGGGTTCGAGAAAGAGGAAGCATCACAGGAGGAGAGGCAGCGGAAGCAACAGGAGCAGCTGCTCCAGCTAGAGCGGGAGCGGGTGGAGTTGGAGAAGCTGCGACAACTTCGGCTGCAAGAGGAGCTAGAGCGGGAACGTGTGGAGCTGCAGAGGCACCGTGAGGAGGAGCAGCTGCTGGTGCAGCGGGAGTTGCAGGAGCTGCAGACCATCAAGCACCATGTGCTGCAGCAGCAGCAAGAGGAACGCCAGGCTCAATTTGCACTGCAGCGGGAACAGCTAGCGCAGCAGCGTCTGCAGCTGGAGCAGATCCAGCAGCTGCAGCAGCAGCTGCAGCAGCAGCTAGAGGAGCAGAAGCAGCGGCAGAAGGCTCCCTTTCCTGCAGCCTGTGAGGCACCTGGCCGAGGGCCTCCCCTAGCGGCTGCTGAGTTGGCCCAGAATGGCCAGTATTGGCCCCCCCTTACACATGCAGCCTTCATTGCCATGGCAGGGCCTGAAGGACTTGGGCAGCCTCGTGAGCCTGTGCTGCACCGGGGTCTCCCCAGCTCTGCCTCAGACATGTCACTGCAAACGGAGGAGCAGTGGGAGGCCAGCCGTAGTGGCATCAAGAAGCGGCACTCCATGCCACGCCTGCGGGATGCCTGTGAGCTAGAGTCTGGGACTGAGCCCTGTGTGGTCAGGAGGATTGCCGACAGCAGCGTGCAGACAGACGATGAGGATGGGGAGAGCCGCTACCTCTTGAGTCGGCGACGCCGGGCACGGCGGAGTGCTGACTGCAGTGTGCAGACGGACGACGAAGACAGTGCTGAGTGGGAGCAGCCAGTGCGCCGCCGCAGGTCTCGTCTTCCCCGCCACTCAGACTCAGGCTCTGACAGCAAGCACGATGCCACTGCCTCATCATCCAGTGCTGCTGCCACTGTGAGGGCCATGAGCAGCGTGGGCATCCAGACCATCAGTGACTGCTCCGTGCAGACGGAGCCTGACCAGCTGCCCAGGGTCTCTCCAGCCATCCACATCACAGCTGCCACCGATCCCAAGGTGGAGATCGTCAGGTACATATCGGCGCCAGAGAAGACTGGGCGTGGGGAGAGCCTGGCCTGCCAGACGGAGCCAGATGGGCAGGCCCAGGGTGTAGCCGGGCCGCAGCTTGTAGGGCCAACTGCCATCAGCCCCTACCTGCCTGGCATCCAGATCGTCACCCCAGGGCCTCTGGGCAGATTTGAAAAAAAGAAGCCAGATCCCCTGGAGATTGGGTACCAGGCCCACCTGCCTCCGGAGTCTCTCTCACAGCTTGTGAGCCGCCAGCCTCCCAAGTCCCCTCAGGTCCTCTACTCACCAGTCTCACCCCTGTCCCCTCACCGGCTCCTGGACACCTCCTTTGCTTCCAGTGAGAGGCTGAACAAAGCTCACGTGAGTCCCCAGAAGCACTTCACGGCTGACAGCGCTCTCCGCCAGCAGACGCTGCCTCGCCCCATGAAGACCCTGCAGCGGTCCCTGTCTGACCCTAAGCCCCTCAGCCCCACCGCCGAAGAGTCTGCCAAAGAGAGATTCTCCCTCTACCAGCACCAGGGGGGACTGGGTAGCCAGGTATGGGAACAGGGGCTGTTCCAGGGTGGGACAGGGGTCTCTGCCTAGCCCGAGGGGCCCCCACAGGGAGGGGCTTCTTCTGGGGTGGGAGTAGAGGCATCTCTGGCCCCAGAGGCCCAGGGGAAAGAGTCAATGAGCAGATGCTCCCTGGTGCACATCTGAAAGAGCCTGCAGCCCGGCAGACAGCCTGGCAGATACAGACACACACATGGGCCCCCACAGCCTTCCAGCCACATACCCTACTAGAAGCTTCAGCCTCCTCCCAGCACTGTCCCTTCACCACCCACACCTGGTCCAGCCCCTGCTACCTCCCCCTTTAGGCCTCTTCAGCTCTCACTTCTAGTCTGGACCCCTTCCACTCCAAACTTAATCTATGGGTGTTTCCTAAGAAAATCAGTCATATGAACCTGGCGCGGCTGCTCTCGTCCTCTCAGTCCTGGCCTGGTTTCCATTGCCACACAGGAAGCCCACACCCCTATGGCCTAGCACTAGAGGCCCATCCCAGCGGGCTGCAGTGTGCTCTCTGCCCCAGGGTGTTCTCTGCCCCTACCTGGCCCTCGGTAAATCTGTTTACACATCTGTCTGCTCCCCTAGATAGGGGATTCAGAAGCATAAGCTTACCCTTGGTTGTGGCTTTATTTGCCAGTGATGGATGGGGACTGTGAGAAGTGGCTTGGCTGTGGGCTGCAGCCAAAGTGAGAATAGAGGGTTGTGAGGGCCTAATGCCAACAACTGAGTGCCAGGCTGAGGAGGATGGGCTTTTCCTAAAGACCCTGGAAGCCTCTGGAGGTTTTAGGCATGTGAGATGGGACAAAGCAGATGTTTTGGAAAGTTTCCTGGGCAGAATGTGGGAGGGTGGGCTGAAGGAAGAGACCTGGCAGAGGAGGCAGGAGCCAGAGGCATCGTAAGGTAGATTTGCCCATTTTCAGGGTGTGACACAGAGACGAGAAAAGTGGAGCCTTAGAATGGGGTTTGTGGAGGTGATAATCTTGGGTAGTGAAGTCTTGGTGTATGCAGGCCATATAGGGGTGTGGGTGGGATCAGGACTCTAGGCTGGCAGGGAGGGCAGGTCAGAGAGGCAGGGTGGTCCTGGCTGCAGGCACAGAGGTCCCATGGGCTGGCCATGTGAGACCAGGCCATGATAGGCACTCATGATGCGTGGCCAAAATAAGAAAAGAGACAACAGAGTGAGGGGTTCAAAAGGCTAAATTTATTCCATAAAAGGCCCACCCTGAAATTTTGAGGGCACACTATAATTTTTATTATGACATATGGTGGATGTAGGTGGGAGGTTTTTAGGTAGTTACTTGGCAAGGTAAAAAGTAAGAATCCTATAGGAGTCACTTCCCAGTATATATTGGAATTTGGGTGGTCCATGAAACCCAAGGGCATGGGGCATTCTGGGAAGGCTAGGAGCGAGAGAAAAAGGGAGAAGACAGAGTGAACTACCAGGCAATGTGGACCTTCAGGCAATGCAGAGTGTCTAGGGTAGGCAAGGAGGACCCCATGGTAGGCACTGTTAGGGAACCTTGACCAGGAAGCCATGCTGCTGGAGGTAGGGCTGGATAGGACTTACGGGTGCACTGGTGGCTCCAGAGAACAGCAGGTTGACCGAGGGACATGGAGGGAGCTGGGGACCAGGCCAAGAGCACAGCCCAGAGGGTTTGGCAGAGGGCAGTGCAGGGCACTAGAGGAAGAGGGTGGGCAGGCAGCTGAGGAGCCTTCCACTTTAGAGAGGACTAGGGCAGGATGCAGAATGACTCAGAGCCTGCCACGATTGGCATACAATCTACATGTGTCCCTTCCCATGATCCTCTAGGGAGCCTGGCGGGCCCAGGACCCTCTCCACTCCATGCCTCCTGTTCATACTCCACTGATCTCAACCCCTGTCAGCTGCTAGGCCCCAAACCCAGAGCCACAGCTGTACTCTTCTTACCTCAATGTGAGGCAGAGGGTGGCAGGCCCATTGGAGATGTGCAGGGGTTCTCAAAGCCATGTGCTGGGCCAGTACAGGACATTGGCATGAAGGGAATCTGCCCGTACCCTCCTGCTTCCCAAAGCTCTGGGAAAGAGAAGGGCTGTAAAATAATCACAGATCTTCCCTCTATGGCAAAGAAACCAAGGCCTATGGGTGGGCAGGGTAGGCCTCCAGGCTGCCTGGTAAATCAGGGCACCAGCAAGATGGAACCCAGCTCCTTCCCCAGCCCAGGCCTGGGTTCTGCCACCCCACACCCCATCAAGTCACCACACCTTGGGTCTCAGTGCTGCCCACCCTTCCCTCTGTCTCAGGTGTCGGCGTTGCCACCCAACAGCCTGGTCCGCAAGGTGAAGCGGACACTGCCCAGCCCCCCTCCAGAGGAGGCTCACCTTCCCCTGGCTGGCCAGGCCTCCCCACAGCTGTATGCAGCCAGCCTGCTGCAGCGAGGGCTGACGGGGCCCACCACTGTCCCTGCTACCAAGGCCAGCCTGCTCCGGGAGCTGGACCGGGACCTGCGGCTGGTGGAGCATGAGTCCACCAAACTGCGCAAGAAGCAGGCAGAGCTGGATGAGGAGGAGAAGGAGATTGACGCCAAGCTCAAGTACCTGGAGTTGGGTATCACACAACGCAAAGAGTCTTTGGCCAAAGACCGGGGTGGCCGTGACTACCCACCCTTGCGTGGTCTTGGCGAGCATCGTGACTACCTATCGGACAGTGAGCTCAACCAGCTGCGGCTCCAGGGCTGCACCACTCCCGCTGGCCAGTTTGTGGACTTCCCTGCCACTGCCGCTGCTCCTGCCACCCCCTCTGGTCCCACTGCCTTCCAGCAGCCCCGCTTCCAGCCTCCAGCCCCACAGTATTCTGCAGGCAGTGGTGGGCCAACTCAGAACGGATTCCCAGCCCACCAGGCCCCCACCTACCCTGGCCCCAGCACGTACCCAGCTCCTGCCTTTCCTCCTGGTGCCAGTTACCCAGCTGAGCCTGGCCTGCCAAACCAGCAGGCTTTCCGCCCCACAGGCCACTATGCAGGCCAAACACCCATGCCAACCACACAGAGCACCCTTTTTCCAGTCCCCGCTGATAGCCGTGCCCCACTGCAGAAGCCACGCCAGACATCGCTAGCCGACTTGGAGCAGAAGGTGCCCACCAACTATGAGGTGATCGCCAGCCCCGTTGTGCCCATGTCTTCAGCCCCATCTGAAACCAGCTACAGTGGCCCAGCAGTGAGCAGCGGCTATGAGCAGGGCAAGGTCCCTGAGGTGCCCCGGGCTGGTGACCGTGGCAGTGTGAGCCAGAGCCCAGCCCCCACCTACCCCTCTGACTCACACTATACCAGTCTGGAGCAGAACGTTCCTCGAAACTACGTAATGATTGATGACATCAGTGAACTGACCAAGGACAGCACCTCTACTGCTCCTGATAGCCAACGGCTGGAGCCCCTGGGGCCAGGCAGCAGTGGGCGTCCAGGGAAGGAGCCTGGAGAACCAGGTGTCCTTGACGGGCCCACACTGCCCTGCTGCTATGCCAGAGGAGAAGAGGAATCTGAGGAGGACTCATACGATCCCCGCGGGAAGGGTGGCCACCTCCGGAGCATGGAGAGCAATGGTCGACCAGCCAGTACCCACTACTATGGTGACAGTGACTACAGGCATGGGGCTCGAGTAGAGAAGTATGGTCCAGGGCCCATGGGGCCCAAGCATCCCTCCAAGAGCCTGGCTCCAGCTGCCATCTCCTCAAAGCGCAGCAAGCACCGGAAGCAGGGCATGGAGCAAAAGATATCCAAGTTCTCGCCTATTGAAGAGGCCAAAGACGTAGAGTCAGACCTGGCGTCCTACCCCCCACCTGCAGTCAGCAGCAGCCTGGTCTCTCGGGGCAGGAAGTTCCAGGATGAAATCACCTATGGGCTCAAGAAGAACGTGTATGAGCAGCAAAAATACTATGGGATGTCCAGCCGGGACGCAGTGGAGGACGACCGCATTTATGGCGGGAGCAGCCGGTCCCGGGCACCTTCTGCATACAGTGGGGAGAAGCTGTCCAGCCACGACTTCAGTGGCTGGGGCAAGGGGTACGAAAGGGAACGGGAGGCTGTGGAGCGACTTCAAAAAGCGGGCCCCAAGCCCTCATCCCTAAGTATGGCCCACAGCCGGGTACGACCCCCCATGCGGAGCCAGGCCTCTGAAGAGGAGAGCCCCGTCAGTCCTTTGGGGAGGCCCCGCCCTGCCGGAGGGCCCCTCCCTCCCGGCGGGGATACCTGCCCACAGTTCTGCTCCAGCCACTCCATGCCTGATGTCCAGGAACATGTCAAGGACGGACCTCGGGCCCACGCATATAAGCGTGAGGAGGGCTACATCCTGGATGATTCCCATTGCGTGGTTTCCGACAGCGAAGGTAATGGCAGCCAGGGGTGATTTCTGCGGATACTCAGCAGCTGGGGGGCCTGCCTACCTGTGGGGCCCTGGGCCCTAAGATGTCCCAGCAGGGTCTGGTCTGGCGCCTCATCTGGTGGGCCCTGCTGCAGGCAGGCTGCCCTTGCCTGCTCCATCTGTGCCCTGGTCCGTGGTTGCGGGAGGGTGGGCTGGGGGCCTGCTGATCTGCTTGTGGCTGTGGCACCCACTCTCTTGGTTTCTTTGCATGGCTTCAGCTAGGCCTCCCCCTGCGGCTAGCCCGGGGGTTGATGGTATTCTGTTTTTGGTCTCTGAAGCGTATCACCTGGGCCAGGAGGAGACGGACTGGTTTGATAAGCCCCGGGATGCCCGCTCTGACCGGTTCAGGCACCACGGGGGCCATGCAGTTTCCTCCTCCTCCCAGAAGCGAGGCCCTGCCAGGCACAGCTACCATGACTACGATGAACCCCCTGAGGAGGGCCTGTGGCCTCATGATGAGGGTGGCCCAGGCCGCCATGCCTCAGCCAAGGAACACCGGCACGGTGACCACGGGCGGCACTCAGGCCGCCACACTGGTGAGGAGCCGGGACGGCGTGCTGCCAAACCACACGCTCGGGACCTGGGTCGCCATGAGGCCCGGCCCCACTCTCAGCCCAGCTCTGCTCCAGCTATGCCGAAGAAGGGTCAGCCTGGGTATCCCAGCTCTGCTGAGTACTCACAGCCATCCCGTGCTTCATCCGCATACCATCATGCCTCTGACAGCAAGAAGGGCTCCCGGCAAGCCCACTCCGGGCCCGCTGCACTGCAGTCAAAGGCAGAACCCCAGGCGCAGCCGCAGCTGCAAGGTCGGCAGGCAGCTCCAGGACCACAGCAGTCACAGTCACCATCATCCAGGCAAATACCCTCTGGGGCAGCATCACGCCAGCCACAGACACAGCAGCAGCAGCAAGGTCTTGGGCTGCAGCCCCCACAGCAGGCTCTGACACAGGCTCGGCTGCAGCAACAGAGCCAGCCAACCACCCGGGGCTCAGCCCCTGCTGCCAGCCAGCCTGCAGGGAAGCCTCAGCCAGGCCCCAGCACAGCCACAGGTCCTCAACCAGCAGGACCGGTAAGCAGAGCTCCCATGCATGGGTTGTAACCAGGGAAGATGCTATGAATGAAGCTTGGACATCCCCTTGGTTCCAGGCTGGGCATGGGCAGAATCTTAGCTATAGGTTCTGTGTTGCAGCCACGGGCAGAACAGACAAATGGCTCTAAAGGGACAGCCAAAGCACCGCAACAGGGGAGGGCTCCTCAGGCCCAGCCAGCACCAGGACCTGGACCTGCAGGTGAGCCTATCCTTTGACACCCTTGGCTGTGGCCCAGAGCACCCAGGCTGTTCTCTCTCTATACCACCTGTGCCCTGAGCTCCCCCACACTGCATGCCCTCACTAATCCCTGAGAAGGTGCCCCAGGGGCTGTAGACCTCCCCAGCAGAAAACAAGCCTGGGGTTAGAATAAGCCAATGAGGTCACCAGCACAGGGGCTTTAGGGCCCAAGCAGCTTTGGGCAGAGAAGCAGGAAGGCACTGGTGAGCACAGGGTGGGGACCATGGCTTCTTGCTCCCTCCTTCCTTCCCCTTTCCTGCTCTTCTCTGCCTTTTTTTCCCTTTCTTCTTCTTTCCCTTCCTCAACCTCCTTTTTTCTGCCTTCTCCCACCCCTTGTCTTCCTGTTCTTACCTTCTTCTCTTTATTTCCCTAGCCTCCTTCTCACCTTCCCACCTTATAGGGTACCTGTGTTCAGATTCTCTCGTGGGTACTTGCCCTCTTAGACCCTAAAGAGCCAGGCCGTGCATAGCTCATTATGGCGATTTCTTTCCTCCTAGGTGTGAAGGCTGGAGCCAGGCCTGGAGGAACCCCAGGGGCTCCCGCCGGCCAGCCAGGTGCCGATGGGGAGAGCGTGTTCTCCAAGATCCTCCCTGGCGGGGCAGCCGAGCAAGCTGGCAAACTGACGGAAGGTATGCACTGCCTGCAACTGGTCTGTGGTGGGTGGCTACTCTGGTACAGGCTGGGTCTGTGAGATGATTCCAGACTCAGTCACCCAGGCAGAGGCCAGCCAGAGAGCCCACCTGCTGATGCCCAGTTGTTCTCCGGGCAATCTCTGCCCCTTGGGCTGAGCTTGCCTTCACTATGCCAAGTGGCCCTGACTGGGAGGGGTCTGGCCCAATTTCCTGATGGCTCTCTCCTCTTTCTTTGTCACAGCTGTCTCTGCTTTTGGCAAAAAATTTTCCTCATTCTGGTGACCATGCCCAGCATGGTGAGTACAAGCAGCCTGTACCTTGCCTCTTCTGGGAAAGGCCCGAGGCACTGGGGGTGGGGGTGGGGCTCTAAGTCCGAAGGGGTCCTCTGGGAGGAGTCCAGTCTTCGGCTGGTTCAGTACCCAGAGCTGCAATGTTCCCTTCTCTGAATGTGGGAGGAGAAAAAGGAGGGACACTGTGCACAGAGCCCCTACCATGGGGCCAACACAGTAGGGGTCCCCAGCAAAGGAGGGGCCAAAGCCAGGGCCAGTGCCCTGGCTTTCAAACCATCTGCCATCCCCTGCAGGGCTCTCACAGCACTGGGCTGGCACTGGGTTGTAGGTAGGCCTCCAGGGATGCAACTCCTCTCCAGCCCTCCTCTAAATGCTCCACAGGCTCTTGAAGAAATGAAGAGAGGTATCATTGCTGTGGAAAAATCTCTGGAGTCAGAGGCCTGGGCGCAGCTCTGGACTCTGCGTATAACAGTGAGTGTCAGGATCAGGGTGAGATGGGCCGGAGGAGGGGTGAAGGGCCAAGGCCTGGCTGATGACAGCTAGCCAGTTCTGACAAGTGTGAACTGGGAAGGGCCTGTTGGGTTTCCTTCAGCTGCGATGGGCCCAGCAGCCCTCTACCCCGCAGAGGCAGGGGCCACAGAGCTGCCTGAGATGGTGCCAGACAAGTCAGGTGGCACCCTTGGAGAAGAGCCCAGCACGGCTAACTGCACCTCACAACTTGAAGTCTATGTGCTGGGCACTGAGTTCAAAGTCATCCTGAAGGACCTGGTAGTCTGTGGCACCTGTAGGGGAACATGCTTCTTCCCTGATGTCTGCTGCTGGTGCCTTTGCTCCAGCCACTTGGAAGAGATTAGAGTCCCCAAACCCCACAGAGTCACATCTGCAGCTCTGGGAATGAAGTCAAAACACTCCTGGCTTCACAGGCTGAGCTTGTGGCCCACAGGATAGAAGAGTGGAAGGAGTAGAGAGGCAGACAGGAAGGGACATAGAGGAAAGGGAGTCTCAGCCCCAGACTAAGTCAGCTCAGGGAGAGGGCAGAAGGGCCTCAGGATGGGAGCCCTCACCCTGTCTGGGCTGCAGTGGCCAAGGCAGGTTGGGACACCACTTCCTGGAGCCTGTCCTGGCCCTGGCCCTGGCCCTGGCCTTGGCCCTGCCTCTGTGGGAGGAGGAGGAAGTGCATCATCCTGGGTGGGAGGAGAATCACCTGGCTGTTGGTACAGCTCTGTGCACAGCCAGGACCACTGACCATCATCCCATAGCCCTCGGACCCTCCTCTTCTCCCTCCTTGCCCCTTCAGGGTGCTTCTCACGGTGCACAAGCATGTATGTGTTATCCATGGCGGGGCCTGGCGGTCAGTGAGCAGGTCACTTCAAGGGAGCCCTGGGGCTGGCAGATGCTGGGCCCGGGCCAGCACTGGTTGTGGGAGGGAAGGAGCTAGGTGTGATACCTCACAGGCTACCTTTCTCTGGAAAAGCAGTGGGGCCCTGGAAAGGCCCAGGCTTCCGTCCATTTATTCAACAAATGTTTGTCAAGCCCCAGGTATGTGCCAGGCACTCTTCCAGGATCTGGGGATATGGCAGAGAACAAAACCAAGTCCCTGCCCTCTGAAGCTGACAATCCATTAAAGGAGATAGAGAATAAATAAGTTTAAAAATAAAATTCAATTAAAAAGGTACTTTCTGAAAGTGATGAGTGTTATAAAGCCAGAGAAGCAGAGCTATGGAAGCAGTGGGGTCTGCTCTAGACAAAGTGCTCAGAGCAGAAGATATGTGAGGGAAGCTTGAGGGAGGAGGACGACTGCGGTGGGATGAAAAAAGGGGAGGGAACAGCACTGACGGATGATCGGATGCTGGGATGGGACCAGGGACAGGGCAAAGGCCAGTATAGCCAGGGCCACAGTGGAGGGGAGAGGTGGTCAGGGGTAAAGTCCAAGGGGGTGGGAGCCAGCTGGGGTGGGTTGTGCAGGCCAAGTAAGGAGCCTGGAATTTATTCTAATTACAGTAGCCATAGTGCAGCCCTTAGCGTTCTTCCTGCCTTCACCCTCCCACAGCGGGCTTCCTGCGGCTTCCCGCTCAGCTGATGTTTCCTTGGAGTTGCCCTGGAACAGATGTGAAATCACAAGTGGTGCTGAAAGTGGGGGAAGGAGGGACAGCCCATGGCCTGGATTCATGACAGTACCTACCTTGGGTTTGGGGCCAGGGTATGGCTCCTGAGCAGGGAAAGGAAGCACAGACACAGCTTTGTTCTGCGTCCTGCCACATGGTGTGGTTGGGCCACTGAGACCACTGACTTTATAGTTAAAGAAATCTCCCTTGAGTTCTAGCATTCGGCTAATGATTGGGTCAAGTGGACAGTGCTGCCGTGAGTATCCCTCTCCTGAAATTCTTTACGGCAATTTCAGAGATGGGCTTGGAGAGGTTTGCCATTTCAAACCAAATCCCTTCTCCATCACTCTTAAGCCAAAAAAAAAAAAAAAAAAGGAACTTTTGTTACATTAAAAGAAGTGTCCCTTCCTGGCTGACCTGATTCTTCTTTCTTGCTGTCCTCTCTGTGACCTCCAACCTGCCCAAGCACCCATCTCCCCAAGCCTGAGTGGCATGGCACCCCGTGGGTGAGGAGGTGGCCGCTAGCACAGGCAGATGGCTGAGAGGAATGTGAGGGTGAGAAGCAGCTATCTACAATTCTTGACAGAATCCTTTCTTTTCTTCTTTCCTTCCTCCCTCCCTCCTTTTCTCTTTCAAGCATCTACAATCTGGCAAACCCTTGGCCCAAAGACTCACCAGGTGGGACGTGGCAGGCAGGCCTCAGTTGAGGACGTGATGTTTTCTCACAGCAGCTGCCTGGGTGAAGCATCTGCTGGACAAGTCGGACCACTGGCCAGGGGACCTTTGATTGTCTTTCCAGAGATGCTGCTCTCTGCAGGGCACCACCTTCAAGGCACAGCCCTTGTTGGGAGGGAGAACCCTCTCCAGAAACCCTGCCACCATGGTGTCTTGCCGTACTTCCCACAGCCGCCTTTTTGCGGCCTGGCCGGCCAGGCTTCCCGTGCGTTATACACAGAGTTTGGGCACACACTGCCCTCCCTCCGAGATGCCAGAAGTTTTTCCACAGCCTTGGAGAGGGGCTTTGACTGAGGGCTGGGGGCCCTGGGCTCCGTTTCCTTCACATTCCAGCTGGCCCGGATCCCTCTGTGGCACAGGGCCCTGCCCGTCACATGCCCTCTGGGTGACATCGGAGCAGACCTCCATGTGGCCAGGGGTTGGGAGAACTTTACAAACATTAGGACCTAACACTGTCTCATCGCTGAAATAAGAGGCCATAGCACCGAAAAGCAGCGTGGGCGCCGGCTG
This sequence comes from Homo sapiens, assembly GCF_000001405.40. NCBI lineage: Eukaryota > Metazoa > Chordata > Mammalia > Primates > Hominidae > Homo > Homo sapiens. Next base: position 49,668,198 of record NC_000003.12, read on the forward strand.
AGGCTTCTCCCAGCCCGTGGGTGGCAGCGTGCTAGCACACTGCCACCATCTCAAAGCCATCCCCCTAGCCATCGTGAGCATCCCAGCGGCACCGCCATTGTCTCAACCAGCCGGCTCCTCGTCTGTACACCTGGGGATTTCTTTTGATTTCAAGAACAGCCTTAATCATTCCAGTTTGATTTACGTGTATACCTCATAAACATTTTTCTTTTGTTTCTCTCTCCCCCTTTCTCTCTTCTCTTGGCTCACTCCCTTGCCTCTCCCCCTCCACCACCACCTTGTGACTGATGGTTTGGTTTCCTCTCTGCTCTGCCCCTGCTCAGCACAGGGAGAATGTTGACTTAGAAGCAATAGGGGGCAGCAGGCCACCAAGAGCACAACCCCAGGGCGAGGTCTGGGGAGGCCTCCCAGCCCGCCTCTGTTTACTGTGCAATTCCAGTCGTTCTTAAGCCATCACCAGTGGGTGTACTCAGAGCAGAGGGGCCAGGACTTCTGCCAGCCAAGGGAAAGGCCCAGAGCCCTGTGCGGGGGAATGTGGCACTGTCTATCCATCCGGTGGACTGGGCAGCATTCCTCCCCAGGGCTCTTCCCTTGGGGGCCTCCTTTCATCTGGGGCACAGCCACAAGTCTCATCTCTAACGTTCTATGCAATGAAATATAAACCCTCAATGACAACTGTTAATATTTAATAAATTCCATGTTATGTATAAGGAGTTAATTGCAAACATGCAATTGAGAAACTGGATAGATACACTCATAAAACCCCCACCCCTCCCCACCCCACCCCTGCTCCCATTGTGTGTGTGAAATTCTCAGTCTGTGGCATGTTTGACCTGTGGCAGGACTCGCTGCTGCCAGGTGAGTCACCGCCTGTCCTGCAGTGGAGCATGCACAGCTCGCAGCCTCTTTGCACGATTTCATCCATTTTAAATGCTTGACCCTCTTGCTTGGAGTTCTTTTTGCCTCAGAACCTCTCCTTCAGGAGCACTTCTAGCTGACTTCTGCACAAGCTAGTGAGGACCTGCCAGAATTGTTGCCTGAGCGTGCCAGGCTGCAGGGCAGGCAGTAAAAGGCCCCCACATACCCTGCAGTTTTCTCTGTCCAGGACAGCAGGTAAAAAGGAATCCCCAGAGCAGACGCAATGGTAGGAGCCTGCACAGGATGTGTGTGTATGGACATTCTGAAGGTTTGCTGTAGGATATCTGTCTGTCTGTCATTTTCCCTTCCTACCCCAACCCTGAGCCAGAGGCATCTGACAGCCCTTTCCCAGAGGGCACCACGCAAGGGCAGAGCTGGGCGGCATCCACAGCCAGAGAGGCAGAGGCAAGAGCAGAGCCAGGCTGTGCCCGAGGGACCCCAGCTCTTGACTGCACCTGTTTCATGCCTCTCCTCTGTGGCTAGGAGGCTCAAAGGACTGTGAGCCAGGAGATCTGGGCTGGAGCTAGGGGGTCAATGGATGCTCAGGAAGAGCTGGGCCTTTGGCACTTGTGGTGAGAACAGTTGACAGTGGTCATCTGGAACTGTTCATATAAACAGTGGCTTCAAGCTAAGTTTCTTGTGAAGTTTCTCAATAGCAAATCTTACAGAAGGTCCTGTGTGACCCTCTCTGCATCTGTCCCCAGGACCTATGCTCCCTGCTCACCCCCTTCTCCAAAGCCCAAGCGTCCCGCTGCTCATCAGCTTTTTTACCATTGAGCCAGGAGTGCGGCAGGCAGTACCTGCCTGACCCTTCAAGGCCTGACCTTCGTCCAGAGTGCTCTGGTTTGCACCATGCATTTCTCAGGGGTCCGCATTTCTCATGCTTTTCTATAAGATCTACACACCCCTTCAGAGAGGGCTCCTCGCTCACCTCTGGTAGCTATGGATGGGACAGGAAGCTGCCAACCTTTGTGTTGGACTTAACACCCTTGCCTTTCTGGGACTTGGCCTCACCCCACCCATGGAATACCTGCCTCATCCCAAAGATCAGGTATGGGCTGAATGCAGCCATCTGAGCAAGGGCTGAGGGAAGCCATCACCTAACACCTCTGGCCACCCAGGACCAGGTCTGTGTGGGGATGTGCCTTGGAGACCAAGGCAATAGTCCTTTCCACTACAGGCCAGGGGATGGGACAAGAAGTAGGGAACAGGCAGGGAAATGTTAGGAGGTCAGCCTCCAGCAGGCCTAGTCTCAGGCTCTAAAGTACTGACTTTTCAGCAAATTTCCTTTCTGGCCAAGCCCTCTGAGTTTGAAATTCTGACATCTGCCACTCCTCATCCCCCACTGTACCCACAGGATACATCATCGCCCCTCTGTGAAGGTGGCTGGAGCAGGCCTCTGGTCCATGGACTGTCCTTCCTGGCCCTTGCATGGATGCAGTTGTGACTCTGGGGACAATGCAGCCAGAAGCTGAGGGACCAGCACTTGGTGCCTTGGAAAGTAGAGAGCAACAGACACATCTCCAAATGGGCAAGGAGTCTCTAGCATGCAGCCCAGGCCTTCTCCATACCCCTCTCCCCAGCATCATGAGCAAGGGCATTGCCTCCTCTCTCTGCTCACTTCAGGGCCCAGTGCACTCACTTCACAGTGACAGCCCTCCCCTACAATCCTTGGGCAGAGCATGTGGTCTGAGGGCCCACAGTGAAAGAACAGCAGTGGTGGCAACTATGCCTTGCCTTCTGGAGCCTGTAGGGAGTTTTCCAGGCAGGTCCTTTGCCAGGACAGCATGGTCCTGCCCTGTTGTCCCGTCTGCTCTCCTCTTACCCACCCCCATGCTGTAAATACTTGTCATCATGGACTCCAACAGGGTTAGAGGGACAGGCCTAATCAACTGAAACTCCTCGGAGATGCCATCTCTGTCTCCCTGGGTGCCAGCAGCCCTGCTGCCATGTGCACTGGGGTGGCACTGGAGAGCCATGGCAGTCGTGAGATATTGTATGTGTATGCACATGATCATGTGTGTATGTGCGTGCGTGCGTGCGTGTGTGTGTGTGTGTGTGTTTCTGCCTCATTCAGTTTCTGGGGTCAAATCAGCTCCTTCTCTCCAAGTGCACTACCCTGGAGAGTGGTGGCCACTCAATACCTTTTCCTCTAGCTTTCATGTCTTGTTTTTGCTTTCCCCTTCCTCCTCCCTCTCTCCCTTTCTTTCCTTCTCTCCTTCTTTATTTGAGGGGGGAAGAGTGCTGTACAAAGTCAAACAAACAAGTTTACAGTTGTAAGTGCAATGACCCGAGTCCTCCACATGACCTTGTGAATTGTGTGCTGTCCTTCTGTGCTCTGTGAGAACTCGTGGTACTTCAGTGTCCCTCCCCCTGTATTGTGACAAGGTAATTCTGTGGTATCAGAATAAAAGGACTTGATATAAACAACCTACAGACTGTTTCTGGGATGGTTTCTCAAGTGGGAAGGCTTAGCTGAAGGAGCAAATCCCCAAATTTGCGACAATCCTGTCCATGGTTAAAGGGAAAAGGATGGACAAAGTTGCAGAAGTGCTGGCACAGCACGGGGCTGAGTCCACACCAAGCCATCCAAAGACAATGGGCCCTCCACAAAGGTGCCCAAGGGGAGGTCCCAAGCTTGGACCTGGAGCAGGCAGTCAGTGCGCAGGCTGTTGAGGGACAGCACCTCCATGGCCTTCAGGTGTGTTGGCTGCATACACAGCTTTCTGGGACCTGGTTCCAGGGAGGCAGTGAACAAGTGCTGCCCCCTGGTGCTGCCAACAAGCCCTACACCTCTCTGCCTTGCTCCGAATTTTCCAACCCCCAAACTCTCACCGGCTGCCAGACCTTAGGCCTTCCTCAGATGGTCAGGAGTACCTCCTTACCGAAGTCACCCAGAGTTGCTAGACCTTTTTTTTTTTTTTTTTTTTTTTTAACACAGATAAACAGGAATCCCAGCTTCACCTCTGGCCCTCTCCCCAGAATTAACATTTTGATGCGTGTCCTTCTTTCCTGTTTGTTGTTCCAGTCTTCATTTTAAACAGAAGCCAGAAGGTGCAATATATCCTGTTTTCTAGCTTTCTGTTTATTTCCACGTTTATTTCAGGTACTTAAATGTTCGTCTTCCAGTGCTCAACCTCCAGAGAGATACACCATTAGTTCATAGCCAGTCTACCACACACAATCTAAGGAACAGGCACTATGTTCCCAGTGTTCCTATTATAAACAATGCTTGATGAACATCCTATTTTCCAATCTTTCCACCCAAATTGGTGGCTGGGGCCACTCATTCTACTCCTGTTTCTGGCCTTGATACAGTCCTGTACATACTGACAAATGCAGTGGCGTCAGAAAGTTGGGACTCTTTTTTTTTTTTTTTCTTGAGACGGAGTTTCACTCTTGTTGCCCAGGCTGGAGTGCAGTGGCATGATCTCGGCTCACTGCAACCTCCACTTCCCAGGTTCAAGCGATTCTCCTGCCTCAGCCTCCCGAGTAGCTGGGATTACAGGCGCGTGCCACCCAGCCCGGCTAATTTTTGTATTTTTAGTAGAGACAGGGTTTCTCCATGTTGGCCAAGCTGATCCCGAACTCCTGGCCTCAGGTGATCCACCCGCCTCAGCCTCCCAAAGTGCTAGGATTATAGGCGTGAGCCACCGCGCCTGGCACTTTTTTTTTTTTTTTTTTAAGATGGACTCTGGCTGTCGCCCAGGATGGAGTGCAGTGGCGCGATCTCGGCTCACTGCAAGCTCCGCCTCCCGGGTTCACACCATTCTCCTGCCTCAGCCTCCCGAGTAACTGGGACTACAGGCGCCTGCCACCATGCCCAGCTAATTTTTTGTATTTTTAGTAGAGACAGGGTTTCACCGTGTTAGCCAGGATGGTCTCGATCTCCTGACCTCGTGATCCGCCCGCCTCGGCCTTCCAAAGTGCAGGGATTACAGGCGTGAGCCACCGCGCCCGGCCGGCCGGGACTTTTTTTTTTTTTTTTTTTTTTTTTTTTACTTAACTAGTTATCTTGAGTAAGTAATGATGCGGCTGATGGGAAAGGGGAAGCTACAGGCCAGACAAGTGGACTCTCAATCACAAGCACGCCATGGAGCAGGGAGCCAGGGCCCTGAATGTGGAAGACCAGCCAGACTCAGGTATATGGAGGGAACATCCTTACTGTCCAGCCTCTCCTGATCTCTGTTGGCACCTTAGCCCAGCCAATCCTGTACCACGTGCACAGGGAACCTGCCTGCCTAGGTTTTTTCCACAGGAAGCTCCCTGGTCCTGGGTGGAGTCTGAGCCCACCAGGCCTTTCACACCCAAGAGCTCAGGGTGAGGCCTGGGGAGGAAGGCAGGGACCCACCAGCTCACGGTCCCCAACAAGGTGCCACTGAGAAGGCTGGGTAAAGGCTGCGGGGATAGATAGCTCTTGCGGCAGGCCTGGCGACTGATAAGTCCGGGCAGCACCCTAAGAGTTGGCACCCGCCCCTCTGCCCCGCACCCCAGGGCTTTGCTTCGCGCCCTCCGCCCGGACCCTGGCCCTTCTCTTCTTCGTCTGCGTGGAACTCCCTCCAGGGCAGGGCCTGGCACTGTGTAGTGAATGTCGGCCTCGTGGTGGACCCGAAGGAACCCTACAGTCAGCCCCAGAGCCGCGGGAGATCCACGCTGCGGCCGGCTCCGCCCCGCCCAACCCTCACCCTCACGCTCACGCTCACGCTCACGCTCACGCTCACGCTCACAGGCTCCCGGCTCCACATTCCTCGCAGGGCTCCAATCCGGACCCGCCCGCCTTGCCCTTCATCCTCAAAGACTCATTGGTCCCATTCCCCTCGGGCCCCGCCCTTCGCGTGCTTGGGCCATGCCCGTCCGACCGCGCTGCTTCCGCCTTGCAGCACCCCCTCAACCCCTTCTCTCGTAGGCCCTTCTACCCTCCCCGAAGCCGGGCTCCCGGGTTCCGCTTCCACAGGGCCGCCCCCTCTCCTCCGAGATCCAACGCCTCGCCCCTCGGTAAGAGGCCCAGGACTCAGCCCACGGCCCCGCCCCCCACTTGGCTAGTCCGCCCCTGGCGAGACCCCTGCTCTCACCCACCCAGGACTTCTCGCTCCCAGGCCGGGTCCTCTCACCGTCAAGGCCCGCCCCCTGCCAACGGTCCTCACCCATTAGCCGAAGGCCCCGCCCCTCACAGATTGCCGCAGGGCAGGGGCGGAGACAGCCCGGGCCGTCCCAGGCTCCGCCCCCGGAAGCCTCACTTCCGGGCGCGAGCACGCCCCGCCTCGCCCCGGCGGCAGAGAGGAGACTATGGAACGTCAGGTGAGGGCTCGGCCCGCGGTCCCCGTGGTCCCTGCAGCCCGGGCCGGGCCTGACCCTGGTGTGTCCCCTGCGCAGGTGCTGCTGAGCGAGCCCGAGGAGGCGGCGGCTCTGTATCGGGGCCTTAGCCGCCAGCCCGCGCTGAGCGCCGCCTGCCTGGGCCCGGAGGTCACCACGCAGTACGGCGGCCAATACCGGACGGTGCACACTGGTGTGTGTGCGAAGGGGAACTGGCTGGCGACGGGGTCGCGCACTGGGGTGGGAAGGAAGGGGGTGTGGAGGGCTCGCTGCTTGACAGTGCGTAAGGGTATATAGGGAGCCGGCCTGGACTTGGAGGTTACACTCCCACAGGTCCCTGCACACAGGTGTGTGGAGGGGGGGAGGGGGCGTGCGGGGCGTTATCGAATGGCGGCCATGAGTGCACGAGATGACGGCGTAGGGGTAGAAGTCAAACCTGGGCTCAGGGCGTGGACCTTGTAGGGCTCTCCACCAACACGCCATCCCATACACATGCCAGGCTGCCCTCAAGATTCCAGGGTGGATGCTGGGGTTACTAGGGGGTTCTCTCAAAGAGGCTGTCAGCTCAGGCTCTGGAGGCCTGGACTAGGGTTGTGGCCAAGTGTTGTCCAGCCTGCAGCCAGGGTGTCAGTGTCTGGAGACAGATTGAGAGATTGGGGAAGATAGATCTAGGCCTTCCTGGGTCAGGTGGGGCTGGGGGCAGTAGCCAGGAGTAGCCAAGACAAGGTGAGCAGTCTCATGCCTCCCCTCACAGAGTGGACCCAGAGGGACCTGGAACGCATGGAGAACATTCGATTCTGCCGCCAATACCTGGTGTTCCATGACGGGGACTCAGTGGTGTTTGCAGGACCTGCAGGCAACAGTGTGGAGACCCGGGGGGAGTAAGTTTGAGGGAGGAAGCTTGTGGGCAAGGCCACAGCCGTCCGCAATGCAAGCCTTTTATGAATGCTCACCATGTGCCTAGAAGGGAGGCCAGCAGCCAGGTTCTTGCCCCCTTGGGAGCTCATTCAGTTTCTGGTGACATGGCCTGATAAGCACTGGAAGCTTGCTCCAAACTCAGCCTGGACTAGAGCCCATGGTGGCCTGGGGAGTTGCAGAGAGTAGAGTCTCTGCCTCAGGGAGGAAAGGCAAGGTGGGGCTAGAGGTGCTCCAGAAGCTGGTGTGGGGCCAGAGCCTCAAGAATCTCTCCTAAGAGGTGTGCCCAGTAGGGAGCAGGAAGGGGTTATTGCAAGATAATCCTGACCTGTGCTACCCCATGTCCACAGACTGCTGAGCAGAGAGTCTCCTTCAGGCACCATGAAAGCTGTGCTGCGCAAGGCTGGAGGCACGGGCCCTGGGGAAGAGAAGCAGTTCCTGGAGGTGAGTCTGCATGGGACCAGGTAGTGGGTGACAAGAGAGAGGCTCTGCCCCACAGATAAGGCTCTGTTAGCGGGCAAACAGCCTAATGCCCAGATGTCCTCAGGTCTGGGAGAAGAACCGGAAGCTCAAGAGCTTCAACCTGTCAGCGCTGGAGAAACATGGGCCTGTTTATGAGGATGGTGAGGCATCTGGCTGGTGAGCAGGCAGGGTGGACAGGAGGGGTAGCCGTAGCCCTGGGCCCCCCCTGATTGGCCCTCCCTGCACCCAGACTGCTTTGGCTGCCTGTCCTGGTCGCACTCGGAGACACACTTGTTGTATGTGGCAGAGAAGAAGCGCCCCAAGGCCGAGTCCTTCTTTCAGACCAAAGCCTTGGACGTCAGTGCCAGCGATGATGAGATAGCCAGGCTGAAGAAGCCAGACCAAGCCATCAAGGTGCTCGTGGTCAATCCACGAAGGCCCGGCAGGGCAGCCCTGGGGCTCAGTGTGCTCCCTTCCCATACTGTGCCTGTCAGACCTGGGGAGGCACTAGCTTTTAGGAAGCAGAGCAGGTCCTATAGACAGGCTGGGCATTGAGTATCTTGTGTTCTCAGGGGGATCAGTTTGTGTTTTATGAAGACTGGGGAGAAAACATGGTTTCCAAAAGCATCCCTGTGCTCTGCGTGCTGGATGTCGAGAGTGGCAACATCTCTGTGCTTGAGGGGGTCCCTGAGAATGTGTCCCCTGGACAGGTCAGCAGCAACAGCCTGTGTCCCCCCTGGAGTCTGGGACCCTTCTTGAGCTACCACCCCTTGCTCACTCCTGCCCTTTGATCCTGTTTACAGGCATTTTGGGCCCCTGGAGATGCTGGTGTGGTGTTTGTGGGCTGGTGGCATGAGCCCTTCCGGTTGGGCATCCGCTTTTGCACCAATCGCAGGTGAGGGAGTGGGGCAAGGCAAGGGGCCTTGCAGCCCAGCTGGCCTTGAGACTGAGTGTCTGTCTCGTGGTTCCAGGTCAGCCCTGTATTATGTGGACCTCATCGGGGGGAAGTGTGGTAAGTGGCTGATGCCCACCTGTGCTTTGCTGACACATGTTGGCCCTGCCAGCCTGCGTGATGCTCATGTTTCCATCTGGCCCAGAGCTCCTCTCGGATGACTCCCTGGCTGTCTCTTCTCCCCGGCTGAGCCCAGACCAATGTCGCATTGTCTACCTGCAGTACCCATCTCTGATCCCCCATCACCAATGCAGCCAGCTGTGCCTGGTGAGCTGGAGGTGGCAGGGATGGGAGGGTGGTCAGCAAGAAGATGGGATGGTGGATGAGAGCTGAAGGGCCAGTATCATCTCCCCATAGGCCCTCAGTAGGTGCCCTTCTGTCCTCAATGCAGCAGCGGTGTGAGTTCTGCCTGTCCTCTCAAGGAGGGCCTAGAGGTTGAGAGTGCTGCCATGGAGAGCTTTGCACTGTTGGGGCATTCCACCTTGAGAGAATGCTCGTCTGCAAGAATGCTCCTCCCCTTGGCTCTCAACTGCATGTAGCCAGGCTCTGCAAGGGGCTGGGATATAGTGGGGAGTTACACAATCCCAGACCCTCCCCAGGAAGAGCTCTGGGCCCCTGGTAAAAGTCAGAGGGACATGCCTATCTGAGGCCCCTTGGGCATCTGGTCCAGGTCACCAGAAAAGAGATACATCAGGCTTATTCCAGTTCCCCCATCTCCTGGGGCTACCTGAGGCAAAAGGGGATAGGCACAGGGCACTGTGCCCTAAGGGAACTGCCTGTCCCCTACTGGACCTGACCATTGTGTTCTCTTGCAGTATGACTGGTATACCAAGGTTACCTCAGTGGTGGTAGATGTTGTGCCTCGGCAGCTGGGAGGTAAGGCATACCTGGCTGGGTGGGTGCAGTGGGGCCTGTAGCTCTGCTTTCCTGCCGTCTGTTGCATCCCTGCCCCGTTCTTCTTTCCTAGGTTCCTTCTGAGGGCCCTACCTCCCTGCTGGGCCAGCCTTATGCCCAGCATCCTCAGGGAGCGGGGCTGTCACCATAGGGAGCGGGGCTGTCACCGTAGGGAACAGTTCAATAGCAAGGAGTGGTAGGACCAAGCTGAGATCAGAGTGGCCCAAGTTGATGATGTATTATTTCCTGTGCTGCAGGTCATAATTAGAGTTTTCTTATTTTTCCAATGGCTGGTTCAAACCAAAACCATGACTCCTTCAAGTGGGTCTCAGGAAGTGCACTAGGTTGGAATGTCACACTCGAGAGGCTCTGGACCCGAGGGCATGATATTATCCCATCCACCATCCTAACCCCAGCAACCTTTGTCCAGTCTAAGCCCTGAAGTCAGCTGGGTCTTCAGGAGGGTGGCTCTTGGCTGAGAGGCTCCCGTCTCGAGTGTTGATAGCTCTGCTTGGATCCTCCTGGACCATCTCAAGGATGAGTCTCTTGTTTTCTCAGGCCACCCGGTCAGTTCCAGGAGTTCAGTGGACAAGGGATAGCCTCTTTGTCTTCTCTTTGGGTTGCAGGGATGCAGTGGTGGGAACCTAGTATGAATCCCAGCTCTGCCCTAAATTAGCTGTGTCCTCAGACAGGGTCCTGGCCTCCCTGAGCTCCCATTTCTTCATGGAGGGGTGATTGTGTCTGCCTGCCTCATAGGATCATAGTGAGTGTTAAGTGAGTGATGATATTAAAGGGTAGGATTTACTGAGCCCCCTGTGCCAAGCGCTGTGCTAAGCACCACAGTGGAGATAAGACGGACAGATGATATCTTGGTTAAAGCACCTGGTACCTACCTGGGTTCAACTGGAATTACTCAGGAGAGCAAGTGCTTTTCCTCTGAGCACCCATGGTTTCTCTCTGGAGCTCTTGAGCTCTGCCTCTCTGGGTCCTCTCTGGGTCCCAAGAGGCCTCTGCCCCTCAGCCACCTACTCAGGCAGCTCCTCATCGCGTAGCGTGCCCCCATGTGTGCTACAAGCTGCAGGGGCCTGACTGGTGCCTGAGTAGGGCCCTGGGTGAATTCCCCAGTACCCTAGCCTTCCTTGTAGACTACCCTCCCTACCTCCACTCCTGGATGCAGCCTCAGCCCTCCTATCTTTACAGAGAACTTCTCTGGGATCTACTGCAGCCTTCTGCCTTTGGGATGCTGGTCAGCTGACAGCCAGAGAGTGGTCTTTGACTCGGCTCAGCGCAGCCGGCAGGTGAGGGACGCTGATTGTGTTGAGGGGCAGCCCCTGTGGTCAACCCCCAGGAGCCCTGGGGGTTGCATGTGCATGCCCCTGGGTGGAATGCCCAGCCACAAAGTCTCATCAGCCCCTTAAAACCCTGCCTGCCCATCCTGGACTCATTTCTCCTGGAGGGGACTGGCTGCCCTGGTGCACCACAGCAGAACTCAGGCCTTTTCGTCTGAGGCAGAGATGCAACCCCTCCCAGGCATTTCTAGCTGGGGGTCAAGGGGACTGCCACTCGGGTGGGTCCCTGAACACTCTGTAATGGCAGCTGATGGGGACAGGACTGAGGCCTTCCCCCAGGGATGGAGTAAAGCCACTCACAGTGTGCCAGGCTCCTTTTGGGTGTGATATTTGGTCCTTGTGCCAACTCAAAGGGGCTCAAAGCCATTCCTTACCTTGCCCAGGGTCACCCAGCAAGTTGTGATGGTGCTGGGATTTGAACCCAGGCCCTCACACTACTCCCTACTGCACTGAGTAACCATCACCATAGCTGTCCACAGCCTTGGTCTGGCCAGGGCTCTCCAAGAGGGTAGAGAGGAGGTAGGGGAGGGACCCATAGGTAGAGGGAGTACTCTTGGATGTGGTCGCACCTGTGGCCTTGCCTCTGCTTCAGGACCTGTTTGCTGTGGACACCCAAGTGGGCACTGTGACCTCCCTCACAGCTGGTGAGCAAGGCTTTGGGGATGGGGGTAAGGGCAGGGCTGGTGAGCAAGCCAACCAGGCAGCGGGGGACTGGAGCTCCAACATGTGGGGCAGTGATGGCATTCTCAGCCACTCAGCACCACTGACTGTTCCACAGCCTTTACTAACAGGTCCCCAAGGCCCCTGTCTGTGCAGACCCTTACCCAACCAACAGACTAGCTTCCCTGCTCTACTGCCCTTTAGCACTCAACTCTGTTCCATGTGTCCTGGCCCAGCCTCAGCACGGCCCCCACCTCTGCTCCTAAAACCCACAAAACTCTCTCTTATCAAGATCTGCCAGACTCATCCTTCTCGCTCTGCAAACCTTGGGTGCCTGTCTCAGGCAGAGGCAGCTCTGCCACCTGAGGGCCCAGGAAAAGCCCAGTGTTGACTCCCCCGTCTTCCCCATACTTAGGCCTGGTGATTCTGCCTTTGAAATGTGTTTTGAGTCCTCCACCTGACCTGACTGTATCCGCTCCTCCACAAAGCTACCAAAGTATCATTCCAAAGCTACATCTCATTGTACAACTGCTTGGACACCACTGCCCCAAATCAGCACGCTCCCCGACCCCCAACTTCCCGGTCCCAGCTGCCACCCTGCACACAGCAGCCATCGAGGGACAGGCAGATGTGCCTGCATGGTCTGATGTGTCTTAAGGTTTGGCAGTTCCCAGCCCAGCCAGTGTCTGTCAGATGAACAACAGACTGAGAGCAGGAGGCTCACCCGGGGCCATGTGCAGTTGGGTGTTTGTGAAAGGCACTTCTCGGGGAGAAAAGGGCACCTTTCCATAGAGTCTCCAGCCTGGGACTCTGTTACAGAGAAGCAGGTAAGAAAGGTGATGGCTCCTGCTAAGCACTTAATGGCATCTGCCTTTTCCAGGAGGGTCAGGTGGGAGCTGGAAGTTGCTCACAATTGACCAGGACCTCATGGTGGCACAGTTTTCCACACCCAGCCTACCTCCAACCCTGGTGAGTGTCGGTGGGTCCCAGGCTGTGGAGGCAGGGGTTCTGGGCAGGCAGAGCTCACCAGGTCAGGGAATTGGCCCCAGAGTCTGACCTGGCTGGTCAGCATACAGACGGGCCAAGACACAGGCCCAGCTTGGCATGGTCCATGAGGGTTTGGCACTCACAGGGACGAACTACTAGGCTAGAATCTGCTCCGTACAAAACAAGGTGCCTGGGGAAGTGCTCTGTCTTGGTATTACAGAGCAAAGGAGACAGCAGAGCCTAGAAGCTGAGGAGGGAGGGGTGTGCCTGTGTGTGATTGTATGAGTATGAATACCTTGGTATATACCATCCCACAACAGGAAGCCATGCTGTACCTTCTGGAGGTGGGTAGAGGGCCCAGCATAGTGAGAGCTGCCTATTTCCCACTGTGGGCAGAAGGGAAGGGCAGGGAGGCAGCCAGGCCACCTATGACACATTCTTTCCCCTTGGCAGAAAGTTGGGTTCCTGCCTTCTGCAGGGAAGGAGCAGTCAGTGTTGTGGGTGTCCCTGGAGGAGGCCGAGCCCATTCCCGACATCCACTGGGGCATCCGGGTGCTACAGCCACCCCCAGAGCAAGAGAATGTGCAGTATGGTGAGCTGGGCCAGGGGCAGAGGGATGCCTTCTCCAGGTTCCCCAGCACAAAGCCTCTGCGGTGACCTTTGCTACCTCCTCTCTCACATTGTGGGGTTTCTGGTGATGACCTCTAAGAGGTTTTCTGTTCCTCTTGTGGATGGGCATGGGAAGTAGCATCTAGACATCTGAGCGCCTGCTCTGGATATCACCTGGGCTTCACCAGGCCAAATCATCTGTGGTTGGAAGACCCAGGTCCAAAGAAAATAGGCCTCATACAAGCCTCAGTGACCACACCTCATCCCGAATGCTGTTGCTGCAGGATGGGGTTCCCTGACGAGGGCAGAAGAAGTATGAGCCTTCTGGGGTCCATGTGTCATGGTGTGGACTACCTTGGCCAGGTCTCTGACCCAGAGGTCAGCCCCACACCTGCAGCTAGAGATGGGGCCTTAGTTGGGGAAGCCCCTAGGCTCACCCTGCTGACTGCTGCCCTCTCCCTGCAGCTGGCCTTGACTTTGAAGCAATCCTGCTGCAGCCTGGCAGCCCTCCAGATAAGACCCAAGTGCCCATGGTGGTCATGCCCCACGGTAGGCATCTGGCGTTAAGAGCCCTTGCCCTCCCAGCCCTCTTCCTAGCTGGCCCTTTCACCCTCCGCTCCCTGTCTGCAGGGGGGCCCCATTCATCCTTTGTCACTGCCTGGATGCTGTTCCCAGCCATGCTTTGCAAGATGGGCTTTGCGGTACTACTAGGTGAGTGAGCAGGGACCCACAGTTCTGTTAGGACTACAGTGGAGTGACGGGGGTGGACCTGGTTTGTATAAGTACCATGGGTGCCACTCTAGTCTCCAGGACTTTCTCTAGCCTAGACCTAGTAACCACTACCAGGAACTGCTGGGGCCCAGCCTCTGGTTCTGTGGCATAGTGATAACAAGGACTAACTCGGGACTTCCAAGGAAAGGGCGCTGTGGTCACTGGGTGGCAGCCTCAAATCTCTGAGTCCCTTCCCCTTGACCCCTTGACAGTCTGTGGTATAGCTGGCCCCAGGGCCTACTTCACAGATGTGTGAAAAGAGCGTCGAGGGGGCTGGGAATGTTGCCTGACTACACTGTCTGGTCCCTCCCTGCCCTCAGTGAACTATCGTGGCTCCACGGGCTTTGGCCAGGACAGCATCCTCTCCCTCCCAGGCAATGTGGGCCACCAGGATGTGAAGGATGTCCAGGTAGCAGGGGCTGGGGCTTCTGGACAGGCTGAAACATGGGCTGCCAGGGGGATGCCTCCATTCAGCTGAGCGGGCAGCTGGCTGCAGCATGCTTTGTCCCACCCTGCAGTTTGCAGTGGAACAGGTGCTCCAGGAGGAACACTTTGATGCAAGCCATGTGGCCCTTATGGGTGGTTCCCATGGTGGCTTCATTTCCTGCCACTTGATTGGTCAGTACCCAGAGACCTACAGGGCCTGCGTGGCCCGGAACCCCGTGATCAACATCGCCTCCATGTTGGGCTCCACTGACATCCCTGACTGGTAGGCATACACCACAGGTCCCTGCCCTTCCCTCCTCTACCTCAAATTCTCATGGAGCCCCGTAGCCCCAGAATTCCTGGGGCTGCAACAGCTCGGTGTCTTGCAGGTGCGTGGTGGAGGCTGGCTTTCCTTTCAGCAGTGACTGCCTGCCAGACCTCAGCGTGTGGGCTGAGATGCTGGACAAATCGCCCATCAGATACATCCCTCAGGTATGCAGCCCCCTCCTTGCCCTGTGTGCTGCCCATCCATCCAGAATCCAGGGCCCAGCTCAACACAGCTCCCCACTCTTCCCCAAACACCCAGGTGAAGACACCACTGTTACTGATGTTGGGCCAGGAGGACCGGCGTGTGCCCTTCAAGCAGGGCATGGAGTATTACCGTGCCCTCAAGACCCGGAATGTGCCTGTTCGGTGAGTGCAGCATGAAGGCCCTGGCAGCTGGTGGGCAGGTGAGCACAGGAGGACCCTCCAACCTTAAATGTTGCTGACTAATCCCTACAGGCTCCTGCTCTATCCCAAAAGCACCCACGCATTATCAGAGGTGGAGGTGGAGTCAGACAGCTTCATGAATGCTGTGCTCTGGCTACGCACACACTTGGGCAGCTGAAGCCCTGCCATTCTGCATGAGCTGATCAGCCTGTGCCACACTTCGCTCTTGAGGAGCTCAACGGTCTGGCAGGGCAGCAGGAGGCTTTCTGGGCTCTGGACTCCACGGATGCGTGGGCAGAGGAATGTGGGCTATGTAGTCATAATAAATTAGGACACAGAGCCTGGTTCCTGCTGGTACTTTGTACCAAACCATCCCCAACCCCACCTCCCACTCTGGGGTGCAGAGACCCTAGGTTCTGGGTGTGGCAGCCACAAGGGCTTCATCTGCCTCCAGTGTGAGAAGGGAGGGAACAGTGAGAGGCTTAGCCTCTGCCTGTCCTGGCAACCAGGACTCTGTACCAGCCTAGCTTCCCTGCTGCAGCCCCTTCCATTAGCAACTACTCTGTACCACCCTTCCCAAGAGTATGTCTGGAGGACTAGTGTGAGGCCCTGTCTTTCCACGGCACCCATGGGCAAAAGTAGTCCCAGGGACATTGCCTTGGTTGGGGAAGCCCCTAGGCTGGACAGATCACCTAGCCCAGGGTGTGCTGGGCTCAAGCCACCCGAGCCCTAGCAAGGAGTCACTGACACATTTCCTGGAAGCAAAGGCTAAGAAGCATCTGTACAGGCATAAAGAGGAAACATGGCTTTATGTCTGACAAGAAGTTTTGTCCTCCCCAAGGCATATGGCATCAAGGCTGGGCCTAACCCAGTCTCATGACCTTGTGAATCCAGTCCACAAACACAGAGACACGCGTGAAGACAGCTGGCCAGCGGGACCTTGCGCATACTCGGTTGGGGATTATAATTCCTTCCAGGACCCAGCAGTTGTGGGTAAAGCAGGCAAGTGGGCCCCCGTAGTCACCCTGGCAGGTAGGAGAACTGATGAGGGCCCCGGGCCACAGCAATGACTAGCCTGCTTCATGATAAAATAGTTCATTTCTAGCCCCCCATACCCTTCCAGGGCTGGCCCAGGGCCCTGCCACCAACCTCACAGGCCCCCACAGGGGCCAACAGTCCCTCAGTGCACATCTCACTCTCCCGCACACGTCCTCGGTGCTTGATGTTACACTCCTGGTTGGAGATGACATTCAGCAAGGCCACATTTAGGACTGTGTCATTACCCGTACCTGCAGTGAGGGGAATGGGGAGAGGGAGAGGGTCCTGCAGGAAGATCCAGGGCTGGGCCTCCTGGCCACCAGCAGTCCTGTGCACTGTGCTCTTACCTTTGGTCTCACCCCAGCCTGCAATCTCACACTTGGTCCCTGGAGGCACCACATACCATTCAGGGGGCAGGCAGATCAGGGCCACACGCTGGTTCAGGGTCACAGATCTTTAGCAAGAATGGGGGCACTCAGGGTCTGAGGCCACAAGGCCCAGCCCCACCTCACACCCTCCCAGGTTGTCCACATACCTCTCCAGCTTGAGCAGGACAAGCTGGGAGCCTGAGGGCCCACACACCATCTTGGCTACTGGGACCCGCTGTAGGCTTGGCTCTCCATGCTGTGGGTTCTGGAACAGGGTGCCCAACCATACCTCATAGCCCGTGAGAGGCATATGGCTGGGAGAGAAGCTCTGCTAGGTCATTTGTGACTCTCAGTCCATTGCCCCAAGGCTCACTTGTTAGCTTGCCTGGGGAAGGGGGAAGGTGGGATGAGACTGGGTCCCCAAACACAAGGGAGGCTCACCAGGAGGAGAAGCACTGCCGGGCAGTCAGTATCCACTGCTCCTTCACTAGAGACCCCCCGCAGAAATGCTGGCCCTGCCTAGAGGAGTGGGGAATTAGGACAGGTAACAGACTCCTGGGACAGATGCTAGACCTGCCATCTTCTGGCTAGGACCTCTGGGGGCAGGGATAGATTCCCAGCCCCCAGTGGGATAACCACAGAGGACACAACCTCAGCTCCTCTCTGTGGGAGACAGGCAGTTGTGCCTCACCGATTCCGCAAGCTGACTGTCCAGGGTGAGTTGCCCGGATGGCCCCCAACCACGCGCAGCTTGGAACGCCGCTGATCCAGCCGATCCACCCTCTTGCCACACTTCTCAAACTGCACCTGGTCTGTAGGATGGGGTGGGCTGGATGAAACCCAGACTGTGTGGATGTCGTGGGCTAAAGGGCCTGACCCATAACTGGCCCAACTCCTAACCTGGGGGGTCCAGGATTGATGGCGGCTGGTCATCAGCTGAAAGACAAAGTTCACTGGGGTTAAGGGAGCCAGCCTTTGGGTGGGGGCTGAGGCAGGGTCATGGGGGAAGCGTCACTAGTGCTCACCGCAGCGTCGCAGGGCACAGTAGTCGAATGGGGTCCTTGGGTCCATCGTGTAGCACCAGGGCCCATGGCTATCCCCATCTGGGTTCCGGCAGAAGTTCTCCTCCAGTTGTGCATGCGGTTCGGAGGTAAACGTGAACCTAGGCGGAAGCGGGAGCAAAATCGTGGCAGGGTAGTCTCAACCATTTCCAGGCTCTGGTCCCAGACACCAAAGCATGCCGCCCCAGGGTTAGGGCCCTGGCGGGGCCGGGAGCACCAGGGACTCACTGCGGCTTGTGCGGCGTCTCAGCGGACCAGCGCTGGCACTGGACACCCTTGCGGGTCTTGCTGACCGTGCCGCGGTACTGCTCCCCTGCGCCGTGGTAGCAGTCTGTGGCGGGTGCGGGCAGCCATCAGGCCGAGACCTCGCCCCGGCCCTCCGGTTCCAGGCTTCCAGCCCGGCTCTGTAGCCCCCAAGCTTGGGCCTCACCCTGGGGCCGCACGTCGTCTGTACAACGCCGGATCTGGTAGCAAAAGGCCGCGCGCATGCCGGGCCGCAGTGTGAAGCACCAGGGCGCCTCTGAGCCGTCGGGGTTCCGGCAGAAGTTCTCCCGAAGGTCTCTAAGCAGGCGCTCCACTCAGCCCTAGCCCGCCAGCCTCCAGCCTTGAGCCCGTGACTACCTTCCTCCCGTCTCACCCGCAGCAGCACGTCCCAACGCCCGCCCCCCCCCCCCACCTCACTTGCACGCGTATTTTTCTGGCGTAAATCGGTGCTGATGCGGGATTTGCGCGTCCCAACGCTGGCAAGGTACGCCCGCAGTGGTGGTATTGGCTGTGCCCCGGTAGCCCTCACCCTTCCCGCGGAAGCAGCTGACAGTTGTGGCCTCTTGGCGGGGCTGTGCCTCGGACCCTTAGATGGACCGAGATAGGTCGGGCCCCGAGCGAGAGCTGAGATCCCTCTGGGGCTGGGACCAAACCCGCCTTTCCCAGGTGTACGGTACTCCACGGGGTATGCTCTCAGGTCACGCCCAGCCCCTCTTACCTCCCCGGCCAAGCCACGCCCCTCCCCAAGGTTCCCAGGTACCCTCCCAGGCCTGGTCCCCGCCGCCTACCGCAGCGGGGGAGGTCACAGAACTCTCGCTCGATCTGCGGATCCGTAGTGTAGCACCATGGCCGCTCGGAGCCGTCAGGATTCCGGCAATAGTTGTCGTCCAGACCTTGGTCGAGGAACCTGGGGGCGGTAATGGGGCGTGAACAAGACCCTGGGACTCTGGCTTATCTGGCCCCGCCCAATTGCCCTACACGGAGCCCTGCCCCTGGAGTCCTGGACCTTCCCTAGCCCGGCCCCCAGGACGCCGATACCGCCTACGCGTACTTGCCCGGCTCGAAGGGGTGCTGGTGCGGGTGCTGAAGATCCCAGCGCTGGCACTCGCGCCCTGACTCCGTGCGGTCTACCGCGCCGCGGTATTCCTCGCCATTGCACCAGACACACGCGGCTGGAGACAAAGAGCCAGTGGGTTCGTGGATGGACGTGGGCTTGTCCCTCCACTCTCCCAGCTTGACCCGGCGCCGCTTACCCTCCCGGCAGGATTTGATGCCGCAGCTCTGGAAGCGCACAGCAGGGTCTGTTGTGTAGCACCAAGGACCTCCGGGGTCGCCATCAGGGTTACGGCAGAAGTTCTCTTCCAGGCCATTCCGGAGAGTGGGCGTGTACCTGAGGGCCCAGAGCATCACTATAGTGTGTGCTGGGGGAAGGCCCCAGGCCGGGACGGAGGGAAGGTGTTTGTCTCACTTGTGATCATTTGGGAACTTGTGGCTCCAAGCCTGGCAGGGCAGGCCACCCACGGTCGTGGCCATGGTGCCCCGGTACCCAACCCCATTGTTCATGATGCAGGTCCGTACGTAGTCTGGGAGCAAGAGACAGAAGATCAACTTGGGCTGAGGTCCCCTGTCTCCCACCCTGCCCCTCTCCACCCCCACTTGCCTTTCTTCTGGAAGAGGTCACAGCGCCCAGAACGCCGCAGCCTCGTGTGGGGCGAGTGTTGAGTCCATGGCAGCAGTTGGCAACCATGGCTGCTCACGTTGTAGTGGAAGGCCCTGGAGAGAAGAAGGCACAGGGTAACGCCACAGCCCAGGCTTCCCTGCCCCCAGTCTTATCTAGGCCCAGTGGCCACTCACCGGCAGTCCATTAAGGGCCCACAGCGACCAGCACACTCTTCAGCATCTGCCACATCCTCCTGCCAAGGCCCGGGCACCACCGCATGTAGCAGGTGCTGTAGCTCTGTGCCCCGGAGCACTTGGAAGTCATTCAATGGCGAGCGCTGCCCTGCAGAGTAGGCATGAGTGGGTGCAGGTCAGGTGGGCATACATGTCAGTAATGTGTATTGGCATGTCCACACTTTGTTCATTCAGGGGATCAAAGCTACAAGGCTTCTGGGATGGACCCTGTATGCACTTTCAAGGGCCAGTCTAGCCCCCTGCACAGATACTTGTGAAAAAAATTTCCCCTGGGAAGCAGGCCCAGACTTGGTAGTTATCACCGGTGCCTCTGTTTAGTGGCCCAGGCACCGGGCTCAGATCTAACACATACGCTCTGTGAGAGCAGTGGGTGATGAAGCTTGCCCCACCTCATCTCTCAAATGAGAATGCTAAGGCTCAGAGCCATCACATTACCCAGCCAGGGGCCCTGGCTAGGCATTCAGACTCCAAATCTGGGCTCTCACCTGCACAAAGGCATATGCTAGGTTAGAGGGGTAGATCAGGCTCAGGAGGGGTCACTGCCTGCTGTGTGCGTGCATCTGTGTGGTCCTGACACTGCTTCAGTGCTAGAGCAGACGTGCTAATAGAGGCCTAAGTGGGCAATGTCTATGTGTTCCTAGGGCTTCCCAGCTGTGCTCAAGAGGGCAAGGTCACTGCCCCATGCCCACTGAGCCTCTGGCTCCCCGACTTTTTTCTCATCCTAGAATAGGAGAATGGGGCCAACCCCCTCCTGAAGGCAGATGGGGATCAGGGTTGGGGGCACTTACCAGGGACCCCTAAGCATTGAGTCAGAAGCAGCAGGAGTGGGAGCCACCCCATCCTTCTGGCTGGAGGCTGCACTGTGACCCACCACAGCCCCATCCGGGAAGTTGTGAAACCTGTCCCTACGGGATTGGGTGGCTCTGGCTCCACACGTCAGCTCAGGGCCTGCTGGACCCTGACCTGAGACCTGGTGACAGGAGCCATGAGGGGCCAGGCCTCAGGTCCCATAGGTCAGTTGCAAGGGCCTAGTACAGCTTAGTGGACAGGTGTTAGGAAGGTTTGGTGGGGACACTTGAGGTGCCCTGGGGTTGGGGTGAAACCCCTCTGCAGCCTAGTCAGCCCAAGGGCATTGTGAAAGTGAGAGCTGCCAGAGGTCTGGGCTCCAGCCCCTGGGTGACATTAAACTTTTCTGAATTTCGGTTTTTCCCTGTAAATTGGGGAAAATTACTTGCCCCAGCTTCAACACTGCCTCCCCTCCACCCTTTTGCTGCTGCCTTATCAGGCCCCAGCTGTAGGCAGGTCAGCCCACACCCGGCGGCAGAGCCCAGAGAGGCTCGCTCATCTCAGCCGCCAGAAGTGTCATCCCAGGGAAGGTGAGCGAGGCTGTCCACTAGGACTAAATAGGGGTGGAGGTAACAGGTAGCAGGGACTCTGGCAGGAACGGCCTTTCAGACGTTTTAAGGACCGTCTGAGCGGGGCCTCTAAGTATGGGTAGGAGACAGGCGGCCTAGGGATTCCGGTTAGCATGTCGCGTTCTGCCGCAGCAGGGCTGGGAGCATCCCCAGAGCAGGCGGAGGTCGGAGGTGGTGAGGCCTTTCGGCGAAGCTGAGGCCTGGAACAACCCGGTGGGAAGCCATGGAGGGGGTCCCCTAGCGGAGGCTGGGCGCGGGCCAGTGCGCGTGCGCGGCTGGAGGCTCAGCGCGCAAGCGTGCGCGTGATTTGGCCCTGAACGGACGCCGTAGCCAAGAGGTTGGGCGGATGTTGTGAGCCGGGTCGCTGCGGCCGAGGCTCCGGGTGAGTGAGGGGCGGCAGGGCTCTGAGCCTGGCGGGTTCCGGCTATTCCCTTCGCGGTCCGGGCTAGTCCAGTGCGAGGGCACCTGCAGCGCAGGGATCTGGGTGCGAAACTCCGAGCGGAAGCTGGTCTGGCAGGTCCTGTGGAGCTTGGGGCCAGGCGGGGGCGACTTGGGGGAGCCATGCGCCGCCCTCGCCGTCCTTGGGCTCCCAGACGGAGTAGGTTCAGTTCTGAGTCCGGATACCCCGGCGGGGTTGGACGGGATAGCCGTGACAGGGAGTCCCCGGGCGGGGACAAGGTCCGCCTCTCACCTGGGTCCTCAGCAACTGACTCCCGGAGCCCACTCCGGGTGTCTGGAAGGTCTGCTCATCAAATGAATGACTGAGTTTAATCAGATCTTCAACTACTCTGGTAGTGAAGGGGCACCGATCATGGACGCCCACCGAGGGCCCGAGGTCGGGAAAATCACCTTCCCGAGGAGCAGGCGTGGTGCAGACCCACAAGGGTTTGTGGCGGGAGTAGAGGGTCTGTTTGGGGTGAGATAAGAGACTGAACTGCAGAGTAGGGAGTGCTGGCTAAGGCAGTGCTGCAGAGCGAAACTCTAGACCTGCGCTGTCTAATAGAACTTTATATGATGGTGGGAACGTTCTACCTTTGTGCTGTCCAACAGAGTAACCATTAGCCACATGTGGTCATTGAACTCTTGAAATGTGGCTAAGGCAACTGAGAAATCGAATTGTTAATTTTTAAAACTTTAAATTTAAGTAACCTCATGTGGATGACGGCTGCTGTGTTGGACAGCACCGCTACACATCAGTGAGGCCAGCACCAGGGACTCAGTGCAGGTTCTGGAGCAGCTGCAGCAGCAACATGATGTGAGGGATAGATGCACTAGGAGGACCAATGGAGTTTGCCATGAGGGCTGGGCAAGGGTGGTGCTTGGATGAGGTGGGAGGCCACATGTGTGAGTGGGAATGGTGAAACTATCAGGACCATGGATAAAAGAAGGGAGGAACCCAGGGCTGAGGAAAGAGGCTCCAGCCTTGTGGGGAGTAAGTGGGACTTATGGCTAGAGATGACCAGACCAGTGGTGGTCTGCACTTGGGGGAATGTGTAGGATTGTCGCTTCTGGTTGTGAGCTGGACTCAGTATGGCTTACAACTGAGATGGATACAGGGGCTCTGCCCCTAGGACACCTCACTTTGGACATTTTGGTCTGATTTCCACAGAGCTGAGACATTTTGTTATGGTTCGGCAAAAATATATCTAGTACCTGCTCTCTGCCCAGCCCTGTGCTGGGCACAGGGACACTGGAGAACAAGAAGTGGTCCCTGTTACATGGGCCTAGACCCTGGCTACCCTCCCTGTGTAGGAAGCTGGGAGCCCCTGCATTCCCCTGCCCTATGTGTTAGTGTGCATGCCCCTGGCCTCACCTGCTCCCAAGCCTTCCTGCCATGGCAGGACTGAGGTCAGGTGTGGGGGCCCCTGGCTGGCCCTGAGTAGACAGGCTCTGTGTCTGGCTCAGCCCCCAGGACCACTGGCTGCCCATGAGAGATGAAGGATGGCATCCAAGGGGGCCGGCATGTCTTTCTCCCGCAAGAGCTATAGGCTGACCTCAGATGCTGAGAAATCCAGGGTCACAGGTAAGAGCTGGCAGGGAAGGAAGGAGGCTCCTCTTGTTGGGAGGAGAAGGAAGGGACAAAGGCCTCAGGCCTTGCTGCACCTGTGGCTGGCCTAGGACCAGAAGTCTCTGGGGCCAGCAGGGGCCAGGAGCTGCACTGATCATGTGGCCCTTTTCTCCCTTCTGACTTGTGGCTCAGGCATTGTGCAGGAGAAGCTGCTGAATGACTACCTGAACCGCATCTTTTCCTCTTCTGAACATGCACCCCCAGCAGCCACCAGCAGGTATGGCTGGGTGGGTGGCCCCTCCTCACTCTGCTGGGCCAGACCAGAATAAGGAGGCTGCAGTTGTAGGGAAAGGGAGCCTGGGCTCTGGACAGATAGGCTTAGGCTCTGTTCTCACTGTGCTCCTGGCTGCGAGATCTCTGGCCAGAGAGTCTGCCTTCCGTACTCTGCTTCTTCCTGTCTCCAGGCAGTGCTAGTTCCTTCTGAGAGTCAGGGAGCAGAGGTCAGGGAGCGGGTGCACATTCATGCCCAGCTAGCACCTGGCACCTA
This sequence comes from Homo sapiens, assembly GCF_000001405.40. Taxonomy (NCBI): domain Eukaryota; kingdom Metazoa; phylum Chordata; class Mammalia; order Primates; family Hominidae; genus Homo; species Homo sapiens. The sequence goes on from NC_000003.12 coordinate 49,691,780, forward strand.
CTCCATACCCAGCATCTGCCCCTGCATGTACCTGCCCTCACCTTGGCCCCAGCCTGGCCCCTTGTAGCTTCTGACTGACCTTGTAAAGAACAAACTCCTCCAGGGCCTTTTCTTTACAAGTTTAATACTTTTAAGTGTAGTCAGTATAAAAGTTACAAGTACATTTTAGCAGAAACTTAGAGGGCCAGGCACAGTGGTTCACACCTGTAATCCCAGCACTTTGGGAGGCCAAGGTGGGTAGATTGCTTGAGTCCAGGAGTTCAAGACCAGCCTGAGCAACATGGCAAGACCCCATCTCTACAATAAAATACAGAAATTACCTGGGCATGGTGGTGTGCACCTGTAGTCCCAGCTGTTAGGGAGGCTGATGTGGGAGGATCACTTGAGCCTAGGAGGTTGAGGCTGCAGTGAGTTGGCCTCTGCATGCCACTGCACTGTAGCCTGGGTGACAGAGCAAGACCCTGTCTCTAAAAAAAGAAGGAAAAGCACCTGCTATCTTGTTATTTTAACATGACTATTCAAATGTGATTCTTTTCTGTTTCTTTCTTTGTGTTACATTTTTAATTTTTAATTTTTGTGGGTATGTAGTAGGTATATATATTTATAGGGTACATGAGATACTTTGATACAGGCATGCAATGCGTAATAATCACATCATGGTAAATGGGGTATCCATCCCCTCAAGCATTTATCTTTTGTCTTATAAACAATCTAGTTATACTCTTTTAGTTATTTTTAAATGTACAATTATTATTTACTATAGTCACTCTGTTCTGCTACCAGATAGGTCTCATTAATTCAATTTTTTTGTACGCATTAGCCATCCCCATCTCCCCACAAGCCCTATACTACCCTTCCAAGCCTCTGGTAACCATCCAGTACTTTGCCTCTATGAGTTCAATTGTTTTAATTTTTAGCTGTCACAAATAAGTGATAACATGCAATGTTTGTCTTTTTCTGCCTGGCTTATTTCATTTAACATAATGACCTCCAGTTCCATCCATGTTGTTGCATATTACAGGATCTCATTCTTTTTTATGGCCGAATAGTACTCCGTTGTGTATATGTACCATGTTTTCTTTATTTATTCATCTGTTGATGGACACTTAGATTGCTTCCAAATCTTGGCTATTGTGAACAGTGCTGCAACAAACATGGGAATGCAGATATCTCTTTGATATACTGATTTCCCTTCTTTCAGGTATATACCCAGCAGTGGGGTTGCTGGATCATATGGTAGCTCAATTTTTAGTTTAGTTTTTTTTTTTTTGAAAAATTTTTTTTTTTGAGACGGAGTCTTGCTCTGTTGCCCAGGCTGGAGTGCAGGGGCACAATCTCAGCTCACTGCAAGCTCCGCCTCCCAGGTTCATGCCATTCTTCTGCCTCAGCCTCCCAAGTAGCTGGGACTGCAGGTGCCCGCCACCATGCCCAGCTAATTTTTTGCATTTTTAGTAGAGACGGGGTTTCACCGTGTTAGCCAGGATGGTCTTGATCTCCTGAGCTCGTGATCCGCCCACCTCGGCCTCCCAAAGTGCTGGGATTACAGGCGTGAGCCAGTGTGCCTGGCCTTTTTTTTTTTTTTTTTTTTTTTTTTGAGATGGAGTTTTGCTCTTGTTGCCCAGCCTGGAGTGCAGTGGCATGATCTTGGCTCACTGCAACCTCTGCCTCCCAAGTTCTAGTAATTCTCCTGCCTCAGCCTCCCGAGTAGCTGGGATTACAGGCACAAACCACCACACCCAGTTAATTTTGGTATTTTTAGTAGAGATGGGGTTTCGCCATGTTGGCCAGGCTGGTCTCGAACTCCTAGCCTCAGGTGATCCTCCCACCTCGACGTCCCAAAGTGCTGAGATTACAGGCATGAGCCACCGCACCTGACCAATTTTTAGTTTTTTGAGGAACCTCCAAACTGTTCTCGATAGTGATTGCACTATTATAATTTACATTCCCACTAACAGCATACAGGGGTTCCACAACCTCGCCAGCATTTGTTATTGCCTGTCTTTTGGATAAAAGCCATTTTAGCTGGTGTGAGATGATATCTCGTAGTTTTGATTTGCATTTCTCTGATGACCAGTGACGTTGAATGCCTTTCCATATGCCTGTTTACCATTCGTATGTCTTCTTTTGAGAAATGTCTGTTCGTATCTTTTGCCCATCTTTTGATGGAATTATTAGTTTTTTTCCTATAGAGTTGTTTGCGTTCTTTGTATATTCTGGTTATTAATCCCTTGTCAGATGGGTAGTTTACAAATATTTTCTCCCATTTGTGGGCTGTCTCTTCACTTTGTTGATCGTTTACTTTGCTATGCAGAAGCTTTTTAACTTCATGTCTGTTTATCTTATAATGTATGTAGTTCAGATTATGCTGTATAGAAAACTTTAAAAAAATTTATCACCTTCAGTTCTTTTCTTAAAACGTTTTTATTGAGCTATGATTAATATACAATAAACTACACATACTTAAAGTGTACAATTTGATAAGTGTTAACATATATATAAAACCCGTGAAACCATCACTACCATCAAGGTAATGGACATGTCCCTCACTTCCAAAAGTCTATAGAAGTTTGCATCCTATTTTTATCATCAAATGTTATCCCGTGAGTATTTTTCCCCATTATCAATTTATCTTACTGAGCATCTTTAGGGCCAGGGGGTCTGCTGTGGCCCATACCAGTGCCCTAGTTTGGAAGGACTTTTGCTTTTGTAAACAATGCTGTGAGGATGCCCAGGGCTGGAGTCGTGTGGCTAGAGTGTTTGAACTGCAGTCACTTTTAAGACTGTTGCCAGATTACTTCTTCAAAGGATCAAGTAGGTTCTCCCTCCCTGCAGTGAGGCACGGTTGTCCCTGTCTCTCACCCCCTCATCAGCCTTAGCTGTTCTGTCTTTTACGACTTCTGCCCTTTAGGCAGGTCCAAAAGGCAGCAACGTTACCTGTTCTATTTAAGCAACTGTGGTGGTCAGAAAGTGCCTGCTTGCAGAGAGTTCCTGCCCACCCCCACCCCATACTCAGTCCTGGCCTGTTCTCAGAGCCATCTGATCCCTACCTCATGTGATACCAGAGATGGTCCTACTGCTGCTGCTGCTGCTGTGGCCGCCAGGAGAGACAGCAGGTGGTAGGGCTGTCAGTCAGTGGTTGTGGGTATTCAGGGCCCTGAACTGGGACCTAGGAGATCCAAAAAGGTCAGGGAAGTTGCTGGTCTTGGCCAAATGGGCAGTGCTGTAGGCACTCAGTGGTGGCTGTCTCAGGCCGACTGCCCACAGATATGTGCAGTCTGCTCTCAGGATCAGGCACACGACTTTTGGGGTCAGGTACAAGAGTAGCTGCTCCAAGTGTGGGCTTGTTAAGAACTGTTTTCTTTTGAGACAGGGTCTCGCTATGTCACAGTCATAGCTCACTGCAACCTCAAAGTCCCAGGCTCAAGGAATCCTCCCACCTCAGCCTCCCACATAGCTGGGACCACAAGCACATGCCACAGCACCCAGCTAATTTTTTTTTTTTAAGAGACAGGGTCTTACTGTGTCACCCAGGCTGGTCTCAAACCCCTGGGCTCAAGTGATTCTCCCACCTCAGCCTCCCAAAGTGCTGAGACTACAGGTGTGAGCCACCATGCTTGGCCTGTAACTGCTTTTGAGGAAGGCTCCTTTATCCTTGGGCCCACTGGGGTATTCAGAGATGGGGTTGGCTTTAGCCTTCTATGCTACTAGCTGAGCACCCCGACTGCATAGCCACCACCTGGCCTTGGCCTGGGACAGAGCAGCAGTGGGGAGGGGCCTTTGTGCATCTCTGCTCCTACAGCTCAGGGCTGGGAGTGGCTTACACTGGGGAATATGTGATCCCTGAGCCTGGGTAGTGGCTACTTTGTCAGGGTGCTTGTCCAACCTTTGTCCCCTTCCAGAGCTTTCTGTCTGTGTGGATGAGTGGGGTAAGAACTGGCATTAAAGGTGGAAGAGCAGGTGGTGGCACCCTGTGGGCAGCCAGGTGTGTAATGGGCCTCTGTTCTGCCTGAGTCCTGCTGGTTACCACCACCTCACTCCCTGCTATTCTTAGCAGCTGAGCTCAGGACAGCACTGACTGGCATTAGACAGTACCCTTTTCCCTCTAGGCCTGTGTGTTGAGAGGATGAGGGGGCCACCCAGACAGATTTTTCCCAACTCCTTTGGCTCGGGTAGGTGGGTCATGTGCTCCGCTGACCATTTATGGACTGGCGGGTACAGGACAGAGCCATCCAGCAGCTCAGAGGGCTGAGCCTTTCATACTTCCAGAACATGTCCCATTCAACACAGACTCCCCTGGCTGGGTGGTGGCGAGACTGGAATCTGCCCCAAAGGAACCACAGGCCTAGGGGCAAGGGTTGGACTAGGTGGCCTTGGTACTGACCACTTTGGGAACCAGCATTTCTCCCAGCCTTCTTCTTCCAGACATCATCAGCACAGCCACCTTTGAGAGCGGACAGGTTATGTGCTATGCAGACAGCACTTGTTATTCCCTGGGCTCTTCACAGCATCTCTAACATAAGTCACTATTCTGTTTTTACAGATGAAGGAATTAAGACTTAGAGAGGGCTACTTTTTTTTTTTTTTTTTGAGACAGAGTCTTGCTCTGTCACCCAGACTAGAGTGCAGTGGCACGATCATGGCTCACTGCAACCTCCGCCTCCCAGGTTCAAGCAATTCTCCTGCCTCCGCCTCCCAAGTAGCTGGTATTACAGGCACATGCCACCGCGCCCAGCATTTTTAGTAGAGTCGCAATTTCACCATGTTGGCCAGGCTGGTCTTGAACTACTGACCTCGTGATCTGCCCGCCTCAGCCTCCCAAAGTGCTGGGATTACAGGCATGAGCCACCGCACCTGGCCACATACTTTTTTTTTTTTTTTTTTTGAGACAGAGTCTTACTCTTGTTGCCCGGGCTGAAGTACAATGACACGATCTTGGCTTACTACAACCTCTGCCCCACCAAGGTTCAAGCTATTCTCCTGCCTCTGTCTCCCGAGTAGCTGGGATTATACGCATGCGCCACCACACTCAGCTAATTTTTGTATTTTTAGTAGGGATGGGGTTTCACCATGTGGCCAGGCTGGTCTCGAACTCCTGACCTCAGGTGATCTGCCCGCCTCGGCCTCCCAAAGTGCTGGGATTACAGGCATGGGCCACCACACCCGGCCTGGACTGGTTATACTTTTGAGTTTAGTGGAGAATTCGGCCTTCTGACCTCCTGCATGCCAGAGTCTAGGACTAGGCACAGCCCTTTTTCTGGAGTCTAGGCAGCCCCCCTGTGAGCTCAGGGGAAAGGATGGGATTTAGTGTCATCTGGCTGATTTCAAGGACTTGTGGACCCCTGGCAGCCTCTCACTCTCCCCAGGAAACCCCTGAACTTCCAGAACCTGCCAGAACATTTGGACCAGTTGCTACAGGTGGACAATGAGGAGGAGGAAAGCCAGGGTATGTGGCCACCTCTGGAGTGGGGTTGGGAGGTGCAGAGCTGGGACGTAGCGGGCCTGGAGACGTCTGGTGAGCTCAGGACACCCTATGCATCCTGTCAAATGCTCCACCCTGCCTGACCCCACCTCTCCTCTTTTCAGGACAGGTTGAAGGGCGGCTTGGCCCATCCACTGTGGTCCTGGACCACACAGGCGGCTTTGAGGGGCTTCTCCTGGTGGATGATGACCTGCTGGGGGTGAGTGAGGGTGAGGTGTGGAGACCCAGGTCCAGCCCCTTCTGACATAGCCCCAGGCTCCTCCTGATGTGGCCCTAGTCTCTCTACTCATCTGATGGGGCTGCAGCCAAAACTTGTCCTGACGTGGCCCCAGACCATTGTGTTCTCAGTCCTCAAACTCTCCCACTAAAGCCCTGAAACAGTCTTGATGTGGACTCAGCCCCCAGCCCTTCCCAGCACAGCCCTGAGTCCCTCTCTCATCCTGCCTTGGCCCAGGATCCTTCCTGATACAAGCCTACCCGCTCCCACCGTCCTCAGGCACAGTGCAGTGTTGGCCGCCACAGGCAAATACCACCAGGGCTGGCTCAGTTGGGGATGGGGTCTTTTTCCCTTGGGGAGATGCTCTGTGTGCCTGGGAGCTAGCCCACCACCCCTCTTCTTCACCCAGGTGATTGGACACAGCAACTTTGGCACCATCCGCTCTACCACATGCGTGTACAAAGGTGAGACCTTACCCTGCTGTGGCCTAGGTAGTGAGGAGAAAGTTTAAGGGCCCAGGCATGAGGCAAGAGGCAGTCTTTGTCCACCTCGTGGCCCTAACTCAGCTCTTTCCAGGGAAATGGCTCTACGAGGTCCTCATCTCCTCCCAGGGGCTCATGCAGATCGGCTGGTGCACCATCAGCTGCCGCTTCAACCAGGAGGTACACGTTGGGGAGGGGACCCCTCCCTGGGCCCAGGGAGAGCTTCTCCTGCCACAGGCCTCATCAGGTCTCCAGATCCCCTCAGAACTGCCTAGGACCCTAACTAACCTGGACTGCCCTCTGGAGAAGAAACGTGTCCCACCCAATCCCAGGCACCCCAGCTCAGAGAATACCTCTTACTCTTTCCCTCAGATCATCTGTTCCCTTCTGTAGAGCCATATGCATCCAAGGCTGGTGATTGGTGGGCTCTGGCCCAGACCCTGCCTGCCTCACCAGGGACCTCATAGGCATTTCCTCCCTAGGAGGGGGTTGGAGATACACACAACTCCTATGCCTATGATGGCAACCGCGTGCGCAAGTGGAATGTGACCACAACGAATTATGGCAAGGTGAGAGCCAAGCCCCTGTGGGTCATCCGCCCCATGACTGTTACTACAGCTTATTTGGAGCCACTGGGCAGCCATAAGGGACTACAGGGCACCAGGGAAGGGTCAGGGACCCAGGTCCTTTGTCCTTGTGGCTAGTCTCCCTTGGGTGGTTCTGGAAACGCAGCTGGGGTTCAGAGTCAGCAGGCTGCTGGGCTTCTGTGCATCTGGTGAGGCCTCCTCTCATGGCAGGCGTGGGCAGCGGGGGACATCGTGAGCTGCCTGATTGACCTGGATGATGGCACTCTGTCCTTCTGCCTGTGAGTTTCCTATCTCTATGCACAGGCCTGGCCCCTGGGGCCTCCCCAGACTGCCCCCAGTTTCCTGGGCCCTGTAAGGGGCCAGACTGAGTTTGATAGCCTGAGGGTGGGCAGCCACATGCTTAGCACTGGCTCACAGACCCACCCTTCTCCCCAGGAACGGTGTATCACTGGGCACTGCCTTTGAGAACCTGTCCAGGGGCCTGGGTATGGCCTACTTCCCAGCCATCAGCCTCTCTTTCAAGGAGTCCGTGGCCTTCAACTTTGGCAGCCGTCCTCTGCGATATCATTTTGTGAAGATGGCTGTGGGCTGCTCAGAAGCTCTTGGGGAGGCTGGGATGAGGGGCTCCCTACCCCAGGGGTGCCATGGGCTGGTGGCAGGCCCTGGCTGCTGCAGAGTTAGTGGGGGGCCATGTAGAGTGTCGAAGAAAACTTTCCTCGCAGCAGCCTGGTTGGTTGGGTGCCCTTGTCTCCACTGAACAGATGAGGAATGTGAAGCATCCTCCCTAGGGAGAATAAGTGGGCAAGTTGTGATGCAAACCAGCCCTGCCCTAGAGCCCAGGCCCCGGGGTGGGGGGTGGGCAGTGGAGAGGGAGTAGGCATGTCTGAGCCACAGATAAGGCGTTGCTGGCTTAACTCTGGCACCTACCCAGTGGCAGGCTACCGGCCCCTGCAGGACCCACCGAGTGCTGACCTGGTGCGGGCACAGAGGTTGCTGGGCTGCTTCCGGGCAGTGCTGAGTGTGGAGCTGGACCCTGTGGTGAGCTGGGGTCTGGGCCAGGCGGGGTGGGGGGCTTCCACAGCCTCCTGCCCCTCACACTTCTCCCTCCTCCCCCTCCACACAGGAGGGGCGGCTGTTGGACAAGGAGAGCTCCAAGTGGCGGTTGCGGGGCCAGCCCACCGTCCTCCTCACACTGGCCCACATCTTCCATCACTTTGCACCGCTTCTGGTGAGCGGCATTGGGAGGGGCATGGGAGGGGAGGAGACAGGCCATGCTAGACACGCCCGTGGTAGATGTGCCCTCACTGAGGGCTGCAGTGCTGAGGTCCCACAGCATCACCTGGCGAGGGCCCCATGTGACCAGGGCCCTCAGACCTCAGTCAGTCCCCTAGGGAAACAGGGACATTGCCAACCAAGGGCATCAGGGGATGTCCTGGAAAGAAGACTGAAGGATAATAACATCCCAGGCCAAGGAAACTGCGTGTGCCAAGCCTTAGAGGAGCCGTGGGGCAATGGCCTTCTTGTCCCTCAGTCAGACCCCGGAAGGGGTCATCTATGTTTGGTGTTGCTCGAGTGGCTCAAGGCTCTGTGCCTGAGGCTTGTGCCTTGGCCATGTGCCAGGGCAGGGGTGCCTTGACCAGAGTGGAAGGCCACCACCTCACCAGTGCCTGGCCTTGGTGCAGCGCAAGGTGTATCTGGTGGAGGCTGTGCTCATGAGCTTCTTGCTGGGCATCGTGGAGAAGGGCACACCCACACAGGCACAGTCCGTGGTGCACCAGGTCCTGGACCTCTTGTGGCTCTTCATGGAGGTGAGGCTCCTGACCTCAGGCCTCAGGCCTGGCTGTCAGTCTTCACTGGGGTCGGGAAGATACGGGGAGAATCTTGGAAAAGGCCCCAGTCATGGCTGCCTTGGCATCTCTTCCCCCAGGACTACGAGGTACAAGATTGCCTCAAGCAGTTGATGATGTCTCTGCTTCGGCTGTACCGATTCTCACCCATTGTCCCAGACCTGGGCCTACAGGTGGGAGCCCCTACCCCTGCCCTGAGCCCCCTGGGACTCGCCTGTCCACTCTGAACGCCCCCTCTCCACAGATCCATTACCTGCGGCTCACTATCGCCATCCTGAGGCATGAGAAGTCCCGCAAGTTTCTGCTTAGCAATGTCCTGTATCCTTTCCTTGCTGCCTGGCAGGCCAGACATGGGGTGCCCTCTGGACTCAGCAGAGGCCAGGAAGGGGAGTGTCATCAGGCCAGGGGTCCCCTGGGAGCATCAGGAGGACCAGAGCTGCCCAACGTGGCATTTTCTCTACAGAGCAAGGACGAGAGAGCAAAGGACTGAGCCTGGCCAGCCAGCCTAGCCAGGGGGTTCTGAATGACTGCAGACTCGGGCTACGCAGAGGTGTGGGAGGGGCCACAGGGCCTGCCCTCTTCGGCCACAGCCCAGCACTTTTGTTCATGTTCCACAGTGGGGATTCCTGCAAGATCTTTAAGGAGGCAGCTCTTCCTGCTTCCCAGAATTGTTGGGAACTGCATGAGTGAGTGAGAGCATAGCTTTGAGCCCCTGGCTGGGAAGCCTCAGCTTGTAGCCGTTTTCTTGGTCTGGGGTCTTCCAGCCTCCAGGAGGCAGACACAAAGCTGGGAGACACAGAGGTCAGAGTTGGGGCCTGAGAAAAGGCCACCAGTCCCTCTCTCCAGCTTGTCCCACAGTCATCTGTTCCTGTGACAAGCCCTTATCGTGCACCTGCTGGGTACTGGAGCTGGTGGGCTTAACCACCACAGCTTTTTGTCAGGGAGCATGCCCTGGGGGTCAGACACATAGCAGCAACATGCCCCTGTGGTGGTGGGAGAGCTGTGGTAGGCACATCCAGGGATGGGCTCCTGGGGAAGGACTCTTGAGGGTGTGCAGAGTGCCCTTTGGCAAGCAGAGCCCTGCCTTGACACCCGCCAGCTTCGACGTGCTCCGCTCCGTCGTCTTCTTTTACATCAAGAGCCCCCTGCGTGTGGAGGAGGCCGGCCTGCAGGAGCTCATTCCCACCACCTGGTGGCCCCACTGCTCCAGTAGGGAGGTGAGTGCACCCCAAGTGGGATGGGCAGAGGTCATGGCAAGGCCCCTGGCCTGGGCATCTGGCCACTGGGCATCTAGCATGAGGCCTTTTCACTGGCCCTGGTCCCTGAAGCCCTGGAGATGGAGTGTGGGTGTTCTGAGTGAAGGAGGCCTGGCTAGGTCCCAGGTGACCCTGCTGTATTCCACCTGCTACCCCTGCCTAGGGCAAAGAGAGCACGGAGATGAAGGAGGAGACCGCAGAGGAGCGGCTGCGGCGGCGAGCCTACGAACGGGGCTGTCAGCGGCTCAGGAAGCGCATCGAAGGTCAGCCCGCCTTGGGCACGGGGTAGGGTGGGAGGTGTGTGTGTGCACATGAGGGTGCTTGGAGGTGCCCATGTCTAGGTGGGACTTGGGGAACCCTGGTGGTGGAGCCCTGGCCCAAACCTGCCCCCCATCTCCTGGAGCCTGAGGGCCATGTTCCTCACCTGACCTCCAGTGGTGGAAGAACTACAGGTCCAGATCCTGAAGCTGCTGCTGGACAATAAAGATGACAATGGGGTGAGTGACTCCCAGGAGCCCTGGGTGGGGCCCTGTGGGGAGGGATGCTGCACTGGGCCTTAAGACCCAGAGGGTGGGAACTGGGTTTGGTTCCCATGGCAGGGGCTGGGGGAAGGTGCAGCACTGAGCCAGCCCAGTCTGGGCCTGCATTCTCAGCTCAGCACAGCCTCACTTTTCCCTCTCTCAAAGGGTGAAGCTTCTAGGTATATCTTCCTGACCAAGTTTCGCAAGTTTCTGCAGGAGAACGCCAGTGGCCGGGGGGTAGGTGTCCTCCAGGCCAGCCCACTGTGGATCCCCGGCTGCACTACACATGCCATGCCCTCAGCACCTGGCACTTCTCGGACTGCCTCATCCCTGCCTAGCCCCAAGCTTTTCTCTGCTGCTTTTCCCTCCCTGCTTAACCCTCGACCCTCAGGCAGGGCCTTGGATGAGGAATGGGCAAGGCACTGGACTGGCACCAATGCATGTTTCATGCCTGGTGTCCACAGAACATGCCCATGCTCTGCCCCCCTGAGTACATGGTCTGCTTCTTACACCGGCTGATCTCTGCCCTGCGCTACTATTGGGATGAATACAAGGCTTCCAATCCTCATGCTTCCTTCAGTGAGGGTGAGTGGCACCGGGGTCCCAGGTCAGTGAGGCTGGACAGAGCCAGGCGTAGGGCAGCCCCTAATGTTAGTGCAGAGTGCTGAGCTGAGGCTGTGGGCTGTGGGGAGTTGTCCCCGGCATCCTGCCTGGTTGAGTCCTACCCAGCCACAGGCGGCTTCTCCACTGGGGCAGCAGGAGCCCTGCACCGCAGGCCTGCCGATCCTGTGTTTGCTCTGATTGTCCCACGGGCTCCTACCATTGTGGGCTCTTTTCTTCCGTCCTTGCCCCCCCATTTCTCTGTGCGTCCTTTATAGGGCTGCCTTGGGTGGGTGCTGGGGGGCCCTGTGTTTGAGTCCCCAAGGGTCAGTGGGAGCCTTACCTGCCCTGGATTGGGGGATATCCCACAGGACTGGGGCTGGGCCTCTCTGCTTCTCCTGAGTGAACGGCTGCCATGAGTACCCCCATCACCCCAAGTTATGCAGCTGCTGGCTCTGACCTGAAATGGCAGGGGTGGAGAAGAGGTAGGGGAGGTCTGTTTCTTGGTCCAGGAGACAGTTTCTCTGTCTGCCTGGATGGGTGAGTGGCCAAAGCCAGAATTCCCAGGCTGTGCTAGGCCAGATTGGAGGGGAGGGCTGTGGGGAGGGTCTTCCTACTGGGCCGTGACCACTGGCCTAGCCTCCTCAATTCCTCGCAGAGGCCTACATCCCGCCCCAGGTCTTCTATAATGGCAAGGTGGACTACTTTGACCTGCAGCGCCTGGGGGGCCTCCTCTCGCACCTGCGGAAGACCCTCAAAGGTGTGTACAGGCCTGTGGGCCGGGAGCAGTTCTGGGGCCAGGTGGGGGACTGTCCCTGAGCCTGCTCTGCTGTGGATGCTGAGCCATCCTATGGCCACCAGAGGGTGCCCAAGTCTTTCCACCCACTCAGGCAGGGAGACACTGATCTGCCTGCCCTACATCTGGGCAGCTTCTCTTTCCCGCCAGCACCCACGCCATAGGGGTCGGGCGTGCCTGGCAGGGGACCAGGGATCTTGGTGAGGTGTGGATGGGGCGTGCAGGTGCTGCCGGAGCTGCCTTCAGGGATGAGCACAAGCTGCCCCGGTGCAGGGCTGAGGGCACAGCGAGAGCAAGGCCCTGAGCCGGGCACAAGGGTGGGTCTGTGCTGTCAGAACCTCTCTCTGGCTGCCGCAGTGTATACGCCGGAGTGCAGGGGCTGAGAGACAGGGAGCCCAGGTGTCCCCACACAGGAGATAAGGGCCTGCCCAGGTAGGTAGGGGAGGGCACAGGTGGAGGAGAGGAGTCAGGATGACCCCAGGCTTCCTGCCAGAGGTTGTGTGGATGGGGTGCCATCAGGGAGAGGGGCTGCAGGAGGTGGTGGAGATGAGAAATTCTGTTTGGACACAGCGCGTTTAGCGGGGAGCAAGGCCTGGGCGGGGGGCAGCGAAGGCGGGGTCAGTTGTCAGCACGGTGGTGGGGATGAGCCTGGGATGAGGCTTGGCTCCCACTGGGAGTGCCCAGAATGAAGCAGCCCTGGCATCTCCTTTTGTTTATGGAGTAGTCAGAGAGTGGGGGAGGCCCTGGAGAGCAGGAAGTCCTGGGAAACAAAGCCAGGGACCAGCAGGAAGGGCATGATGGGCTTACATCTATGTAGAATAAAGAAAGTCAATTTGAAAATAAATGAAAAAGAAGGGTGTGATGGGGAAGGCCTCCTGTTACTGAGTGGCAGCTAGACGGGGCCCTTGAGATGCAGAGTGAAGGCTGGGTGGAGGAGGCGGAGGGGCGAGGGGCAGATACGGTGCTAAACCGGGCTCTGCAAGGCCTCCTGCCCAGTGTGCTGGGCTCTCTCACCGTCCTGGGCACTTCCACTGTGGCCCCTTGCGCCACCACTGGCCTGAGAACCCTCCTGCTCTTCCTCCCAGATGACCTTGCTTCCAAAGCCAACATTGTGATCGACCCACTGGAGCTCCAGTCAACCGCCATGGATGACCTAGATGAGGATGAGGAGCCAGCCCCAGCTATGGCCCAGGTGCCGCAGTGGGGGCAGGCGGTGGGATTTGTGTTGGGCTTATCCTGTATCTTATGGGCAGGGGTCTCATCCAGGGCCACTTCCCGCTCCATGCAGGCAAAGGGTTTCTCACTGGGCTGGTGCCTTGCTGTGGGTGGAGGCATGGACCCTCCCTCACAATTCTGCAGCCCCGTGGGCCAAGGGAACCCTGAGCCAGCCCTGGTCCTGGCCGCCTTTCTTCACTGCAGCGCCCCATGCAGGCCCTGGCTGTTGGGGGGCCACTGCCCCTGCCCCGGCCCGGCTGGCTCAGTTCTCCAACTTTGGGCCGAGCCAACCGCTTCCTCAGCACAGCGGCTGTGAGCCTCATGACCCCACGGCGGCCTCTGAGCACCTCGGAGAAAGTGAAGGTCCGCACGCTGAGCGTGGAGCAGAGGACCCGTGAGGACAGTAGGTGCTTGGTGGGGTCAGGCAGGTCCCCGAAGGACCCTTCCACAGTGTACAGTCCCCGATCCGGGCAAAGCCAAAATACACCCCATGCCCTCCCAGCCCTGTGGCCTGGCAGCATCCCAGGAGTGCAGGAAGCACACTCCGAGGGCAGGAGATCAATGCCGCAGAAATAGGTCCTGGCACCGCAGGCCTTGCCCTGCACTCCACCCCTACCCCCATGCCCCCATGGGCTCCCCGCGGGTCCCTCCTTGGGCACAGGAATGGGAGAGATGATTTCCTCTCCTGCTGTGAGGCAGGCTCAGGAGAGCCGGGATGGCCCTACCCTTGACCCTTCCCTCCCCAACTCCCCAGTTGAAGGCAGCCACTGGAATGAGGGCTTGCTGCTGGGGCGGCCCCCCGAGGAGCCTGAGCAGCCCCTCACCGAGAACTCGCTGCTGGAAGTCCTGGATGGGGCGGTCATGATGTACAACCTCAGCGTACACCAGCAGCTGGGCAAGGTCGTGCACTCTTGGACCCCGCATTGGGTGGCGGGTGTTGTGCGTGTTTGGTTGTGTGTGTATTCCTGTGTGCACATGGGCCCGCAGGGCTGCCTGTTCAAGACCGTGCATGGGAGCACATGCCTCAGCGAGGCTGGTTTCTGCTCCTGCTGCCTCAGTCTGACCTGCTGACTGTTGTGGGAATGGGACCGCCCTGGGCCTAAGGTTGGGACCTTGGCAGGGCTGGGGTCCAGACTGGGTCTGAAGAAGCCTGGATGAAGTGCCCAAGGGGCACTCTGGACATGTGGTCCCATGCTGTGTAGATGGTGGGTGTCTCCGATGATGTCAATGAATACGCTATGGCTCTGAGGGACACAGAGGACAAGCTCCGCCGGTGCCCCAAGAGGGTAAGGCCCACATAGTCTTGGTGAGGGGCAGCTTGCTTACTCGTACAGGTAACCACAGATGAAGTCTGGTTCTGGGGGCTGCCCTGGCAGTTCTCATCCCCACTCTAGCCCTGGCCATAGCACGCCAGTGAGAGTGGGGCTGGCAGCAAGGCCTGGCACCCATCACCAGTGTGGCCTGTGCCTAGGTGCCCCCCACCCCCTGGGCCCAATAAGTGCTGAAGCACACCCACTCTCCTCATCAATTATTCATTGACCCTGAGTGCTTCCTCGGCCACTTGCAGAGTCAGCAGGAAGCAGGGCCTGGCTCCACTGCACCCTCCGGAGCCCTCTGCTGTAGCTGCCCTAGCCCAGGAAGGTGGGGCCCAGTGTGTCCAGGCTGAGCTTCCCTGACAGCCCCCACCCACCCCGACCTGTCAGCAGATCCCTGGGTCTGGCAGCTGGGGGAGCAGCGGTTCTGGCATCAGGTCCCTGGGTGCTCTGGCCAGCGGCTCACAGACCCCCAGCTGGGCCTCACTTCCATGTCATGAGGGGACCACCATGGCCTTGTTCTGAGGCTGGCTCAGGGTCACCAGAGGGTCAGTGGCAGAAGAAGGTTTTGAAAAATGGAGCCCAATCCCTTGCCTGCTCCAGGCACTAGAGGGCCCTTCCTAGGCTGCCTGCAGGATCAGGGTGGACCTGGGTATGGGGCCATGTCTTGATTGTCCTCCTTTCCCCTTGGGTGGCAGAGGAAGGACATCCTTGCAGAGTTGACCAAGAGCCAGAAGGTTTTCTCAGAAAAGCTGGACCACCTGAGCCGCCGTCTTGCCTGGGTCCATGCCACTGTCTACTCCCAGGTGTGCTGGTATTGCAGCTGCCCCTTCCCGACCTCACTGTCTGGCCACGGGTCTAGCAAGATTGTGCCAGG